>NC_000016.10:57289772-57592803 GCF_000001405.40 Homo sapiens | reverse complement strand
CCCCACTCTAACATCTGCTAGCGGAAGCAGCCAAGCCCACAGGCTCCAGGCACTCCAGAGAGGTCTGTGTTCTTGCAGCCTGGGTTCCTGGGTAAGGGAACAAATGCAGGGCCTGTCTGAGACCAGAGGCTCCCACTGTGCCAGGCACAGCCTGAAAGCAGGTCTGGCGTGCTTCTGAGAAGCAGGCTTCTCAGCCTTAGCAAAGCTTTCCCTGGACCAAGCCTGGAGGGTGTAGAGAACCACGTTGAGACCACGGAGTCTAACCCCAGGCCCTTCCCCCGTTTTCCTTCCAGGAGCAAGCAACCTAAGCCACCCAGATTTTTGTTTAACCCAATGGCCTTCTCCATAAAGGACGAGTTGAATTTCCTACCCATGCAGGGGATGAGAGGCCTTGGAGTCTAATGTGACATAAAAATTAATATGACATTTTTGCACCTCCGAGCTTGACCACACACATCTCATTATGTTATCACTGCCTGATACTTCTCCACTCCCCAGCAAATGGTGAGCCAAAGGTGGGGGAGTGAAGTGGCAGAAACGGGAACTGGGTCTCCTTCCTTCATAGGGTACCCTGGAGCTGAGCAAGTCCTGGCTCAACAGAAGGTCTCACTGCATGTTGGATAGACAGAGAGTAGATGGACAGGTGTTTGAACATTGGATGGATGGATGGATGGATGGATGGATGGATGGATGAATGGATGGATGAAGAGAAGAGCCCACAGACATTAGAATGGACAGATGAGTGGATGAAGGAGGAAGGAAGGATGGATGGATGGAGGGATGGATGGATAGATGGACAGATGGACACGCAGACATTAGAATGGATAGATGGACGGATGAATGGATGGAGGCTGGACGGATGGATGACGGGTGGAGGACAATGGACAGATGGATAGTCAGATGAATGGCTGGATGAAGGAACAGATGAGTGGATAGATGAGGAAATAGAAGATAAAGCGATAATGGATGGATGGGCAGACAAAAGAATGAACAGATAAATGGATGAATGGACAAAAGTATAAATGGATGGGTGAATGTTAGAACAACAGACAGCCCAACAGATGGATGGACACACTTACCAATGTTCTTCTTTAACAGGACTGGGAAAGTCAAGCCAGGGCCTCAGACCTGCTCTTGTTGGAAATGCTCCACCTCATAGATGGCAGGGATGTCATCGCCACCCACAGGCGCTAGGATGAGGGAAGAAGGCAGAAGTGGCCAGCCCTGACCCCTGGTGGTTGCTATGGGAATGATCACCCCAGAGCCTGGCTTGGCTGCGGGAAGCTGGAAAGGGTGGGACATTCCAGCACACTCTGATCTTCTGTCATCCAGGCAGGCTCCCATCAAAACGTTCTTGGACACAGTTTGCCACATCTATAGTGTGCTAGGCACCAAACCAGGAGTTTTCTTACACTCTGAGGGCCTAGTCTTGGCCAAGCCCTGCTAGAGAGAGCTGCTGGGGCCACTGTGGACAGGTGACTCATACGGCATACATTTATGCATTGCTTGTCACGCCAGGCTGCGAGCCAGCCCACTCACTCCTTTCTCATCAGCCTTTGAAGTAACACCCAGGACAACCCCCATTTGACAGGTGAGAATACAGAGCCTCAGAGAGGCCAAGAGGCTTGCATGGGGCTGTAGCAAGTGAGGGGCAGAACCCAGGCTGTCAGGGAATCTCCCCCTCACCCTGCCCACCCTTAACGACCTTGCTCCCTGCCTCCCCGCCAGACCCTGTGGGGAGGAAAATTGAGGTTGATGTTCTAAGCATGCCGGCCTCAGCATGAACACACACACAGCCCCTCCCACCTCAGATATCCCTGTCCAGTAGGGTCACTCCCAACCTCTCATGGTTCTGGTGGGGAAGCAGAGCCTGGTGTGATCTCGGCTCCAGCACTGAGTAGCTGTATGACCCTGGGCGAGCCACTTAACCTGTCTGTGCTTCAGCTCCTCATGCGTGTTCCCAGTATGATACTAAACACAGGGCTGGTGTCAACATTCAATGAGCAAAAATATTTAGAGAGCATCTGACTCACCGGGAGTGTTTCCTCTTATCATTGCTAGGGAGGAAATGGGCTTGGAGAAGAAAAAGCCTGAATATGGAAGACATAGCAGTTTCCCCCACGCTGTTTCATCATTTTTCAAAAATACGGTGGTATCATCACTCTTCTTAGAAACAGTGCCCCCTCCTTTGCCTGCAAACAAAATCCAAATTCCTGAGTCTCCCCTACCCTTCCCTACCTCCCCTCCCCAGAGGCATCCTGAATTTTGTATGTGCCCTTTACAGCTCTGTCTGTATAGTTCAGTGCAGTATAAATGTTTAGATATGTATTACTTACTTTTTCTTGGCATTAAACCATTATTAAAAAGGTATGGGCTGGGCACGGTGGCTCACGCCTGTAATCCCAGCACTTTGGGAGGCCGAAGTGGGCAGATCAACTTGAGGCCAGGAGTTTGAGACCAGCCCGGCTAACATGGTAAAAATCAGTCTCTACTAAAAATACAAAAAATTAGCCAGGTATGGTGGCACACGCCTATAACCCCAGCTACTTGGGAGGCTGAGGCAGGAGAATTGCCTGAGCCTGGAATACAGAGGTTGCAGTGAGCCAAGATTGCACCCCTGTGCTCCAGCCTGGGTGTGACAGGGCAAGACACTGTCTCCAAAAAAAAAAAAAAATGGTATTGACCAAGTGTGGTGGCTCATGCCTGTAATCTCAGCCTGGGCAACATAGTGAGACCCCCATCTCTACAAAAAAAAAAAAAAAAAAAAGCTGGGTGTGGTGGTGTGCTTGTAGTCCCAGCTACTCCAGAGGCTCAGGCGGGAGGATCACATGGCCTCCATGGTAAAATCCCATCTCTACTAAAAATACAAAAATTAGCTGAGCATGGTGGTGAGCACCTGTAGTCCCAGCTATTCGGGAAGCTGAAGCAGAAGAATTGCTTGAACCCAGGAGGTGGAGGTTGCAATGAGCCAAGGTCACACCACTGGAATCCAGCCTGGGCAATAGAGTAAGAGTCTGCCTCAAAAAAAAAAAAAAAAAGTAAAATAAATAAGTAAATTTTTTAAAGGTATGAAACTGTAGTCGCTGGAACTTTTTTTTTTTTTTTTATCAGCATTTATGTGTCTTAGCTTTGCCCACGCTGTGGCCGGTAGCTGCGGTCCATTTGCTTTCAGAGGTTTAGAATGCTGTGTTCTGTGACGATACCACAAGGCCACTCTCCTATCAAGGGGAAGTCGGGCTGTTTCTGTGATTACTAACAACGCTGTTATGAACATTCTCAGGTGCATCTCTAGGAACACTGCAAGGCTTCCCCTTAGATATAATTGGGAGGTAGATTTGCCAGAGCATAGGTGTGCCAGTGTGCCTCTATACCAGTGATCCCCAACCTTTTGGGCACCAGGGACTGGTTTCATGGAAGACAATTTTTCCACAGATTCGGGGGGCAGAGTGGGGAATGGTTTCAGGATGAAACTGTTCTGCCTCAGATCATCAGGCATTAGATTCTCATAAGGAGCCCACAACCTAAATCCCTCACATGCACAGTTCACAATAGGGTTCTCAGTCCTATGAGAGCCTAACGCTACCACTGATCTGACAGGAGGTGGGGCTCAGGTGATAATGTTTCCTCCCCAGCCAGTTCATGGCCTGGGGGTTGGGGCCCCCTGCTCTACACGAAGAGAAATGCCAAACTGCTTTTCCAAAGTGCTTGAACTAATTACACTCTCACCAGCAATTTTGAGAGTTCCTGTTGATCCACGTCCTCGCCAACATTTAGCAGTGTCAGACATCATAATGTTTACCCATCAAATGCGTGAAAGATGATGTCTCGTTGTGGTCTTGACTTCCACGTGCCTAATAGCCAGTGGGCTTAATTAAGCATCTTGTCATAATTTTTGGCCATAGCTGTTTCATCTTTGGTGAAATGCTGGTTCATGGCTTTTTTGCACATTTTTCCTTTTCTTGCTAGTTCATAGGGGTTTTTGATACCAATCCTGATTATGCATGTATATGTGTATATGTCTCCTCCCAGATTTAGCTTGTCTTCTCATTTGCTTTAAGGTATCTTTGGGGAAACAAAATTGTTATTTTTTAATTGTATCAATTATTTTATCACAGTTAATGCTTTTTGGTGTATTTTATTTAACAATTATTTCCCTGAAGGCAGAAAGATATTAACCTATGTTTTCTCCAAACTGTGTTAAAGTTGTACCTCTATTATTAATCCATTTAGAACTGATTCTCGGTTATGCTGTAAGGTAGTGATCCAACTGCACTTTCCCCTCACGTGAACAACCAATTTTACCCACTCTGAGTAATGAATAGTCCCTCTTGCACACTGATCTGACATGTTCCCACTGGCATAGGTCAGAGCTCCACGTATGCCTGCATCTGCCTCGGGGCTTTCTTCTCTGTTTCTTTGGTCAATTTGTTGATCTCTGTGACAAATTCCTAAATATATGGGATTTTTTAAATTGTATTTTTGTTATTACCCTCTAACTTCATTGCATCATGATCAAAGAATGTCCTCTATCAAATACAGGCTAAGTATCTCTAATCTGAAAATCCAAAATCCAAAATGCTCGAAAATTCAAAACTTTTATTTTTTATTTGTTTGTTGTGATTGTTGTTGTTGTTGTTGTTTTGAGACAGGGTCTCGCTTTGTCACCCAGGCTGGAGTGCAGTGGCACAATCTTGGCTCACTGCAACCTCTGCCTCCTGGGTTCAAGTGATTCTCCTGCCTCAGCCTCCCGAGTAGCTGGGACCACAGGTGTGCACCACCATGCCCAGCTAATTTTTCTATTTTTAGTAGAAACAGGGTTTTGCCATGTTGACTAGGCTAGTCTTGAACTCCTGATCTCAAGTTCAGGAGTTCACTCAAGGCTGCCCACTTCAGCCTCCCAAAGTGCTGCGATTACAGGCGTGAGACACCACACCCGGCCCAAAATTAAAAACTTTTAAAGCACAGACATGACACTCAAATGCTCATTGGGGTTGGACACAGTAGCTCACGCCTGTAATCCCAGCACTTTGAGATGTTGAGGTGAGAGGATCACTTGAGCCCAGGAGTTCAAGACCAACCTGGGCAACATAGTGAGACCCTGTCTCTGCAAAATTTTAAAAATTAGTCAGGTGTGGTGGCGCACACCTGTAGTCCCAGTTACTCAGGAGAATGAGGTAGGAGGATCCCTTGAGCCCAGTAGATTTGTTGAGCTATGATAGTGCCACTGTACTCCACCCTGGCCAACACATCAAGACTCTGTCTCAAAAAAAGAAACAGAGGGGGGGATGGGAGGAGAAGAGAGAGAGAGAAGAGAAAGAGAGGAAAGAGAGAAAGAAAGAAAGAGAGAGAGAAAGAAAAAGAAAGAAAGAAAGAAAGAAAGAAAGAAAGAAAGAAAGAAAGAAAGAAAGAAAGAAAAAGAAAGAAAGAAAGAAAAGGAAAGAGGGAAAGGGAAAGAAAGAGAGGGGGAAGGAAGGGAGGGAGGGAGGGAGGGAATGAAGGAAGGAAGGAGGGAAGGAAAGAAAGAAAATGAAAAGAAAAGAAATGCTCATTGGACCCTTTTGGATTTCAATTTTTCAGGTTAGGGATGCTGAACCAGTAAGTATATAATGCAAATATTCCAAATACAAAAAAAGAAAATCCAAAATCCAAAGCACTGCTGGTCCCAAGCATTCTGGGTAAGGGATAATCAACCTGTACCTCTTTGAAATGCTTTGGAACTTGCTTTCTAATCTGGTATACAATCAATTTTTGTAAATGGTCCATGATTGCTTGGGGAGCGCCTAACTGTGGAAGGTGAGATTCAATCACTGTCCATTGGATCAAGTTTGTTACTCCTGTTGTTCAAATCTTTGCTATTTTTTTCAGCTTTGCTATCAATAGTTAAGAGGAGCATTTTAAATATGCCACACTGATGGTAGATTTGTCAGTTTCTCCTTATTCTATCAATTTTTTTTCTTTTTTGAAATGTAGTCTCGCTGTGTCACCCAGGCTGGAGCGCAATGGTGCAATCTCAGCTCACTGCAACCTCCACCTCCCAGGTTCAAGCGATTCTCCTGCCTCAGCCTCCTGAGTAGCTGGGACTACAGGCATGTGCCACCACGCCCGGCTAATTTTCGTGTTTTTAGTAGAGACAGGGTTTCACCATGTTGATTGGGCTGGTCTCAAACTCCTGACCTCGTGATCCGCCCGCTTCAGTCTCCCAAAGTGCTGGGATTACAGGCATGAGCCACTGGGCCCGGCCTCTATCAACTTTTAAAAGTCAAGTTTTTTGGAGTAAATTTAAACACAATACAATTTACTTTTTAAACAGTTCTGTGAGTTTTTATATATACAGTTATGCAATCACCACCACTCTCAGAATACATTATATTTTTAATAGCTTAAAAAGTCCCAGCCAGGCGTGATGGCTCATACCTGTAATCCCAGCACTTTGGGAGACTGAGGCGGGAGGATCACCTGAGGTAAGGAGTTCAAGACCAGACTGACTAAGATGGCAAAACTCGTCTCTACTAAAAATACAAAAATTAGCCGGGCATGGTAGCACACACCTGTAGTCCCAGCTACTTGGGGAGGCTGAGGCAGGAGAATCACATGAAACTGGGAGGCATAGGGTGCAGTGAGCCGAGATTGTGTCACTGTTCTCCAGCTTGGGGGACAGAACAAGACTCTATCTCAAAAAAAAAAAAAAAAAAAAAAAAAGTCCCAGGCCGGGTTTGGTGGCTCACACCTGTAATACCAGCACTTTGGGCCACCAAGGCAGAGGGATTCCTTGAGGCCAGTAGTTTGGCTTGTCACTACAAAAAATAAAAGATTTAGCTGGGCGTGGTGGCATGCGCCTGTAGTCCCAGCTGCTTGGGAGGCTGAGGTGGAAAGATCACTTGAACCCAAGAAGTCAAGGCTACGGTGAGCCGTGTTTGCATCACTGCCCTCCAGCCTGGGTAACAGAGCAAGACTCTGTCTCAAAAAAAAAAAAAAAAAACAGATGAATTGTTAAACAAAATGTGGTATATTCACAGTGGAATATTACTCAGCCAAAAAATGAACGAAATTCTGATATGTTCTACAACATAAATGAACCTTGAAAATATCATGCTAAGAAAAAAAGCTCCAAACAAAATATTCTACTTGTGATATATGTGATTCCATTTATATTGAATAATTAATGTCCAGAATAGGCAAATTCACAGAGATAGAAAGCAGATAGTTTGCCAGGGTCTGGGAGGAGAGAGAAGTGAGGAGTTACTGCTAACGAGTGTGAGGTCTTTCTTTGGAATGATGAAAAAGTTCCAAACTTAGACAGTGGTAATGGTTTCATAACCACAACCACCACATGGAAAACTTTAAAGGTTAACTTTATGGTATATGAACTATGTCTCAGTAGAGCTGTTATGTTTTAAATGTTTGCATACAGGTATCAGTGCAGACGTGTTTTTATTTCTCTGGAGAAATATCTAGGAGTGGGATTGCTAGAGCATAAAGTTGGTGTATATTTAACTTGTGAGAAACTGTCAACCTGTTTTCCAAAGTGACTGTACCATGTGTATTTCCACCAGCAGTGTATGACAGTGCCAGCGGCTTTGTACCCTGGTTAGCACTTGGTATAGTCAATTTGGGGTTTTGTGTTTGTTTTTTATGTAGTTTACTAATAGATGTATAGCATATTCTCATTGTGGCTTTAATTTGCATCTCCTTTATAATTAAAGATGTTGAGCATCTTTTCATGTGCTTCTTTTCCATTCATATCCCTTCACTGGTGACAGGTCTGTTCAAGCCTTTTGTCCATCTTTTATTTGATTATATTTTTTTTAGTTGTAAGAGTTCTTTTTTCCTTTTTTTTTTTCTGAGACAGAGTTTCGCTCTTGTCGCCCAGGCTGGAGTGCAGTGGCACGATCTGGTGCACTACAACCTCTGCCTCCCGGGTTCAAGCGATTCTCCTTCCTCAGCCTCCCAAGTAGCTGGGATTACTGGCATGCACCACCACACCTGGCTAATTTTTGTATTTTTAGTAGAGATGGGATTTCACCATGTTGGCCAGGCTGGTCTTGAACTCCTGACCTCAGGTGATCTGCCCACCTCAGCCTCCCAAAGTGCTAGGATTACAGGTGTGAGCCACCGCACCTGGCATGTGAGTTCTTATTTATTCTGGATATAAGTCCTTTGTCAGATATGTATTTTTGCAAAGCTTTTCTTCTAGTTTTTTGTTTTATTTCTCCTTAAGAGTGTCTTCTGAAAAGCAGAGGTGAGGTCTAGTTTATCTATTTTTTATAAATAGGTCTGGTTTCTCTATGAATGAAGTCTAGTTTATCTATTTTTGCCTGCTTTTGTGTCCTAAGATTTGTTTGTCTAACCACAGTCACAGTGATTTTTGCCTATGTTTTCTTCTAGAGGTATTATAGCTTTGTACTTTATGTTTAGATCTATGATTCGTTTAATTTTTGTCCATGGTATGAGATATGGGTCGAGGTTCATATTGTTTGCGTATAGACGCTTATTTGTTCCAGTACCATTTGTTGAAAAGATTATCCTTTACCTCCATTAAATTGCCTTTGTGCCTTTGTGGGGAAAAAAGTCTGTTGTGATTTTGCTTGGGATATCATTGAATCTCCCCAGTTTAGGGAATCCTTTCAACTTAACAATATTGAGTCTTCCAATTCATAGATATGGCATAACTCTCCAATTATGTAGAGTTTTAAAAACTTCTTTCAATTTTTGCCTCATACTTTTTTTTTTTTTTTTTTTTTTTTTTAGACAGAGTCTCACTCTGTCACCCAGGCTGGAGTACAATGGTGTGATCTCAGCTCACTGCAACCTCCACCTCCCGGGTTCACACCATTTTCCTGCCTCAGCCTCCTGAGTATCTGGGACTACAGGCACGTGCCACCATGCCCGGCTAATTTTTTGTATTTTTAGTAGAGACAGGGTTTCACCATTCAGCCAGGATGGTCTTGATCTCCTGACCTCGTGATCTGCCCACCTCAGCCTCCCAAAGTGCTGGGATTACAGGCGTGAGCCACCACGCCCGGCCCAATTTTTGCCTTATACCTTTTAAGGCTACTTTATTATATCTTCTTGGTGAATTAAACACTGTATCATTATGTTGTGATCATCTCTATTAGTGCATTGTGCTTTAAAACATATTTTGTTTTATATCAAAATTGCTACACAGTCTCTCATTTGGTTATTTTTTCCTTCACATATCTTGATTCATCTTTTTTTTTCTTCTTCTTTTTTTGAGACAGTCTTACTGTGTTGCCCAGGCTGGAGTGCAGTGGTATGATCACAGCTCATTGCTGCCTTCACTTCCAGGGCTCAAGTGATCCTCCTGCCTCAGCCTCCAAAGTGGCTGGGACTACAGGTGCATACCACTAAGCATTGCTGATTTTCAAATTTTTTTTTTTTTTTTTTTAGAAATGAGGTCTCACTGTGTTACCCAGGCTGGTCATGAATGCCTAGGCTCAAGCGATCCTCCTTCCTCAACCTCCCAAAGTGTTGGGATTATAGGTGTGAGCCACTACACCCAGCCTTGATTCATCTTTTTACTTTCAACATTTCCATGTCCTTTTACTTGAGCTGCGTTTCTTATGAATGGCATATACCTGGGTTTTGTTTTTGCATTCAATCTTAATATCTCCTGCCTTTTAACTGATCCATTTAGTCCATTTATATTTATTATAATTATAGATATATTTGGGTATGTTTGTATTATCTTACTTTTGGATTTCTATTAGTTCCACTTTTTGTTTCTTTTTCTTTGAGTTTTATTTGATTGTTTTATCTACCCCACTTTTTTCTCTCTACTGGAATAAAATGTCTACATTCCAGTTTTATTTTTTTTTTCAGTTGTTGCCCTTGAAATTGCTTTTTTTGAGCTAAAGGCAATTAAACCCTTGAAGTTTTACCACGTGTATTTAATTAATGATATCTCATATTAAACAATATCTTAACACCCTCCCTACCCCTCCGCACAAATGCTAGCTAACACTTTAGGACACTGTAACTCCAGTCTTACTTTTCCTGATTTATACACTATTATTCTCCAACATTTCACATTCCTTCTTCTTAATATCACAAATAAAATTATTATTTTATACAGATGATTTTTGGATTGGCTTTAGCTACACTTAACTATTTTTTAAATTTATTTATTTTTGAGACACGGTCTCACTCTGTCACCCAGGCTGGAGAGCAGTGGCACAATCACCGCTCCCTGTAGCCTTGACCTCCCTGGGCTCAGGTGACCCTACCATCTCAGCCTCCCAAGTCGCCTGGACTACAGGTGTACACCACCATGCCTGGCTAATTTTTGTATTTTTAGTAGAGACGAGGTTTTACCATGTTGCCCAGGCTGGTCTTGAACTCCTGGACTCATGCTCTCCTCTCACCTTGGTCCCCCAAAGTGCTGGGATTATGGGTGTGAGCCACTGTACCCAGCCTTTTACCATTTTCTAACCTCACCATTCCTTCTTCTTGCATCTTAGGCTGACCTGGAATCATCTTCCTTCTTGAGGTACATCCTTCGGGAGTTTCTTTGGCTCATTCTCAGCTTTTATTTACCTGTAAATGTTAAATGTATTTTTTTCCTTTTTGTCTTGGTTCCTGAATGGTAGCTTTATTACAGTAGGTAGCTAGTTAGGTATGAGCAGGGCAGGAAAGGACTTCCCCCCAACACACACACACACACACACACACACACACACACACACACACACACACACACACACTAGGAGTGCTGGGTGACCATCAGGTGGTGGTCAAGTGGTTGTTAACTGTTTCTGTTTAGTAATTGGTCACAGCCAGTACGGGGGAAAGGCAGTCTCCTAATAGAAAACACCTGCAACTGATCAGCAGCTTCCCAGTAAGATCTCCGGAGTGGGAAGCAGCTTACTTCCAAGATCCTGGAAGTATGCCAAGGTATCAAACCCCAAGTCAAGAGGCCAAGCTGCGCACTCGGTTTCTCAGGTCAACCACTTGGCCTTCTTCCACATTGTACTTTTCTTCTCCTTCCTTTCCTTACTGTTCTAAAGCTCTTTGTTTTGTTTTGTTTATTGAGACAGAGTCTCGCTCTGTTGCCCAGGCTGGATGGAGTGCAGTGGCGCCATCTCTGCTCGCTGCAACCTCTGCCTCCTGGGTTCAAGCAATTCTCCTGCCTCAGCCTCCCGAGTAGCTGGGATTACAGGCGCCCACCACCAGGCCCAGCTAATTTTTGTGTTTTTACTAGTAGAGATGGGGTTTCACCATGTTTGGCCAGGGGGGTCTCAAACTCCTGACCTCAAGTGATCCACCCGCCTTGGCCTCCCAAAGTGCTGGAATTACAGGCGTGAGCCACTGCTCCCGGCCCTAAAGCTTTTCAATAAACTTTGACTCCTGCTCTGAAACTTACCTCAGTCTCTCCTTCTGCCTTATACCCCTCAGTCAAACTCTTTCTTCTGAGGAGGCAAGAGGTTGCTGCAGATCCAGACGGATTCACCAACGGTAACTCGGATACCTTCCACCAGTAACAGTTTTGCTGGACACTTCTTTTTTTTTTTTTTTTTTTTTCAGACGGAGTTTTGCTCTTGTCGCCCAGGCTGGAGTGCAGTGGCGCAATCTTGGCTCACTGCAACCTCTGCCTCCCAGGTTCAAGCGATTCTCCTGCCTCAGCCTCCCAAGTAGCTGGGATTACAGGCGTGCACCACCACACCTGGCTAATTTTGTATTTTTAGTAAAGACGGGGTTTCGTCATGTTGGCCAGGCTGGTCTCAAACTCTTGACCTCAGGTGATCTGCCCACCTCGGCCTCCGAAAGTGCTGGGATTACAAGCGTGAACCACAGCACCTGGCCCCTGCTGGACACACTTCTAAGTGGACATTTATTTGCTGTCATCACTTTAAAGCTATTACTGCTGCCTCCTAGCTTCTGTCACGGTGGTTGAGGAGCCAGCTCACGTTCTGTGGTCGTTGGTAGGCAATCTGTCCTTTCTCTTTGCCTGCTTTCATCGTTTCTCTCCCTCTGACATTCTGTAGTTTCAATAAAATGTGTATAAGCATGGATTTATGTATTATGCTTGAGATATTTCGTGTTTCCTGGTTCTGAGACTGTGTTTTTCCATCGCTTCTGGAAAACCTGCAGCCATTTCATCTTCAAATACCACCTCTTTCCCATTCCCTTTATTTTCTTCTTTTGGGACTCCAATATATAAGATCTTCTCATTCTTATTCTCTATATCTCTTAATCTCTTTTCATGTTATCCATCTTCTTATCTCTGTTGCATGCTTTATGTATATAAGTCCAGGCTTATTAATTGTCTCTCTCTCTCTTTTTTTTTTTTTTCTGTTGTTGTTGTTAAGACAAGGCCTGGCCCTATCACCCAGGCTGGGGTGCAGTGGTGCAATCTCGGCTCACTGCAAACTCTGCCTCCCAGGCTCAAACCATCCTCCCACCTTAGCTTCCTGAGTAGCTGGGACTACAGGCACATGCCACCACGCTGGGCTAATTAATTCTCTATTCAACTGTTTGTTTGTTGAATTTTAGATTTTGAGAGTTTTTTATGTTTTTTTTTTTAGTAGAGACAAGGTCTTGCTCTGCCACTCAGGCTTGAGTGCAGTGGAGTGACTACGGCTCACTGCAGCCGCAAACGCCTGGGCTCAAGCAATCCTCCCGCCTCAGCCTCCCAAGTAGCTGGAACTACAGGTGTGCCCCACCATGCCTGGCTAATTTTTTTGATTTTTATAGAGACAGGGGTCTTGCTATGTTGCCCAGGGTGGTCTCAAACTCCTGGCCTCAAGTGATCCTCCCGCCTCAGCCTCTTGAGTCACTAGGATTAAAGGCATGAGCCACCACATCCAACTTGAGATAATACTTTTTATTTCTTGAAGTTCCATTTGTTTTCCCCCAAATCTCTCTGTCTCTCTTCATTTCTATTCGTTTATATGCTCATCTTTGCGATTGCATCTTGTGTTTCTTTAAACGTGTCATATATGGCTATTCTGTATTCCGTCCCTGGGGTCTAAAATCTGTTGCTTCCTTCTTTTCTGCCGACTCTCACTCGGTGGCTTACTTTGTGATTTGGGTAAGTTTTATATTGAAGCCCATTGCTTCGTCTCACTCTGGGCATCCTCCTGGCCTAACCAAGGGAAGCTTACCTCCATATTGAGTTTGCTTCTCTCTTGCCAGTAGCAGGGGGCACCCCAACCCAGGACCACCTCAGCCCCCTCAGAGAGTTTTATCTCAGAGGTGGTTCAACTTCCCATCTTCCCCACCCCTAGCTCTTCCAAAGTTCACTATCAAGAAATGGAAAAATTGCTATAAGACTGGCTTTGGAACCAGCCCTCCCCTCCAGGCAACCTGCCAGTTCATGCCAGCTCTCTGACACTCTCCCACGCCCCCAGCTCCAGCGCCCCTGGGTTCATTCTCCAGCTCCCTCTGCTGAAACCCAGGCTCTTGGCCACTCTACTCCCTCACCCTCCTCAATTTTTCTTCTCAGCACTTGTCGCCACCTGTCATATCTTATGTCTATTTGTTAAACTGTTTAGTGTGAGACATTCCTCCCCCACAAGAATGTGATGACTTGTTCATTTATATATCCTCAGCAACTAGTACAGTGCCTGGAATATAACAAGTGTTTAACAATTACATGATGGGTGAATGAATGAGCCAATGAGACACAGCACCTGTCTCCAAAATGCCCTCGGTCTGGCAGCTGAGACAGATGGGGACAGTCATAATACAAAGAAATAACGTCTGTCATGGGGGAAGGGCGGGAGTGGTGGGGCTGAAAGGAGGCCCCACCCTAGATTTGAAGTCTGCATTGAGGGGAATGAGGATGTGCAAGGCTGAGATTTGAAGGATGTGTCGCCATCACTCCACAAATGAGACACACAGGGAGAGCCTTCCAGACAGAGAACAGCCCAGAGATGAGAAAGAACCTGTTCAGGGAACCGAAAGCTGTTCAGTGTGGCAGCACCGAGGAGGAGGGGGAAGGAGTGGTAAGACACGGCTGGAGAGGGGGACACAAGCCGGACCGTGGGCCTTTCAAGTTCCACTGGGGAGTGTGGCAATGAAGAGGGGGTGCTGTGGAAGGGCTTCCGCAGGGGTGGACACGGGCAGGCTGCAGGATGGAAAACACCCTCTGGCTTCTGGGTGAATTTGGAATTGGGAGTGGGGAGGCAGGGAGGTCCATGGCGCCTCTACAGGGGATGGGGGCTAGGTCTGCGCCAGGGCTGACAGCAGGGGTGGGGACACCCAAGGCAGACCCCTTGGGATTTCTGGTGGTGGCTTTGGCTGGCAATAGGAACACCTCAAGCTGAGTGGGCTGTGAATGAGGGGGACTCATCCAGTGGGCAGAGGGGCTTCCCCCTCAGCACAGCCTGGGTGGATTTAGAGAGTGAAGAGTCCACACCCCGGACTCCTGAGCCAATGCTCTTCTCATTAGAGCTTCCAGGTTTAGCAAAATCAAAATACATCAATAATAGGATACCCTGCTACATGTGAATCCAGGTAAACAATGAATAATGTTTTAGTACGTCTCCCAAATTGGGCATCTGATATTTTATCTGGCAACCCTATTTTCAATAGCCCCCCCATACACACACATGCACACACCCTTTTCTGAAATAACACTAACAAAACCACACACAGAAATCTCCTAATCTGTGGTCCTGTTGACATTTACATGGCATCCGTTCACCAAGTGCCTGCTCTGAGTCCCTGGCCCTGAACAACAGCCCCCAGACTCCACCCCATTCCATCCTCCTGCTAAGTCTGGAAGCTCCCAAGAGCTGGCCCCAGGGCCCCATCTGGGCTCTGCTGGGAGAGAGAGGAAGGGGGAAGAGGGGCCCTGCCTGGCTCCACACTATCTCCCTCAGTCCCTCCCCCACACCCAGTGAGACATTTCCAGGAAGTGGTCCCTGCCCAGGGCCTGGACCCCAGTGGGGCTCAGGGCCACAAGCTTGGGGCTGCTTCCTGGAACTGCCAGTCTCCTCCCGTGTCGCTGTGGCCACATCCTCCCTCGGGCAAGCCCTGGGCTTGGTGGGGTCTGAGAGGCTGGGTCCTGGGCTGGGGGGCTCTATGCAGACCCAGCCACAGCAGGAGCCTGTGTCCCCACTCCCTGGGGCTGCCCAAGAGAAGGGCTAAAGGTTCCCATAATTCCTCGGGACCCTCATTAGCAAGGGGACCCCCTGCCCCAAGGCCTGGAGAGCCTGGGCTTAACCATGGGAGCTTGGATGGGTGCTCACATCACCCAGATGGTGGCAGGGGTGGGGAGAATCTGCCTGGAGTTAGCGTGGGAAAGAGGCCTTCTCTAGGCACCGCTGGGGCAATTTTGTAGATGTGATAAATGACCACCAGGAATTTCTATAGACCGGAAGATTGGGGAACTGGGAGGTCGGGGGACATGTGGCATGGCCTGGAGGCTGCACTGTGTGGGGACTATTCCTAGAACAGCAGAAAGTCAGCGAGGTGGGAGTAGAGACCCGTCTGGGGAAAGAAACTGAGGCATGGTGAGATGTGCCTAAGAAGGGGTTGTGCCTACAAGGTTGAGCAGAGCTGGGCCTGGGGCTTAGACAGGCTGGCCTCTGAAACTCAGTTAACACTGTTAACAATAATAGCAAAAATACTAATGATAATACCAGTAACCATTTACTGAGCACTTACTCTGTGCCAAGTCTCTTTATTTGAATTCTTTTACTTAGTCTTCAAAATAGGTACCACTATGGCCTCTATTTTACAAATAGGAAAACTGAGGCACACAGAGGCTGAGTGGTTTGTCCACAGTCTCACAGCTAGCAAGTGGCAGAGCTGGCATTGGAGCCCAGGCAGCCTGGCTCCAGAGCCTACGCCACTCACTGCCTGGTGAAGGAGTTATTTGCATCTAGAAATGTACAGAAGAGCAGAAGATGTCCCAGGAGAACTTTTCCCCAGGGGAAATCCTGCTCCTATTTTCTGCCTGTGACCTTCGAGGTCATCAAAACGGCCCAGTGGCCTGGGGCAGGGCCCTGAGCACCCACCACCTGAGCACCCTGCTCTGGTGCCAGCTATGTCTGGGGTGCAGCCCCCAAGAGCGAAAGTGCACCGCCGCATTGGGAAAAGAGACAAATGGCCGTGTAAGCGTGTCTTGCCTTTCCTCCTGGAGGAAATGGGTCACTCAGTAGGCGCAGTCCTGCAGTTACGGCCCCTCCAGCTGGTGCATGGGGTCTGCAAACAGGTGTTTGAGCGATTCTAGATGCAGTCTTGGCGCCAAGGGCCTCTGAGTGTGGACCAACGGTGCCGCCTAGTGTTCGTTCTGGGAAACGCACTGGCTTCATGAGCACTGTCTCATGAAGGTCTGGGGTAAGGGTGATTCTCTGAAACTATGGCCTGAGCTTCGAATTTAAAACCCACACTCTCACGCCTACCTGGGCAAATTCAATCTTGCCCAATCACCAAACAGCCAGGACACTGGGATCCAGCTGATTCAGCTGGAGGAGAAAGAAGCGTTTTCCTCTGCCCCCAAGAAAACTGCGGGATGGGCTACTGGTCCAGATGGTCTATGGAAGTCTTGGGAGCACCGCAGGAGGAGCCTCTGGGAACGGCGGAACCTCCCAATCTTTGGGAAGGGTGGGCTTGGACTTGGAGTCATCATAATTTAGGGAGTTAAAGGAAAAGAGGCCTCAGGCATAGGCCAGTAAAGTCTCAGAGCCTGGGTAGGTCCCACCCGCCCCAAGCCAGGATGCCATCTGGCCCTCCCCTGGAGGAAGGTGGCAGGGCCAAGCAGGTGCTTCCAGGGCAGCCTGAATGAGATCCTGCCCCTAGCAAGCAGGTGGAGGCCGCGGGAATTCCCACCCCACGCTGACACTCTTCCCCCTGGTCTTATGCAATTTTTACTAAGCTCCTGGGTTAGGCTGAAACAAAGCCGCTTGCCCCCATGTCACAGCTGTGGATACCTAGGGTCTGTGAGAAGTGGCAGGCCCAAGGTCATACAGACAGACTCAAAGACAGTCCTTGAAACTTGGCTTCCTGATGCCCAGGCTGGTGCTCTGCCCACATCCCTGGCGAGCTGGGCCCAGGTACCAGGACAAAGTTTGCTGCCCCAGGTAAGGTTGGATCTGCCCCGGAGCAAAATGTCAGGGAGAGGTAGAGCAATGCCTTCCCCTCAGTGCCTGGAGAGGCCGTGGAAGTGGAAAAGGCCCCTTGGCGGTCACAGTGGCCTCTGGGGTCCAGCAGCAGGCCTGCCACCCTCTCTAGCAGGAGCCGTAGCCTCAGGCTACTGGCGGCCAGAGAGGCTGAGGATTCCAGGCCAGGAGGCCCGGACTACTGTGTTGTTTGGGAGGAGCTGAAGGCCTCTATCTGTGCCTTGGCCTCTGCTTCTGAGCGGCACCGCTGGGAGCAGAACCACAGGAAAAGGAAGAAACCTGCAAGAGAAAGGCGGGAGTTCCACGGGGCAGCATGGGCTTCCCCAAAGGCCAGGGTCTCCTTGGCTGCAGCGAGCTGGCCTCCCTGGGGCCCATGGGCAACTCCCAGAATCTCTTACTGTAGGAGGCCAGAGGGGCAGAGCCTCAGAGCTGGAAGAGCTGCTGTGGCCAGTCCATAGGGTACCTTCATGCAGATGTAGCCCCCACCAGCTTAGCTAGTGGAGCTGTGGGCTGGATGTTAGTCCCCCACTCGCCCCCTTCACCTGAACCCCTTTAGCAGTGAACATCCCACCAGCCATACACCCCCTGCCAGGTAGCTTCCTCCAGGCCGCCCTCCAGCCCTACCGTAGAGCGAGTTTAAGATGGTGAAGAGGAACAGCTGGGGCAGCAGGAAGACGCCAAAAGAAAAGAAGGCCAAGGCCCAGGTGGTTCCCAGCAGCACGGTGAGGCCCAGCACAGTGACAGTGTCATGGCAGGCCCTGACACTTGGTGCATCCGCCCGCTCCCGCAGCCTGCGCAGGGTCCACAGCGCCCAGGCCAGCACCACCAGGTTGAAGAGGGACGTGAGGCCGCCGTAGCCCATGACCAGGACACTGTGCACCACGGGGCTCCGCACCCAGCATCTGCAGGGGAGGGTGACGTGTCAGGCTCACAGTGGCTCCCAGGCCCGCGGGGAGGCCAGCATCACTCCCTGAAGCCCCACTCGGTCTCCTGGCTCAGGCCCTATTGTTTCTTGCCTGACTGAACACACAGTGAAACCCCTCACCCGGCTTTCCAGCCAGGCCACCATCAGAGGACACATCTGCCTCCTTGGTCAACAATCTGAAGCTCCCTCATGCCCACCTTTCCAGCCACAGTGGTTTCTCTCACGTCCCCATGTCTTCACCCCCCTGAAAATTCTTCCTCTCTCCTTTCCACATCTCACTCCTCTCTGCTTCCATGGCCAGCCCAAGGCCGGCATGCCCCATCTTCTATTGGATCCTTGGCCCGGAGCCCTCTTTCCTGGAAACTTCCCCTTCCACCCCACTACATGGTTGTCACCACCTCATCACCATCTCTGCAGTGGGACGCCCCTCCCCAGGAGCCACTCCCCACCTAGACGGGGCCACCAAGGCCTGCGCTGGAGAGTGGGCGGGCTGCCAACCTGTGGCTTGGTGGACAGGGACCCTCCAAGTGTCAACCTGAGAGCACACAGAGCCGCAGGAGAGCCCACTGAGGGCTGAGCAGAGAGCCATGGAGAACTAACCGAAGCCAGCCCCGGTCCCACGCCCTCCCGGAGGCCTCTGCCCTTTGCCTCCCCAAGACACCTTCAAGACAGATGCCACCTTTTAGTCGGACACAATGTCATGCTGAGGCAGGAGAAAAGGGTTTAGAGACAGGGAAATGTAAGGACTTCCTAGAACTAAATCAAATGGAGGCCAGGCGCGGTGGCTCATGCCTGTAATCTCAGCACTTTGGGAGGCCGAGGTGGGCGAATCACTTGAGGTCAGGAGTTGGAGACCATCCTGGCCAACATGGTGAAACCCCGTCTGTACTAAAAATACAAAAATTAGCTGGGCGTGGTGGCAGGTGCCTGTAATCCCAGCTGCTCGGGAGGCTGAGGCAGGAGAATCACTTGAACCCGAGAGGCAGAGGTTGCAGTGAGCCGAGATCGCACCACTGCACTCTAGCCTGGGTGACAGAGCGAGATTCCATCTCAAAATAAATAAAAATAAATCAAATGGAAACACTTCAGCTATGACAGAAAATATCCTCTCCATTTACATAGGGCATATGCCAAATGACTTTGTAACTTTACTTCATCCTCCTCATTTACAGAGGGTGTACATCAAGTAACCAATGGAAACCTCTAGAGCATATTTAAATCTCCACAAATTCTGTAATAGGGCTCTTGAGGCCCTATGCTCTGGCCCACTCCCACACTGTAGCGTGTACTTTCATTTTCAATCAATCTCTGCTTTTCTTGCTTAATTCATGCCTCACTCTTTCCTTTTTTTTTTTTTTTTTTTGAGAGGGAGTCTCTGTCACCAGGCTGGAGTGCAGTGATGTGATCTTGGCTCACTGCAACCTCCGCCTCCCAGGTTCAAGCAATTCTCCTCTCTCAGCCTCCTGAGTAGCTGGAACTACAGAATCCTGACACCACGCCCAGCTAATTTTTGTGTATTTTTAGTAAAGACAGGGTTTCACCGTGTTGTCCAGGTTGATCTCGAACTCCTGACCTCAGTTGATCCACCTGCCTCGGCCTTCCAAAGTCCTGGGATTACAGGCACGAGCCACCATGCCCAGGCTTGTCCAATTCTTGGTTCAAGACGCCAAGAACCTGGACACCCTCCACCAGTAACGATGTGCTTTATGTGACTTGTCCCCTGCAATCCCCATGACAACCCATAAGGCAAGTACATAATCGTCCTCATCCTGCAGATGAGGAAACTCAGGCTCTAGCTCAGGAACACAGTCCAGTTAGAGGCAAAGCTGGATCCTGAAGCCCCAGGCCCAGAGCCTGAGCCCCTAACTGTCACAATCCCCTGCTGAGGTTCACTTTGTGGCTCCTGCCCCTACAGTCACAAGGGTCCCAGGACATTATTTTGGGATTCCTCCAAGTTGATGAGTGTGGTAGGCGACCACTCACTTTCACCGCTAGGGAATATCCCCACGGGGGCAGCTCTACTGCAGTCCATTCATCCAGCATCCCGTCAGTGGACATCTGAATGATTTTCAAGGGTTGTATTTGTTTTGTTTTGTTTTTTGAGACGGAGTCTCGCTCTGTCTCCAGGCTGGAGTGCAGTGCCGCAATCTCGGCTCACTGCAATCTCCACCTCCCGGGTTCAAGCGATTCTCCTGACTCAGCCTCCTGAGTAGCTGGGATTACAGGCACCCGCTACCATGTCTGGCTAATTTTTGTATTTTTAGTAAAGATGGGATTTCTCCATGTTGGCCAGGATGTGTTTTTTATTTGTTTGTTTGTTTGAGTCAGAGTCTCGCTGTCGCCCAGGCTGGAGTGCAGTGGCGATCTCAGCTCACTGCAAGCTCCACCTCCCAGGTTCACGCCATTCTCCTGCCTCAGCCTCCCGAGTAACTGGGACTACAGGTGCCTGCCACCACGCCCAGCTAATTTTTTGTATTTTTAATAGAGACGGGGTTTCACTGTGTTAGCCAGGATGGTCTTGATCTCCTGACCTCATGATCTGCCTACCTCAGCCTCTCAAAGTGCTGGGATTACAGGCGTGAGCCACCACGCCTGGCCTGTTTTTGGTTTTTAACTGATGTTTGGGTTTAGGAATGTGTATATACATAGTAAGAGATGTTTTAAATTAAAAAAAAAAAAAGTCACAAACCCCAAGGTAATTGTTTCCTGAGAGGAGAGGGCAGAGTGAGGAAGACCCAGGGAGAAGCTGGCTCGTAGGTGGGTGTTCTCTAACATCTGTGCATTAGTGGGTCCTGTGGACGTGTCACTAAAGCTCCTTTGTCCTCATCATATTATTATATAAGAAAATAGGCTGGGCATAGTGTTCACGCCTGTAATCCCAGCACTTTGGGAGGTCAAGGCAGACGGATCACCTGAGGTCAGAAGTTGAGACCAGTCTGGCCAACATGCTGAAACTCTGTCTCTACTAAAAATACAAAAATTAACTGAGCGTGGTGGCACGCGCCTGTAATCCCAGCTACTCACAGGAGAATCGCTTGAACCCAGGAGGCAGAGGTTGCAGTGAGCCGAGATCACACCATTGCACTCCAGCCTGGGCAACAAGAGCGAAACTCCATCTCAAAAAAAAAAAAAAAAGAAAAAAAAGAAAATACATCTTCAGAGAGTATGTAAACTGAGGCCAGAGCCTCTATTTCCTCATCTGTAGGTTGGGGATGATTATGTACTTGCCTTATGGGTTGTCATGGAGATTGCAGAGAACAATTCATGTAAATTGAAGTCACATGTCCTCTGATACACCCGAGCCTCAATGTGAGAGGGATCAGCCCCACCTATGTAGCACGCAGTCCCCCGGCCCTGCTTCAGGGGCTGGGGGCCAGGCTCTGGACCAGCCTGCCGGAGACCAAGCCCCAGCTCTGCCACTGACTGGCTAGGGCTCCTCAGGTAGAGTTCTTAAGCTGCCTGTTTCTCAGGTGCCCTAACTGTAAAATAGGGCTGGCAACAGGACCCGGCCCTTGCCCTTGTGAAAACGAAGCCAGCTGATACCCAAGGCCTGCCACAGAATCAGCCCCCATCCTGAGCCTGCATCAGCCAAGAAGGAAAAAGGTTCCACAGCCAACTGCAAGTGAGTGATGGGCGCGCGGGGGTTCCTTAGGCTAGTCTATGTCTGGCTATTAGAAATGTTGCATAATAATAAAAAGCTTAACGTCCTCGCCTGCAGGGAGGGGCTATTAAAAAAAAAGCAGCAGCGTGTCCCCCGGCCCCTAAAGGCCCACCTCGCTGCCTCTCTTTGTCTCCCCCAAGCCCAGCCCCCACAGCACTCTTGTCCGACTAGGAGGACTTGAGAGGCCTGGCAGTGCCCAGGGCAGGTCGGGAGGAGTTGGAGCCTGGGTAGGTGCAGCAAGGTGGTCTGCAGGGGAACAGAGTCAAGTGCAGGCTGAGCCAGACCCTCAGGGCCTGGGCACTGGAGGGCAGGGCAGGACAGAGGAGGCGGGAGGCCCGGCTGCCCTGGCAGGTTGGCGAGCAGACGCTGGCTTCGTAGACTTCACCAGCATAGAACACAAGGCTGCCTCTGCAGGAGACCTGGATCCATGGAAGGGATGTGGTGGAGCCCCCTGCAAACTCCCCTGTCTAAGCCCCAGCTCCCTCTCTGCCCCACAGCCAGTGCTTTGCCTACAGGATATTCCATTTGGAGCCCCAGGCCCATGTGGCCCTTCTGCCAGAGCCAGGGAGCCCACTGCAGCCCTGAGGGCACTCACATGGACATGTTCTGGAAGCCTGTGCCATTCTCCCAGCTGTCGAAGACGGGGATTGTGCAGGGTCCGTATACCGAGCTCTTGACAGAGAGGGAAAGCAGCACCAGGAGGGCTGGGGCCCCTGAGGGGTGGGACAAAGGCTCAGGAGATGTGGGAGAGGGCTGACCCTCGGTCCCTGGGGCGGTCCCTGGGGCTGCTGACACAGAATTTCACTGGTCAAGGGACAACTGAGAGGAGACTGTTGTGAGCCCCCAACTTCAGAGCAATGAGCCTGGTGGTTTGGAGGAAGCTCTCCTCCAAGATGATGTTAGTGACGGCTCTACGATGGAACAGTGGTGGAGGGAGGAGTGGTCACACTGGGAAGGTGGTGGTGGGGAGCAAATGGGAGGGAGGACTGGGGAACTGCTGAGGAAATAGAAATAAGCAAGAAAGGGGCAAGGACGGTGATGAAGGTACCAGTGATGGTGCTGCTGGAGATAGAGAAGGTGGAGGAAGTGATGATGGTGGAGATGGAGGTGGAGTAGGTGGTGATGGTGGTGAAGGAGGTAGAGAAAATGAAGGCGGTAATGGAGGTAGAGGAGGTGATGATGGTGCTGATGGAGGTGGAGGAGATGGAGGTGATGATGGTGATAGTGCAGGTGGAGGAGATGATGGTGATGACAGAGGTGGAGAAGATGGAGGAGGTGACGGTGATGATAGACGTGGAGGAGGTAATGATGATGATAGAGGTGGAGGAGATGGAGGAGGTGATGGTGATGATGGAGGTGGAGGAGGTGACGATGGTGATGACAGAGGTGGAGGAGATGGAGGATGTGATGACGATGGTGATAGAGGTGGAGGAGGTGATGATGGTGGTGACAGAGGTGGAGGAGATGGAGGAGGTGATGATGGTGATGATGAAGGTGGAGGAGGTGATGATGGCGATGATAGAGGTGGAGGAGATGGAGGAGGCGATGGTGATGATGGAGGTAGAGGAGGTGATAATGGTGATGATAGAGGTGGAGGAGATGGAGGAAGTGATGGTGATGATGGAGGTGGAGGAGGTGATGATGGTGGTGATAGAGGTGGAGGAGATGGAGCAGGTGATGATAGTGATGACGGAAGTGGAGGAGGTGATCATGGAGGTGATAGAGGTGGAGGAGGTGGTGATGGAGTTGATGGAGGTGGAGGAGGTGGTGATGGAGGTGATGGAGGTGGAGGTGGTGGTGATGGAGATGATGGAGGTGGAGGTGATGATGATGGAGGTGGAGGAGGTGATGATGGAGGTGATGGAGGTGGAGGAGGTGGTGGTGGAGGTGAAGGAGATGATGGTGGTGGTGAAGGAAGTGGAGGAGGTGGTGGAGGTGGAGGAGGTGATGACGATGGTGATGAAGGTGGAGGAGGTGGTGATGGAGGTGGAGGAGGTGATCATGGTGGTGAAGAAGGTGGTGATGTACGTGGAGGAGGTGATGATGGTGGTGATGAAGGTGGAGGAGGTGATGGCGATAACGGAGGTGGAGGAGATGGTGATGGTGGTGATGGAGGTGGAGGAGGTGATGGTGATGATGAAGGTGGAGGAGGTGATGATGGTGGTGATAGAGGTGGAGGAGATGGAGCAGGTGATGATGGTGATGACGGAGGTGGAGGAGGTGATCACGGAGGTGATAGAGGTGGAGGAGGTGGTGATGGAGGTGATGATGGTGGAGGAGGTGGTGATGGAGGTGATGGAGGTGGAGGAGGTGGTGATGGAGGTGATGGAGGTGGAGGAGGTAGTGATGGAGGTGACAGAGGTGGAGGTGGTGGTGATGGAGGTGATGGAGGTGGAAGAGGTGATGATGGAGGTTGAGGAGGTGATGATGGAGGTGATGGAGGTGGAGGAGGTGGTGGTGGAGGTGAAGGAGATGATGGTGGTGGTGAAGGAGGTGGAAGAGGTGGTGGAGGTGGAGGAGGTGATGATGATGGTGATGATGGTGGAGGAGGTGGTGATGGAGGTGGAGGAGGTGATCATGGTGGTGAAGAAGGTGGTGATGTACGTGGAGGAGGTGACGATGGTGGTGATGAAGGTGGAGGAGGTGATGGCGATAACAGAGGTGGATGAGATGATGATGGTGGTGATGGAGGTGGAGGAGGTGATGGTGATAATGAAGGTGGAGGAGGTGATAATGGTGGTGGAGGAGGTGGAGGAGGTGATGGTGATAATGAAGGTGGAGGAGGTGATAATGGTGGTGGAGGAGGTGACGATGATGATGATGGAGGTGGAAGAGGTGATAAAATTAGTAACATAGAAAGTAGAGGTGGGTGTAGACAGAGTTCACAGCTGGTGGTCATGTAATGGCCACTATGACGATGAGGAGGAGGGGAAAGAAAGGACTAAAGGGGATCAATACCCTGCCCACCTGGAAGTCTGAGGAGGCGAGGAGAGATGATGTGCTTACCCCAGCCTAGCACACCAAGCTTGAACACATATCTGCGGATGTAGATGTTGTAGACACGCCCGAGGAGGAGGTAGAGGTTGAAGCCCTCGATGGCCATCCAGGTGAGGCAGCTGAGCAGCGCGTAGTGCAGGGCAGCGGCCAGAGCCGTGCATGCTGACCCGGGCACAGGAGACATTGCGAATGCGGGGCTCAGCAGGAAGGCGATGTTCAGGAGCAGCACGGAGGCATGCAGGTTCATGTGGATGCGTGTTAAGGAGTCACTCTGCTTCCTGCAGGTGAGAGAATGGTCCTCCATGGCCCAGGGACATCACCCAGGCAGCACTACCCACTGGGTGCATAGGTGCATGCCGACAGGGAAACTGAGGCGAAGAAGGGGCAGGGATCCCACAGCAGTCGCACCACAAGGCTGGTCTCCCGCCTCCTGGTCCCCACCCTCTGGAGAAGCACACCCAGTTCTAGTGGACTAAATGGGACACAAGGAAGCGTGATGTGCCACAGTGCAGGGCAGGCCCAGCACTGTGGCAGCGGAATACCTGAAATGGAAGTGCAGCAGGACTGTGATCAGCGAGGCCACGATGGAGATGCTGCAGCCCACGAGGGAGATGTACGTAAGAGGTGCCAGCAACTCTGCAGGGACCAGGGCTGGGGAGAGTTGCTGCAGGAGGGAAGAGGGGCTGGAGGCCAGAAGCATAGTATCGCCCTTCCTCCCAGCCTCAGTCAGAGGGACCTCCTGAGGCCTCCTCTCCAAGTCCCCTTCCCCACAAGCCTAGCCATGGACCTGGCTTGAACAAGGCCATGGCAGATACAGTCAGTTTTGCCCCCTCCACATCTCCCATCTCCCTCTTCTTCTATGAGTGCCTCCCTTCTCCCACTCCCTATGCACCTGTGGGGTTCCACCACTTTGCCCTCTTTGTGCAGAAAGGGGTGCCAGGCCTGGTCAAGCAGGGCCCTCCCTCCTTCTGCCTATAGCGATTGGGTCAGGGATGAGCACATGGCTGGCAGAACTGGGTAAAAGAAGATTTTATTCCACTGGCCTGAAAGCTAGCAGGGCATGAGCCTGGAACTGCTGCCAGCTATATTATTATCTCATAAGGAGATCCTATTTGAGGGCTAAGCCAGCACAGAGCAAGCACAGTTGAGGGACAAAGATAGAGTGCTATCTTAGTGATCTTAGTGATCAGCCCGTGGATCAAGCCATGCCTGAAGCCTAACCCAGCCTTTCCAGAAACATGAGTCCATAAAGTTTTTTTTGTTTTTTGCTTAAGCCCATTTCAGTTGGACTTTCTGTCCCTTGCACCAGCTTTTGCCTTGCTCCTCTGCCACAGACACAGGGCCCTCTGTAGCTCTGAGCCCCACTCAGGATGCATACATACCATGAGAACAGCAAAGTAGGTGAGGTGGTTGCAGCGGCAGAGCACCTGAGAGTGGGAGGGCTGCTCTGTACGACAGCCCTCAGGGCTCCAGCCCCCCCAGGGCTGTTTCCTGGCTCCCTCCTTCCAGAAGACACAGGTCAGGGTGTAGCCTTCCTGGGTGGAGATGCTGGGTCAGTCATAGGGTGCAGAGGAAAGGCTGCAGATCAGTGTCTGGGAGTCCTGGGGGCCAACGGTGACTCAACTGCACATTTGCCAACATTTTACCAGGCACTGGCTGGCCTTTGGCTTCAGACAGTCTCAGATTCCTGTCCCACCTCCACTGTGGGCTCTCAGAGTGACCCAGGCAAGACACCAAGTTGCTCTGAGCCTCAGTTTAGTCATCTACAGAATAGGATCATTCGTACCCATGTTACAACAATGGTGGAAAAACAAAGGGCAACACGGAATCTTGAGTGTCCAGCTCTGGCCTTTTATACAGTAGGCGCTCCATAACCAGCTGATCCCTTCCCTTCCTCCCCATGGGGAACAGCAATGTGCTCAGACCCACGCCTGGTTGGGGGAGACTCATCCACAGACAACCCTAATGCCAAGCCACGTGGGTGGAGAAGTGGAGGAAATGACACAGGTAGTCACGGAAGACCATGGAGGGTAGGCAGAGCTGACCCAAAGGGAGAAGGGGAGGTGGGGGCCCTGAACCCTTAGAGGACGTGTTGGATTTCAACACGAGTAGGGCAAGGGCATTCCAGGTGGAGGGAACCATAGTGGCAAAAGCCCAGAGCTGAAAGGAAAGGATGATGGTGAAATTTAGAGTGCAGGGCAGTCCTGGTGAAGCTGAAGGGAAGATGAAGCCAGAAAGCAGAGGCTCCGGGCTTTTCAGGAATGCCAGGAACCAGAAATGGAGGCACTGAGGCTTGTGAACCACCCCACTCTGCCCCCACCCCCAACAAGCAGCCCTGTCTCTGTTCCAGGATCAGCATCTGCACTTACCCTAGGAGCTCACTCCTTCACCCCAGTCCCTGGGCCGTGTGACCCAGGCCTGGCCAATCCACACATTCCATCCCCCTGGGCACAGTGACAGGTGCAGGGATGGACATGTGTGACCCAGCTGAACCTTTAAGATCCTGAGACCCTGATCTGCACTGGGGCAGGTTGTGGGTGGGGAGTCGGGGGAAGAGCCTGATGGGAAGAGGGAAAGGAAGTCTGGCTCTCCAGCATCCATCATGCCACAGAATGGACAGCCAAGACAGGAGACCATTGCTGAGACGGAGAGAGACTGAGCCACAAGGGCATCAGATCCATCCCTGGATCCAGCTATGTCTGAAGCTGGTGGATCACCTCTAGACATTTCATGGATGTGTGCCAATCAGTTCCCTCTGTGCTCAAGCTGGCTTGAAGTGGTCTTTTCTTACTTGCAACTGAAAGAATTCTGACAAATGCATGAGTAAAAACTTCTCTCTCTCTTATTTCTTGAGCAGGAATTTTCAAAGTGTGATGGATTTCCAAGATGGTTCCACAGGTTTGGGTCTAGTCAAACCAGTGTTCAACAGGAGAGTCACAGAGGGGCAGGGGTGCAGTGGAAACGGGGGCGCCCCCAGCAGTACCAGGCTTTGGTTGTGCCAGAAGCTGATGTTCACAGGATCCCTGAGGTTGTTCACGTGCCCATGACTCAGCTGGGCCCCCAGGACGTAGTTATTCAGCAGAGATGAGTTGTTTTCATCCTGGAAGGGCAGCAGGAGAAGGGCTGAGTGGAGGGGAAATGGGGAGGCCCTGGGTAAGGTCTGAGCTCCGCTTCCCTGGATGAGAACAAGCAGCAAGACTTTCACGTGTGCAGCGTGAAAGCTTTCTCAGCCTCCCAGCCTCCCAGCCTTCCCAGCCTCCCAGCCTTTGCATGTGCTGTTTCTGCCCTGTGGAAAGCTGTCCTCTCACCACCCCCTGCTCCACCTCCCATTCGTTTAATGCATTCCAGCCTCACGCCCTCCACCTCACCACTATCCTCACTCACTTTCAAAGCCAAGGTTGAAAGGCACCTTCCCCAGAAACTCCCCTGGACTGCCCACTGGGAAGAGCCCCAACCCCACCCTGACTCATCCATCACTCTGGATCTCTATGGCTATAATCAACCTTCTGCTGACATTAAATCTCTAAGATCAGGCCAGGCTCAGTGGCTCACGCCTATAATCCTAGCATTTTGGGAGGCCAAGGCAGGCGGATCACTTGAGGCCAGGAGTTCAAGATCAGCCTGGCCAACGTGGTTAAACCCGGTCTCTACTAAAAATACGAAAATTAGCTGGGCATGATGGCACACGCCTGTAATCCCAGGAGGCTGAGGCAGGGGAATTGCTTGAACCCAGGAGGCAGAGGTTGCAGTGAGCCGAGATCATGCCACTGCACTCCAGCCTGGGCAACAGAGCGAGACTCTGCCAAAAAAAAAAAAAAAAATCTGTAAGGTCTTAGTCTAGGCATCAAGACAGAGAGTTATCTGAGGGCAGGGAATAATAAGTGCCTTCTTGTCTGTCTCCCGCCTACCGACAGGCACATCGTAGGTTTCTTAGGTCTTATTTGCAGATTGTAATTATACCTTCCTACCATTCTGCTAAAGTTGGCAGGGAAACTGAGGCCCAGAGAGGGACAATTGCTGGCTTGGATTGCACAGATGGCTGGTTGGTCTCACTCAGTGCTGGTCACCCAGAGGCCAGGCAGTGACATGGGCACCTGCAGTGGATCCCAAGAAGGGGCCGGCACCCACCCTCCTTGGCCCGCCATCACACTGACCTTGAAAAAGTGGGTGTTGGAGAAGTAGATACAGATGAGCCGCAGCTCCCTGGGGCGGGTCTTGCAGGCGTCCCGGGTCAGCTCGGCGGGGAACTGCATGGCGTGCTGACCCCGGGCATGCTGACCTCCTGCCTGCAGAGGGTCGCAAACAGGCTGTTTGGCAACCAGGACCTGGAGACCTGACCCCAACACCTTCACTGCCTCCCACTCCCCGTGAAACCTTCCTTGGGGTTTCCACCCACAGAACCTTCTCCCCCCAGGCTGCATCTCCTCCCAAACTTCCCAAGATCCCAGGCCTTCCCTCCATGCTGTTCCTGAGTTTTGGATGTTTACCTGACCCACTGAACCCCTGAAGATGGAGCTACCTCAGCACCCAGCCCCAGCACCAGCCCCAGCCCCTGCCAGGGATCCAGCTGATCACCCCAGGGTCCTAAAAGGAGCCAGGGTTTCTGGCCTCTCCCACAGCGCCTCCCGCAGCGGGCAGCCTCCAGCCAAAGCAGGAAGAAGATTCTGCCCTGCAGGGGCAATAAAGCACCTCCCTTTCCACAGTTCACACAGCGAGTATGAGCCCCATTTTACAGAGGAGGCAACTCACTGCCAGTTAGGGCAGAGCCTGGACTGTGGGGTGTGGGGAGGAAGACAGTGGAGCCTAAAGAAAGTCCAGACCTTAAATGCCTGGAGGACTTCTAGGGCGGGGCAGCTGGCCACACCCCCCAACCCGCAGCCTCTGACCTGGGGCACCCGCTTCAGAGTGGCACTGGTCAGCGAGAGGCCAGAGAAGTCACAGCTCAGCTTGAAGGCCAGAGACTGGATGGTGGGTGTCTGCAAGGTCAGGTTGTAGCCTGGGAAGCTGGTGTTCAGTAGCATCTGCTCCAGCTGGTGGAGTTGACTGCAGCCCAGAGAGATGGCCAGGGAGGCCAGAGCCCGGAGTGGGGTAAGGGTGAGAGGGGGCTGTAGACAGCCTGGGAGGGCAGGGCCTCCCCACCCACACCTCTGTCACACGCACCTCCAGACCACTGCACACACAGTGTCCTTGGCACACTGTTACCTCCCTACCCCATCTATCCCCTCCTCTTGATTAACTCCTGTTCAGGTCCCAGTTTATTGTCACCTCCTCCAGGAAGCCTTCCCTGACTGCTCCCTCACAGCTTCCCAGTAGCCACTCTTAGCCCTGACCAGTCTTCAGCATTGGCCGCTCACCTAGAGCTGCTCAGTCTTTGGGTCATAGACCCTGGAGAGCCCAGCCAGAATCTTAGACCCCCTTCCCAGGAAAATGCATGGAGACCCATAATTCTGCACTTAGTGTCATGACATCTATGATTAAGGGCCCCCATTCCTCGATGATAAACTTCATGAGGGCAGTGACATGCCCATCCTGCATCCCCAGAGCCTAGTGTCAGGCATGCAGTAGGTGCTCAATAAAAGTGCTGAAGAAATGCACAGTTAAGAGTCTACATTAGACTAACCCTGACCCACTGATTCAAGGTGCAGGCTTGGGGTGGGAGGCACATCCAACTCACCGAGAGGAAAAAACTGAGCTCCGGCCCCTGGACACCTGCATATTCTCCATGTAGCTCAGGAGTTCTTCCCATGTCTCTGTGGGGACACACCTCCCCCTCAGTTTGTGTCTCAACTGCCCTCTGGCCCCACAACCTCTGGGCTTTCCATCCCACCCTGAGAGTCTAGTTCACAAGCAGCTCCTGCTGCCCCCAGGAAGCCTAAGTGGCCCTTTTCAATCTCCCATGGTTTGACGCCTCCCCCTTTTGCATCACAGTCCCACGACTGGGCTAGGGCTGCCCCCAGTTCAGCAGAGCCCCCTTACCTGTTGTTGCATTCTGCAAAGTCAGAAGGCACAGGCACAGGAAAAGGGCACCACAGTGATCCATGCCCTGTGCAGAGTCTCCTCCAAGAACTGGCTCCGGCCCTGAAAAAGGTGCATGCCATCACCATGATGATAAAAGAGCAACCTCTAACTTCTAGGTGTCTGGCATGTCCCAAGAGTAGGACATGCAGCATCTTATTTGACTCACCACTCCTGCATTTCACAGATGAGGAAGCTGAGGATGAAGGGCAAAGGGTCTTGCTTTACTTAAACCTGCCTAAAGCCAGGTCTCTAAGACTCCAGAATCCTTGACCACCAAGTAATGGCTGCCATTAGCAGCTCCGCCTGATACACTCCCCTTCCCAAAAAGCAGTCTTTCTGGGGGCTTCCCCAGGATCCCAGTCTCTACCCAGGGGGACGGTGTTTGGGAGAAAGCAACAGGTAAACCCCATCCAGCCCTGCCATTAACTCATCGTGCGGCTTTGGGTAGGATCTGTCTCTCCTCTGCCCTCATTTTCCTCCATTTTAAAATGAACTAATAAACTTCTGCTTCAATAGAGCAAATTTATGTCTGCCCCTTAAAGCCCCACTAAAATGAGAGGGAATGAATAAAATAGGCACAAAGCCACAGAACAATGGGAAAGAAAAGAGGCATGAAAAACAGTACAATGGGGAAGAAAGGAGGCACAAAGCCTCTCAGGAAGCTGCTGGAGGATGTGCTCCAACAAAATGAGAGAGTAAATCATGAAAGAAGACACAGGGTACAGGAAACCCTGTACCCTACCATGGGAGAGGTAAAGCTACTCCTTAGAAAACAGGCACAAAGACAGAACAATGGGAAAGAAAACAACTGCAGAGATGGGAGATGTCAGCTAAATTTTGGAGGCTACAAGTAGGTGGCACCTGGTAAGACGTTTAGCAGACCAAAAAAAGTTGAACCCAAGTGCCTGCAGTGGGGAGAGGTGTGGTGTTGGCAGGAGACAAGGAGAAGCCTCACAACCTTGGAAGCACTTGAGAACTGGGGGCATCAGTAACCTCTGAAGAGGGGATGAAGGAAGAGGCTAAAAACAGCGATTGTTGGCCAGGCATGGCGGCTCATGCCTGTGATCCCAACTCTTTGGGAGGCCAAGGCAGGAGGATCGCTTGAGACCAGGAGTTCCAGACCAGCCTGGGCAACATGGCAAAACCCTGATTCTACAAAAAGAAAACAAAAATTAGCTGGGTATGGTGGCCTGCACTTGTGTCTCCAGCTACTCAGGTGGGTGAGGTGGATCCTGCCCAGGAGATGGAGGCTGCAGTGAGTCAAAATCATACCACTGCACTCCAGCCTGGGCAACAGAATGAGACCTTGTCTCAAAAAAATAAAAAATAAAAATAAAAACAGAGTTTGTTGGTTGTGAGTCTTTAAAATGCCCAACTCAGTCCCCAGATCTCCCCTGCCACCTCCAGTATTCAGGAGTTTCCTCACCATCCTACCATCCCCAATCCTGCTCCACACAAAGTTTACTCTCTGGAGAGAGGATGCACCATAATCAGAACAGAAGGGGGAATTAAGCAATATCCCCTCCCCACATCCTCCCCCACTCAGATTCCAGAAGACTGCAGCAACCAGGGTTATGCCCCAAGGCAGGAGAAAAGTCTCTGAGGAGCTAACCATTCCAAGAATAGTATCCTATAGCTACTTCCATTTTTGTGTTCCTCAATGTTATGGCCAAGACCTAACTTACAGTGAAATTTCACCAGTCACCAAGCTCTGCCAAGCAATTAGGTTTTTAGTGCTCCTCTCTTGAATGGTCAACCAAGGATTACTGAGAATTTCAAAACACACATCCTTTCTTGAGAAGCTGCTGGAGGATGTGCTCCAACAAAATGAGAAAGTATATCATGAAGGAAGACACAGGGTACAGGAAACCCTGTATCCTACCATGGGAGAGGTAAAGCTACTCCCCAGAAAATGTGTGAAGGGAAGGCCCGGGTTGATGCTGAACAGCAGGACTAGGGCATTTCCCATCCGGAGGGAGCAGGAGAAAAGAATGCCCTGGGAGGGAGGTCTTCAAGAAAAAAATAAGGAAGAGGAAAAGGAGAGTAGATAGACTATCGAATAGGTTTGAACATCTAGAAAAATTGTTTTTTGAGATGTCTTACCGAAGTTTATAAATGCAAAAATAAAAAGAAGCAATTAATTTCAAGAAAACCAAGTTGTACAAGAAAACGAAATGCCGCTACATGATTTAATATGGAATGTAATGCATATAGTCATAATAGAAACATTGAACAGGAGTTTTTTTAATTGTGTAAAAACCATATTAAGATGATTTCGATTTCCACCTAGAAAGTAGAGAGTCAGATGGGAGTATTGTTCCCATCATAACAATGGGAAAGCCAAATAATATACAAAATCTTTTTTTTTTTTAGCCTACTGGAGAGCTGGGGTCACAGGCCACCAAGCAAACTGGTTTCTGGAGGTAACTAGAACACATTATCTTTGATGGATGAAACACATGATCTGTTTCATGTTTGACAGAGCACAGAGGAATAGGTAGTTGCCGCAAAAGTAGATAAGGAGAAAATGACTAGTATCTTAATGAAATCTTAATGGCTGAGCATTAGCTAGAGTGGCAGTTTACTGGGAGCCCCAGACACAAGGGTAACCTGTACCCTCAGTTTCTTCCTACAGTCCTCCACTGGATGCTCATGAGAATGATGTGGAGTGGGACAGGGCCTGAGAGAGGCCCCATGGTAACATAGCCATGCAGGACATGCCAAGGGTTGAGGGTGGAGCAGGATTACCTGGAGAAGCCCATCTGCACTCTGGGCCCTGCATGAGTGCAAGGTGGTAATTGGCTGCTGCCGAGAGATAAACACCTGCACCCTGGCTTTGCTTTGATTTAAGATGCCCATCCCACAGGTCCCTGACCTGCTATAAAGCAAATGTTGACTGCTGCTGCTGCAGGAGTAGAAGACCCTCCCACCACAATGTTGCAGTGACACTAAGCAAAAGACATCAGTGCTGGGCGCCTTGGCTCATGCCTGTAATCCCAACACTTTGGGTGGCCGAGGTAGGCAAATTGCTTGAGCCTAGGGGTTCGAGACCAGCCTGGGCAACATGGCAAAACTCTGTCTCTTAAAAAAAAAAAAAAAAAAATTAGGCAGATGTGGTGGTGTACACCTGTAGTCCCAGCTACTCAGGAGGCTGAGGTGTGAGGATCACCTGAGCCTGGGAAGTTGGAGGCTGCAGTGAGCCGTGATAGCACCACTGTACTCCATCCTGGGCAACAGAGTGAGACCCTGTCTCAAAAGAAAACCAAAAAAAAAAAAAAAGCCACTGGACACTGGCAAGGAAGAGGCAACCCATTAGTGTCCAGGATTTTGCACTGATATAAAACAGAGGGCTGCTGCTACTACTGGGAAACGAACAGGAATCTCACTTCCACTCAAGATCCCCCAACCAATAAGGCAGAGATTGGTTCCCATGGGGATGAAGGGGAAGAAGTCTGCCTGCACTCTAGTACCTGCACTGAATAAGAAGCAGAGGTTGTCAAAAACTGGAGGAGAAACAGGAACACTTAGAAAGCCCTACTCCTGGGGCTCAAGACTGTCTAAGGCTGAAGCTAGAGCAGGAGAATCAAGAATTCACTGCCTCCACCACAAGCCTTGCACCAAGCAACAAGTAATAGCAGTCTACTGCTGGAGAAGGGACTAGAACACGAAGAGAGATTTCCTCTGTGTTGCATGCATGCAATGCTGAGCGCGGAGTGGGGACACTGGGAAAATTCCTGTGGGACTCAAGTCCTCATGCTGAACACAATGTAGGGACGGTCCACCACTGGAGAAATTTGGAGCCTGTAGTATACAGAAGGTAACTATAGCAACAACAAAACCTAAATCCAGCTGGGCACTGTGGCTCATGCCTGTAATCCCAGCACTTTGGGAGGCCAAGGCAGGAGGATCATTTGAGCCCAAGAGTTCAAGATTGGCCTGGGCAACATAGTGAGACTCCATCTCTAAATAAACAGATAAATAAATAAAACTTAAACCTAAATCAACTACAGATTATATTGACTTGAGGCCTATACTACAGCCACGACATAAGAAATATTCCAATTTCTAGGCATAAATATCATTTACTTTACTACTGTTCCATTACACACAACGCCTGGTAGTTAGTCAAAGATTTTAAGACATACAGAACCAGATCTTAGAGATGGCCAAAATGTTGGAACTATCATATAGAGACAAGATAGCTCTGATAAATATGTTAAAGGGTGTAGTGGAAAAGGTAAACCTCTAAGAACAGACGGGAAATTTCAGCAGAACAATGGAAACTATTAAGGCTAGTCAAGTAGAAATGTTAGAAATAAAAAACTCGATATCAGTGATGAAGAATTCCTTTAATGGGTTTATTAGCAAACTGGACACAGCAAAGTAAACAATCCTTGAACTTGATGATAGTGTAATATAAATTATCCAAATTGAAATATAAAGAGTAAGAAGAGTGAAAATAAAAATTAACAGATTACCCAAGAACTGTGCAAATGGTCTGTATATATGTAACTGGAATCCTAGCTAAAGGAGAGAGAACAGAGAAGAATAAATAGAAACAGAAAGAAAAGAAAATTGAAAATTAAAAAATGGCCAATTTTTTTCCAAAATTAATAAAAGACAACAAACCACAGATCCAAGAAGCTCTGCAAAACCCAATGGAATAAATGCAAAGAAAAACACATCTAGATACATCCTAGTCAAACTGCTGCAGAACCGAAGATAAAATCTTGAAGTCAGCCAGAGAAAAGAGCCATTGTACACAGAAGATAAAAGATACGAACTACAAGAGACTTCTTATCAGAAACTATCAAAACCAGATGATAATGCAGCCATATCTTTCAATAAAAATCTGTCATTCTAAAACTCCATGCCCAGTGAAAATATCTTTCAAAAACGAAGACAAGGTCGGGTGCAGTGGCTCACACCTGTAATCCCTGCACTTTGGGAGGCTGAGGTGGGTAGATCGCTTGAGCCCAGGGGTTCGAAACCAGCCTGGCCAACATGGCAAAAACCCGTCTCTAGAAAATATACAAAACTTAGTCAGGCATGGTGGCATGCACCTGTAGTCCCAGCTATTCAGGAGGCTAACGCTGGAGGATCACTTGAGTCCAGGAGGTCAAGATTGCAGTGAGCCATGATCATGCCATTGCACTCCAGCCTGGGTGACAGAGCAAGACCCTGTCTCAAAAAAAAAAAAAAAAAAAGAAGAAGGCAAAATAAGAACTTCTTCAGATGAGCAAGGAGTTTGAGAATTCATTGCCAGCAGATTGGCACTAAAATAAATATTGAAGAAAATTCTTAGGGCAGAAGAAAAATTATGCCAGTTGGAAATTTGGACTTAAACCAAGAAATGAAGAGTATTGAAACTGGCAAAAATGTGTCAAATATAAAATAAATTACCTTGGTTTTAATATCTGTTTAATGTAAAAACAGTAACAATGCATTGTGGGGATCACAGTGTCTGTAGAAGTAGAAGTGTACCACAAAAATAGCACGACAGGCAGGAGAGAGGAAATGGAAGTATTTGGTTGTGAGGTTCTTAAACTACATTTTAAGTATTGTAATGTTATTCGAAGGTAAATTGTGGAAAGTTAAATATGTGTATTTAAATCCTACAATGCCATCACAAAAAAGAGAAAATTATAAGATACAGCTAGTAAGGCAATACTAGAGATAAAATAATATTATGAAAACTGCTCAATCCAAAATAAGACAGGACAAGAAGAAAAAGAAACAAAGAACAGATGGAATACAGAGAAAACAAATAGCAAGATGGTAGATATAAACCCAATCATATAAATAATTACATTAAGCATAGTCCAAATGCTCCAATTAAAAGGCAAAAATTGTCTGACTGGATTATAAAAGCAAAACCTAACTACATACTGTCTTCAAGAAACACGTACCAAATATAAAGACACCAATAAATTACATGTAAAATGATGGAAAAAAGATATACCAATCATAAGTGTATTAGTATAGTTTCACACTGCTATAAAGAGCCATCAAAGACTGAGTAATTTATAAAGAAAAGAGGTTTGAGTCACAGTTCCACAGGCATGGCTGGGGAGACCTTAGGAAACTTACAATCATGGCGGGAGGCGAAGGGGAAGCAAGCATGTCTTCACATGGCAGCAGGGGAGAGAGAGAGAGAAGGGGGAAGTGCTACACACTTTTAAACCATCAGATCTTCTGAGAACTCACTCACTATCAGGAGAACAGCAAGGGGGAAATCTGTCCCCATGATCCAAACACCTTCCACCAGGTCCCTCTCCAACATTGAAAAATTACAGTTCAACATGAGATTTGCATGGGGACCCAGAGCCAAACCATATCAATAAGTAAGAGGGAATAGCTATATTAATATCTGAAAAAGTAAACTTCAGGATAAGGAATTTTACCAGGGATAAAGATTATATAATGCTAAAGACTAATTCGTCAAGAAAATGTAACAATCTTTAATGTGTGTGCACCTAATAACAGAGTTTTGAAAAATAAAGCAAAAATTGATAACACTAAAAGGAGAAATTGACAAACCAACACTTATAGTTGCAAAATGCAATATTTGTCTCTGAGTAATTGCTAGAAGTAGACAAAAATTGATATAGAAGATATATCAGTCCATTCTCATGCTGCTATGAAGAAATACCCAAGACTGGGTATATAATCATGGAGGAAGGCACCTCTTCAAAGGGTGGCAGGAGAGAGAATGGCTAGCAGGGGAAAAACCAGATGCTTATAAAACCATCAGATCTCATGAGAACTCACTCACTATCACGAGAGCAGTATGGGGGAAACTGCCCCCATGATCCAATCACTTCCCATCAGTCCCTCCCATGACACATGGAGATTATGGGAACTACAATTCAAGATGAGATTTTGGTGGGGATGCAGCCAAACCATATCAGAAGACATGAACAACACTATTAACTATCTTCTTTATATTTATAGAACACTCTCCTAATTACGCAAAATACATATTCTTTTCAATTACAACAGGAAACATTCACAAAAATAGACCATATTCTGGGCCATAAAATAAATCTCAATAAATATAAAAGGATTAAAAGCACACAAAGTAAGTTCTGTAACCACCAGGAACTTAAACTAGAATTAAAAAACATAAAGAGGCCTCAAAAAATCCTCCAAATATTTGGAAATTAAATAATACACTATTAAGTAACCCATGAGTCAGAGACAAAATCACAAGGGAAATTATAAAATATATTCAACTGAATAAAAATGAAAACACAACATAATATTTATGGGATGCAGCTAAAGCAGTGCTTAGAGAAAAATTTATAGCATTAAACGCTTACATTAGGAAAGATGAAGGATTTCAAGTCAGTGATCTATGCTTCCACCTTAATAAATATAAAAAGAAGAGCAAACTAAGCATAAAATAAGCAGAAGGAAAAATAATAAAGATAAAATTATGGCCGAGCGTGGTGGCTCACACCTGTAATCCCAGCACTTTGGGAGGCCAAGGTGGGCGGATCACAAAGTCAGGAGATTGAGACCATCCTGGCTAACACGGTGAAACCCCATCTCTACTAAAAATACAAAAAGTTAGCCGGGCATGGTGGCAGGTGCCTGTAGTCCCAGCTATTCGGGAGGCTGAAGCAGGAGAATGGCGTGAACCTGGGAGGCAGAGCTTGCAGTGAGCTGAGATTGCGCCACTGCACTCCAACCTGGGCAACAGAGCAAGACTCCGTCTCGAAAAAAGAAAAAAAAAAAAGATAAAATTATAAATCAATAAAATAGAAAATGGAGTAGAGAAAAATTAATGAAACCAAAAGCTGGTTATTTGAAAACCTCAATAATATTGATAAGTCTCTAGGCAGAATGATAAAGGGGAAAAAAGGACAAAGTACAATGACCAGTTATCAGCAATAAAAGAGGGGCTATCACTACAGAACCTGCAGATATTAAAAAATAGGAGAATAATATTAACAATTTATGGCAATAAATTACATAACTTAGGTGAAATGAAAAAAAATTCCTTGAAATACACAAACTACCAATGCTTACTCAAGAAAAAATAGAAAATAGGAATAGTCCTTCATTGATTAAAGGAATTGAATTTGTAATTTAAAAATCTTCCCACAAAGAAACACTAGGCCCAGATGGCCTCACTGATTAATTCTTCCAAACATTTAAAAAAGTTATAATATCAATTCTACAGAAACTCTTAGAAAAAAATGGAAGACAAAATAAGTAATGATAACAATCCTAAATGTATTCCTTTAGAAAATAGAAGGGAAAATGCTTCCAAATTCATTTTAGGAGGCTAATATTACTGTATACCAAAACTAGCCACAGACATTACAAGGTAACTACAGACCAACACCCCTCATGAATATAGATCCAATTCCAGTTAAAATCACTACAGGATATTTTTTAGAAAATGACAAGCTGACTGTAAAATTTATATGTAAAAACAAAGGATCTTGAATTGACAAAACAATTTTGATAAAGAAGAATGAAGTTGGAGGAGTCACACTACCTGATTTCAAGGCTCACTATAAAGCTACAATAATCAAGACAGTGTGTTACTGGCATAAGGACAGATATAGAGATGAATAGAACAGAATAGAGAGTCCAAAAATTTGTTCATATATTGATTTTTGTCGATTAATTTTTGACAAAGATGCAAAGATAATTCAATAGAGAAAGGATAATTGATTCAACAATTAGTGATGGAACAATTGGATATCTCATGCCAACAAAAAAGCCATCTTGAATCCATATCTTGAAGCACATACAAAATTTAACTCAGAATGGATCACAGATGCAAATAACAAGACTAAAACTGTACAGGTATACCTGGCTTTATTGCATTTTGCAAATCTTGTGGGTTTTTTTTACAAATTGAAGATTGCAGCAACCCTGCATCAAGGAAGTCTATCTGCACCATTTTTCCAATAGTAAGTGTTCACTTAATGGCTGGGTCCTGTTTTGGTAATTCTCATAATATTTCAAACTTTTTCATTATTATTATACCTGCTGTGGTGATCTGTGAACAGAGATCTTTGATGTTACTATTGTAATTGTTTTGGAGTACCACAAACTGCGCCCATATAAGATGGCAAACTTAACCAATAAATGTATGTGTTTTGACTGCTCCACCAACTAGCTGTTCCCCTGTCTCCCTCCCTCTTCTTGGGCCTCCCTATTCTCTAGGACACAACAATATCGAAATCAGAACAATGAATAACTCTACAATGGCCTCTTAAGTGTTCAAGTAGAAGAAAGAGTCACACATCTCTCATTTTAAATCAAAAGCTAGAAATTTTAAGCTCAGTGAGGAAGACACGTGAAAACCCAGATAAGCCAAAAGCGAGGCATCCTGCACCGAACAGTTCACAAAGTTATGAATGCAAAGGAAAAGCTCTTAAAGAAAATTTAAAGTGCTACTCCAGTGAACACATGAAGCAAAACAACCTTATTGCTGATATGGAGAAAGCTTCAGTGATCTGGATAGAAGATCAAACCAGCCCCCGGCCAACGTTCCCTTAAGCCAAAGCCTAGTTCAGAGCAAGGCCCTAACTCTTCAATTCTATGAAGGCCAAGGTGGGTGAGGAAGCTGAAAAAACGTGGAAGCTAGCAGAGGTTGGTTCATGAGGTTTCAGGAAAAAAGCCATCTCCATGACATAGCAGTACAAAGTGAAACAGCAAGTGCTGATGGAGAAGCAAGTTATCCACAAGAACTAGCTAACATCATGCATGAGGGTGGCCACATTAAACAACAGAATTTCAGTGTAGATGAAAGAGCCTCATATTGGAAGCGGATGCCATCTAAGAGTTTCATAGCCAGAGAGAAGAAATCAATGCCTGGTTTCAAAGCTTCAAAGGACAGGCTAACTCCCTTGTTAGCGGGTAATGCAGCTGGTGACTTTCAATGGAAGCCAATACTCATTTAACATCCTGAAAATCCTAGGTCTCTTAAGAGTTATGCTAAATCTATTCTGCCTGTGCTCTACAAATGGAATAACAAAGCCTGGATGATAGCAATCTATTTATAGCATAGTTTCCTGAATATTTTAAACCCACTGTTAAGACCTACTACTCAAAAAAAAAAAAAGATTTATTTCAAAATATTTCTGCTCATCGACAATGTACCTAGTCACCCAAGAGCTCTGATGGAGATGCACAAGGAGATCAATGTTGTTCTCGTGCTGCTAACACAACATCCATTCTGCAGCCCATGGATCAAGGAGTCATTTCGACCTTCAAGTCTTATTATTTAGGAAACAAATTTCATAAGGCTATAGCTGTCATAGATAGTGATTTCTCTGATGGATCAGGGCAAAGTAAATTGAAAATCTGGAAAAGATTCACCCTTCTAGATGCTGCAAGAACATGTGATTGTGATTCATGGGAAGAAGTCAAAATATCAACATTAACAGGAGTTTGGAAGAGGTTGATTCCATGCTTCATGGACGACTTTGAGGGGTTCAAAACTTCAGTGGGGAAAGTAATTACAGATGTGATTAGAATAGCAAGAGAACTAGAATTAGTAGTGGATCCTGAAGATGTGACTGAATTGCTGCAGTCTCATGATCAAACTTGAATGGATGGGGAGTCGCTTCTCATAGATGAACAATGAGTGGTTTTTTGAAATGGAATCTACTCCTGGTGAAGATATGGTGAACACTGTGGAAATGACAACAAAAGATTTAGAATATTAAATAAATGTAGTGGATAAAGCCCCTGCAGGGTTTGAGAGGACGGACTCCAATTTTGAATGAAGCTCTACCGTGAGTAAAATACTATCAAACAGCATCACATGCTACAGAAAAACATCTTATGAAAGGAAGAGTCAACTGATGTGGCAAACTTCACTGCTGTCTTAAGAAACAGCCAGCCACCCCAACCTTCAACCACCACCACCTTGATCAGCATCAAGGCAAGACTTTCCACCAGCAAAAAAGCGTGTGATTTGTTGAAGGCTCAGATAGATTGCTAGTACTTTTTAGCAATAAAGTGTCCTTTAACTAAGGTATGTACATTTTTAGACATAATGCTTTTGTACACTAAATAGACTACAGTATAATGTAAACATAACTTTTTTCATGTGTGAGACAGTCTCGCTCTGTTGCCCAGGCTGGAATGCAGTGGTGCGATCTCAGCTCACTGCAACCTCCGCCTCCACCTCACAGGTTCAAGTGATTCTCCTGCCTCAGCCTCCCAAGTAGATGGGATTACAGGCACACACCACCATGCTCGGCTAATTTTTGTATTTTTAGTAGAGATGGGGTTTCACCATGTTGGCCAGGATGGTCTCGATCTCCTGACCTCATGATCCGCCCGCCTCGGCCTCCCAAAGTGCTGGGATTACAGACATGAGCCACCGTGCCTGGCCGTAAGCATCACTTTTATATGCACTGGGAAACCAAACAATTTGTGTGACTCACTTTATTACCATATTTGCTTTACTGTGGTGGTCTAAAACCAAACCCACAATATCTCCAAGATATGCCTGTAAAACTCCTTGGAAAAAACAAAAAAGAAAATCCTTCTGACTTAGGTTATGCAAAGATTTCTTAGAAACAACACCAAAAACGTGATCCATGGCAACAACAACAACAAAAAACTGATAAGTTGAATTTCATCAAAATTAAAACTTCTGCTTTTTGAAAGTCATGGTTAGCAAAACGAGAAGATAAGCCACAGACTGGGAGAAAATATTTACAAACACATATCTGATGTTTTTAAAAAATTGTATCTGGACTACATAAAGAACTCTTACACAACTAATAAGAGGACAAACAACCCAATAAATATAGGAAAAGATTTGAACAATCACTATACCAATGAAGATGTATATAGATGGGCCGGGCGCGGTGGCTCATGCCTGTAATCCCAGCACTTTGGGAGGCCGAGGCGGGTGGGTCACCCAAGGTCAGGAGTTTGAAACCAGCCTGGCCAACATGGTGAAACCCCTGTCTCTACTAAAAATACAACAATTAGCCAGGTGTGGTAGCATGTGCCTGTAATCCTAGCTGCTCAAGAGTCTAAGGCAGGAGAATTGCTTCAACCCAGGAGGAGGAGGCTGCAGTGAGCTGAGATCATGCCACTGCATTTCAGCCTGGGTGACAGAGCTGGAACTACATGTTAAAAAAAAAAATGTATAGATGCAAATAAGCACATGAGAAACACTCAATATCATTAGTCATTAGAGAAATGCATATAAAAACCACAATCAGATATCACTACACACCTTCTAGAATGACTAGGATTAAAATGGTAATACAAAGTATTATGAGGATATAGAACAGCTGGAAGCCTCATTCATTTCTGGAGGGAATGTAACATGGAAGTGGAATCTAGAAAAGTCAAAACTATTGGATCAGAGAACAAATCAGTAGTTGCCAGGGAGTAGGGAAAAGATATTAACTACAAAAGGGCCTGAGACAACTTTTCAGGGGACAGCAATGTTCTATATTTTGATTGTAATATACATGTATACATGACTGTACACATCTGTCAAAATGCAAAAACTCCTCTCCAAAAGGGTGAATTTTATTGTATGTATACCTCTATAGACAAGACTTTAGAAATCCAATCAAAAAACATATTAAGAGGATGAAGAAGAGGAAATAGGGGAGGGAGGGCAAGAGAACTGATGATCCTCCTCTTAGAGAAAGGAAGTCAACAAAAACTTGCAAGGCTTCAAGAGGGAGAGCCACAAAACTCAAAATATGTGTTTGATGGTAGTGGCAGAGGAAAGTAGTTAAGAACATGAGTTCTCATTTTTCCACCATTGGATCTGCAAAGATCTGAAATATGATAGCACCCAGTGAGTCTGTAGGGACAGGCACATTCCTGCACTCTCTGTCTAAGATCTGAGCCTCATCTGCAAGGGGACGGCTTAGCAACACATTCGAACTTTACGTTCTGAATATCCTTTAAGCCAGGAAACTCATTCTTATGAATTTATCCTATGGAAAGAATAGGGCAAGCCAGGATTATACACATACAAGAATATTTAGAATAGTATTGTTAATAAAGAAAAGTTGAAAGCTATGTGAATGTCTATCAATAGAGGAATAAATAAATTACACTCCAATGCCATTCTGGAAAACAGTTCGACAGTTTCTTATAAAACTAAACATGTACCTATCATATGACCCAATAATTGCACTCTTGGGCTTTTATCCCAGAGAAATGAAACCTCGTGTTCACACAAAAACCTGTATATGAAGAGTCATAGCAGCTTTATTCATGATAGCCTCAAAGTGGGTGAAAATGGTTAAATGGTGATACCTTTACACTCTGAAATACAATTCTCAGCAGTTAAAAAAATGAATTTCTAAAAAAAAGCTACTGACACACACAACTTGGATGGATCTTAAAGGAATTATCATGAGCCAAAAAAAAAAAAAAAAAAGCCAATCTCAAAATGTTGCATGCTGTGTGATTCAATTTATTTAACAGTCTTGAAATGACAAAATGATAAAGATGGAGAACAGATTAGTGGTTGCAAAGGGTTAGGGAGGGGGAGTGTGTTTCTTTAAAGGTCTCGCACAAGGGATCCTTGTGGCGATGGAACAGTTCTGTGTCTTGATCGTGGTGTTGTTTACAGGAATCTTTTATTTTATCATGTCATAAAATTGCAAGGAAAACCATTTGGCAGTTTCTTATAAAGTTAAAATATACTTACCAAAGAACCGGCATACATAAATGAGTGAGTATAATACAGAATGAAGTCTGTGAACTATACCAAAGACAATTTCCTGGCTTTGATATTATACTATAGGCATGCAAGATGTTACTACTGGAGAATAAGTGAAGGGTATACAAAACGTTCTGTACTATTTTTTGCAACCTTCTGTGCATTTATAATTTTCTCAAAATTAAAAGTTAAAATATGCAACAGATTGTCATTTCACTATTAAGAATTATGTGTATTCTTTAAAAAAAAAAAAAAAAAGATGTGTATAGCCAGGCACCATGGTTTGCACCTGTAATCCTAAACTAAGGCAGGAGAATCGCTTGAGGCCAGGAGTTCAAGACCAGCCTAGGCAACATAGTGAGACCCTTTCTCTAAAAAATATTTTGAGGCCAGGCGTGGTGGCTCATACCTGTAATCCCAGCACGCTGGGAGGCCTAGGTGGGCAAATCACTTGAGGTCAGGAGTTCAAGACCAGCCTGGGCAACATGGAAAAACCCCATCTCTACTAAAAATATAAAAATTAGCCAGGCGTGTTGGCACACGTGTAATCCTAGCTACTCAGGAGGCTGAGGCAAGAGGACTGCTTGAGTCCAGGAGTTCAATGCTTCAGTGAGCTATGATGGCACCTCTGCACTCCAGCCAGGATGACAGAGTGAGACTCTTCTCCAAAAACAAAAAACAAAAAACAGGCTGGGCGCAGTGGCTCACGCCTGTAATCCCAGCACTCTGGGAGGCCGAGGCAGGCGCGGATCACAAGGTCAGGAGATTGAGACCATCCTGGTCAACATGATGAAACCGCGTCTCTACTAAAAATACAAAAAAATTAGCTGGGTTTGGTGGCAGGCGCCTGTAATCCCAGCTACTCAGGAGGCTGAGGCAGGAGAATCGCTTGAACCCAGTAGGCGGAGGTTGCAGTGAGCCGAGATCGCGCCACTGCACTCCAGCCTGGCCACAGAGCGAGACTCCGTCTCAAAAAAAACAAAACCAAAAACAAACAAAAAACAAAGCCATGTAAAAGAAGAGCACAGCATATCACTGAGTGGAAAGGACAGGTTGAAAATAACACACATAATCTCATTTATGAAAAATTATGTTTGTATGCATGCTGAAGCATATTGGGAGCTCTAGAAGGGTGGCCACCAAAATGTTAATAATGCTTTTTTGAGGGGAGAGGTGTTTTCAAAACTTCCTTTTATATTTTCTGTATTGTTTAAATTTTCTACAACAAACATATTACCTTCATGACAACAACAAAAAAAACACAAATATTTTAATAGGATTTTTAAATGCTCCAAATGACTATCAATATGGAAGAAATAATAGTGGCATATTGCTCATGAAAGACAGAAAGCACATTGCAAAACAACCTAATCCCATTCTTGAAAAAAAATCCATATATTTTATTACATGCAAAATCTGGACAGGCCAGGTGCAGTGGCTCACACCTGTAATCCCAGCACTTTGGGAGGCCAAGGCAGGAGGATCACTTGAGCCCAGGAGATGGAGACCACCCTGGGCAACACAGCAAGACCCCCATCTCTACAAAATATTAGCTGGGCATGGTGGCGCACACCTGTAGTCCCAGCTACTTGGGAGGCTGAGGTGGGAGGATCACTTGAGCCCGGGAGGTTGAGGCTGCAGTGAGCTATGATTGTGCCACTGCACTCCAGCCTGGGTGACAGATCAAAACCCTGTCTCAAAAACAAAAAACAGAAACCAAATAAGAAAACACTGGAGTGGGGAAGGTTTTTCTAGCTATGACTCAAAATCCAGAAGCCAAAAGAGAAAATACAGATACATTTTATTACATAAAAATTATTTAAAAAGACACTTCTACCTGGCCAAAAGAAGGCCATATGTAATGTTAAAAGACAAGTGACAAATTAGGAAAAATATTTGCATGTAATAGTTTTATATATGTACAATAGACAAGAGCTGATTTTCCCATTATGTAAAAGTTTCTAGAAATTGATAAGGAAAAGTCTAACCCAATATAAAAATGGGCAAATGGCGGGGCGTGGTAGCTCATACCTGTAATCTCAGCGCTTTGGTAGGCTGAGGCAGGAGGATCATTTGAGCTCAGGAATTCGAGACCAGCCTAAGCAACATAGCAAGATCTTGTCTCTACTAAAAATCAGAAACATTAGCTGAGCATGGTGCCATGCACCCAGTAGTTTCAGCTGCTTGGGATGCTGAGGTGAGAGGATCACGTGAGCCCAGGAGTTTGAGGCTGCAGTGAGCTATGATGGTGGCACTGCACTCCAGCTTGTGTGACAGAATGAGACCCTGTATCAAAAATAAATAAATAGAGCCAGACACGGTGGCTCACACCTGTAATCCCAGCACTTTGGGAGGCCGAGGCAGGAGGCTCACCTGAGGTCAGGAGTTCAAGACCAGCCTGGCCAACAAGGTGAAACTCTGTCTCTACTAAAAATACAAAAATTAGTCAGGCGCAGTGGAGCGTGCCTGTAATCCCAGCTACTCGGGAGGCTGAGCCAGGAGAATCGTTTGAACCCGGGAGGCAGAGGTTGCAGTTAGCAGAGATCACATCACTGCACTCCAGCCTGGGTGACAGAGCAAGACTCTGTCTCAAAAAATAAAAATAAATAAATGGTGAACTTGCACATGTGAGAAATAATATAAGCACAGCTACATTGTTTGTAAGAGCAAATAACTAGAACCAGCACAAATATCTATGAACACGGGACTAATTAAATAAACTGTAACTTATTCCTACAACATTAGAATATGCAGATGAAAAAGTGGAAGCTCTGCTCTTATTGACATGGAAAGCTCTCCAAGACGTATTTTCAAGTGAAAAAGCAAAATGCAGAATAGTTTGTAGAGTATGCAACTTATTGTATCAACTGGGGCACTTTTGTATCAACTGGCACATCCAAGCCCAGCTATTGTAGAGACGTGGTTTCAGCATGTTGCCCAGGCTGGTCTCCAACACCTGGGCTCAAGCGATCCTCCCACCTCAGCCTCCCAAAGGGCTGGGATCATAGGAGGAAGCCACCAAGCCCAGTCTCCACTCCAGTGTCATGAAGGAATTTGCCTGTTTCTTCCAGTACTTTTATAGATTCATTTTTCAAATTGAAATCTCCAGTCCATTTGCATTGATACTGGGATGCACTGGGAGATATAAATCCAATTTCATTTTTTCTCCAGGTGGTCACCCATTTTTCTTAACATGAATTTTTTAAATATATATGTTTATTTTTAATACGAAATAGAGACTATGGAGTCACAGAGGACTGGGTTCTTATTTATTTGGTTATTTGGTTATTTATTTGGCTGTGCTATTTACTTACCCTCTCAGAACCTCAGAGAAAAGACAAGGGACAAGATTTGGGGGAGCCGGGTGTGGTGGCTCATGCCTTAATCCCAGCACTTTGGGAGGCTGAAGCAGGAGGATCACTTGAGCCCAGGAGTTTGAGACCAGCCAGAGTAACATAGGGAGACCCCATCTCTACAAAATTAAACATTAAAAAACCTAACCCAGCATGGTGGCATGAGCCTGTGGTCCCAGCTACTCAGGAGGCTGAGATGAGAGGATTACTTGAGCCTGGGAGCCGTGATTGTGACACTGCACTCCGGCCTGGGTGACAGAGTGAGACTTTGTCTCCAAAGCAAAACAAAACAAACAAACAAACAAAAAAACAGAAAGGTTTGGGGAGGCAAAAGAAGCTACTGAAGGAACTCATTCAGGAGAGATAACTCAGGCCCAGTAGTGGAGGACCTGACAGCACAGAAAGGATCTTGGGCCAATTTGTCCACCCCTTCACTATACTGTTGGTGAAACTGAGGCCCAGAGAGATAGATGGATTTGACCTGCAAGGTGTAAGACCAGGCTCTTACCCCCACTGGTTCCAGGCAGGCACTGAGGGAAGAAAAGCCTGACCCTACCACACAACTGAAGAAATTGAGGCCAAAGCAGAAGTGATACCTCCCCCAGGCACTCCAGATAGAAGCTGTGGTTTCCACCCCCTTTCCCAGGAGCAAACCACAGTCTTCACTTCTGCTTGCAACCTCCAAATTCCCCTCCACATCCCTTCAGAGAGGTCACCATGCACCATCCCCCCACACGCTGAGCCATTTCATTCTCCACCCTGCAATTCATTATTTGTGGCCTTCTAGGAAACAGCAATCCCTTATCTGACTTCCAGGATGGTTCCAGTTGATGGTGGGGAAACCGAATACTGCGTAAGAGGAGTCTGCTTGAGGTTCTACAGCAGGCCAGTGGGCAAGCTGGGACTCAAACCCAGGCCTCCACGGTCCAGGGCACTACCCCCTGCACACTGCAGCCTCCCAAAGATGGTTGGGCAGCTGAGTTGCTTTGCAGACAAGTAAGACTCTATTTAGGCCAATAGAGAAATGAGGAGCTGTGGAGCACAGGACAGAGCCTTTGGAAGATGAGAATTTGATAACCAGTTGCAGTATTCAGTGCCTAGGCTGTGTGACACTGGGCAGGCACCTGACCTCTCTGTGTCTCAGGTTTTCTCATCTGTAAAATGAGGCCAAGGAAATCTATTTCCCAGAAAGAGAAATTCAAACAACAATTTCCCTGATCCTCTCCTGGGAATCAGGCCCTGAGAAAGGTCCAGGGCTCTGATCAAAGTCCTTGGCCAGGAATACATCTGAGCACAAGGCTTGGGAACCCCTGCCTTCCTCCCTACAGCTGACCATGCACCCCCGAAGCCCACCTCTCCCCAGCAGCACGAAGGCCTACTGAGCCAGCCATTCTCCGCACACAGCCCCACCTGCCCCTGCCAACCACAGTCTGGAGCCCCTGCCCCTGGCCTGGGTGAGGAATCAATCAACCTGTGGTCTCTGCAAAAAAGCACTAACAGGCCAGGAACGGTGGCTCACGCCTGTAATCCCAGCACTTTGGGAGGCCAAGGCAGGTGGATCACCTGAGATCAGGAGTCCGAGACCAGCCTGACCAAAGTGGCGAAATCCCGCCTCTACTAAAATTACGAAAATTAGCCAGGCATGCTGGCTGGTGCCTGTAATCCCAGCTACTCAGGAGGCTAAGGCAGGAGAATCGCTTGAACCTGGGAGGTGGAGGTTGCAGTGAGCCGAGATCGCACCACTGCACTCCAGCCTGGGCAACAAAGCAAGACTCCGTCTCAAAAAAAAAAAAAAAAAAAAAAGCCCTAAGAAATGCTATAGTAACCCTATTTCCCAGGTTGGGAAAGAGAGGCCACCCTGGAGCCCAACAGGAAGTCTGTGACCAAGCCAGCAGCAGGTCCATTTACCTGAGACATGCTGTCCCCAGGATCCAATCCAGGTCACTCTGAAAGGAGCTGCACCTGCTCCAGATTGCCAAGCACAAACTGTGTGCCAGGTCCTCTACTGAGCCCCTGACAGCCATCCAAGGTGCAGGTTCCCAGACTCACCCCATTTTACAGATGAGAAACTGAGGTCCAGAAAAGAAACCTCTCTTCACTTGTCCCAGACCTCGCGGGGAAGCTAAGATTCGAGACCCATGCCTAACCACTTCTTAATTTAAATTGCCCCTCCTTCCAAAAGCACAGATCTCTACATTGCCCCAGATGTGGAGCTGCCAACCAGAAAGGGAAGGAGGGTGGGTCCCCAGCTTGCTCACCAGGATATCACCAGGTCTGTGCCCACCTGGACATGGGTATGGCCAGTGCCCACTGAGGGGCCTGTGGATAAGGACAGAGAACTGGGCAGAGGAGAGTGGGGAGAGGCCCGGAGGAGGCTGACCTGAGAAGCTGCCGCTGCCGTCTCAGCTGCTGTCTCGGCTGCTGTCTTGTAGCTTCTGCAGGAAGAAGGGGAAGTCGGGAGGCGTCTGTGGGTGGCCTCTCCCTTTGCCCCACACCTGCACCCCCACTGCACTTCTCTCTGCTCCCTTCACCCCAGGCCCAGGCACCACACTCTCACTTCACTTCTTCTTTCACCAGCAGCAGCCTCTTTGCTTCCTTCGAGCTGTCGGTCATGCCCTGGTCACCCTTTGAGGGTATCACCCCGTAGAGTCTGCAGCTACTTCCTGGGGTGGCTGCTCCTCTGTGGAGGTGCTCAAGGACATGGCAACGTGGCCTTATGCAGTGCGCAAGACCCACCTGAGCTCTGCACCTTTGGGCAAGACATGTTGCCCCTCTGGGCCTCAGTTTTCCCATCTATAGAAAAGGGAAAATGATCCCTGCCTGACCTGACAATTGATGGCATATTGATGATGGCAAAGACCTCAGGCAGCAGCTTGGTCAGACTGCCTGGGTTCAAGTACCAAGCCCACCACTTACTGGGTGGGTGACTTGGGGCAAGCCACTCATGCTCTCTGAACCTGTTTCCCCTCTGTAAAATGGAGATAATGACAGTACCATCTTGCAGGGCAGTGTGGGGCTTACAAAAGGTAAGGCTGGCAAAGTCACTGGAAGTGCTCTATGAAGCCGTCATATTTCACAGATGAGGGACCTGAAGCCCAGAGAGGACCTGGGCCTGGCCCAGAGTTGCCAAGTGGCAGAGCATGGTGGAGAGGGGCCTCCCTGGCCACAGAGCCCAGAAAACATGAGGCTGGAAAGCTGGCCAGCTTCTCCTTGAGCCAGGCAGCTGGATAGGCCTGTCCTGCATCAGCCATACCCTCTGAAGAGCTCTAAGGGAAAGCAAGGAGGTGTGTGTGGGGGATAGAGAGAGAGTGTTGGTAATGGGGAGACGGTGCTCTCTCTTGCCTGGGCCCCATCCAGACTCCTGGGAAAACTGACTCAGGAATGTGCTCTTCCAGCCCTGGGGGAAAGATGGAGAGGCAGCAAAAGGGAGAAACCAGACAGGTCCTAACATGGTCTCCCCGCTCTCTGCCTCACTGGGGCCCTTCCCGCATCAGCCCAAATACAGCTTGCAGGTAGTACAAGTGGCCTCTGCTGAAGCAGGAGGGAGCTGCTCCTTGGAGGGCAGCCAGGTCCCCACCCCAGCTGCACGGTGAAGGTTTTGCAGGGACACCGGTGCACCTGTGTCCTGACTCCTGGGCTACACTCCCTCTGGGTGACTTGGGCAAGCCTTGGCCCTTCTTTGCGCTTCGGTTTTCTTTGATCAGGATCCAGACCTTGACCTCCAGGCTCTTCCTTTCCGAGGTCACCCAGCTACCTCTAGGATTGCCATGCCAACCTCCTCCTTCCTCATGCTGAATGTGAGCCCAACTGGCTATTCTTAGGGCTCAGGAGGAGGCCCTGCCTACCCCATAGCCCCTCTAGCCTGGGTCTGTACCAGCCTCACTGTGCCTTGCTTCAGTTGGGGGCTAAGTTAGTGCCCGTTACTTAGCCCTGCACTCCTGATCCTGAAGCTCACTACCAAGATACTCTCCTGCTCAAAAGCCAGTGGTGAGGCTGGGTGCGGTGACTCAGGCCTGTTATCCCAGCACTTTGGGAGGTGGAGGCAGGCAGATTACTTAAGGCTAGGAGTTTGAGACCAGCCTGGGCAACATGGCAAAACCCCGTCTCTACTAAAAATACAAAAATTAGCCGGGTGTGGTGGCACATGCTTGTAATTCTAGGTACTCGGGAGACTGAGGCACAAGAATCGCTTAAACCCGGGAGGTGGAGGTTGCAGTGAGCCGAGATCGCACCACTGCATTCCAGCTTGGGCAACAGAGTGAGACTCCACCTCAAAAACAAAACGAACAAACAAAAAACCAGTGGTGGCTCCCTATTGCCTTCACAGTCTAACCCCGTCCAACTTCCATTGCCACCCAGTCTGATTGTGCTTGCCATATTAATACCCACCTCCCTGCTCGGTCCCAGCTGTGGTCCCACACATGTACCTGGGAAGCCCTCCAGCTCCTCTCCACCCATCAGGGCTCCACTGGATCCTGCCTCCTCCAGGAAGGCTTCTCTGCCTCCTGCTCCTCCAGGAAGGCTTCTCTGCCTCCTGCTCCTCTACAAAACACTCTGGATGCTTGAGCAGTAGGAAGCCTGCCAGTCTCCTCTCAGGCCCCCAGGCAGGGAGGAGGCCACATACCATCTCAGTAAAGTGTCTCCCTATATGGGGGCTACTTACCCTGGTGAGTAGCCTGCAAGAAGATTGTAGGTGGGACCCCGACAGGACTTTAGATAAACAGTCACAATGCAAAAAAAGTCATTTACACATCTTTTTCAATCTTGGTTGTGTCCAGCAAAAGCCTCAGCTTAGAGCTAAACTGTTTCTTTTGTTTTTTGTTTGTTTGTTTGTTTGTCTGAGACAGAGCCTCACTCTGTCGCCAGGCTGGAGTGCAGTGGCGCAATCTCGGCTCACTGCAACCTCTGCCTCCCAGGTTCAAGCTATTCTCCTGCCTCAGCCTCCCAAGTAGCTGGGACTACAGGTGCACACCACCACGCCCAGCGAATTTTTGTATTTTTAGTAGAGATGAGGTTTCACCATGTTGGCCAGGATGGTCTCGATCTCTTGACAAGTCAAGTGATCCGCTCACCTTTGCCTCCCAAAGTGCTGGGATTACAGGTGTGAGCCACTGTGCCCCGCCGAGGGCTAAATTGTTTTAACCCCTCTCTAACACAGACTATGTCCCTTATTTTTCCCCATTTTTCAATCTTTTATTAGACTTCAAAACAGGACGTCTGACTTTTAAATGTTTTATTGTGGTAAGATATATATATATATACACGCACACACACATACATATATGTAACAAAAGCTACCATTTTAAGCATTTTTAAGTGTAGATTCAGACCAGGTGGGTTGGCTCGCACCTATAATCCCAACACTTTGGACAAAGCCCTAGTGGTAGGACTACTTGAGCCCAGGAGTTCGAGACCAGCCTGGGAAACATAGCAGACCCTGCCTCTATAAAAAAAAAAAAAATTTAGTTGGTCATGGTAACGTGCCCCTGTAGATCCACCTACTCAGGAGGCTGAGGTGGGAGGACCGCTTGAGCCCAGGAGGTCGAGGCTGCAGAGAGTTGTGTTCGAACCATTGCACTCCAGCCTGGGTGACAGAGTGAGACCCTGTCTCAAAAAAAAAAAAAAAAGGGGTACAGTGCAATGGCATTATCTACCTTTACACTGTCATGCAAACATCACCACATCCCATGTCCAAAACATTTTTCATATTCTCAAACTGAAACTCCATACCCATGAAACAGAACTTCCTGTTCTCTACTCCCCCAAGCCCTTAGCAATCACCGTTCTATTTTCTGTCTCTTGAATTTGACCACTCTAAGTGCCTCATCTTAGTAGAATCATACAGTCTTTGTCCTTGCGTGACTGGCTCATTTCACTTAGCATGACGTCTTCAAGGTTCCTCCGTGTTGTAGTGTGTCAGACTCTCATTCCTTTTAAAGGTTGAATCACATTCCACTATGTGTATAATACATATTACATTTTGTTCATTCATCTGTTGATGGACACTTCAGTTACTTCCACCTTTCAGCTATTGTGAATAATGCTACAATCAACATGGGTGTAGAAATGATGCCCCTTCTTAACAAAGAGAACGTTTCTAGCTAGACTTTACTAACGTTGTTTTATTTGCATACTATTTATTTTTATGATCTTTTTCTATTTGTGGCAAGTTATACAAATTTTCTATTTACCTAGCTATATGAAATAGGCTTTAAGATACAAGTAGGTCCTACAAAGTGAAATGATTTAAAGAAAAATGCTAGGTAAATAAGGGCATGTGTTAGTGGCAAAAAGTGGTGGCAGTAATACAGGAAAACAGAACTGCTGAAGTGTGGGAAATATTGACACACGCCTCAAAAACCTGACTGTCCTGAACTGAGTGGGACAGGCTGCCAGAGAGAAACCCTGCCGAGACCACTGGGGAGGTTGACGCCAGATTAGCCTTGCATTCAGAGAGGCGCCTGGGGGTGTTGTTCTAGAAAGAGAACTATGGTAAAATTGAAACAGTCAGATCTGGGATCTGACATCTCATAGGGTGACCCCGGGCCAGTTACTCGAGACGATCCTCTGGCCTCTGCCTCCCAAGTTAGCTGGGGCTACAGGAGCGTACCATCACACCTGTCTAAACTTTTTATCTTTTTGTAGAGACAGAGTGTCCCTATGTTCCCACGCTGGTCTTGAACTCCCGGCCTCAGGCGATCCTCCCGCTTTGGCTTCCCAAAGCACTGGGATTACAAGTGTGAGCCGCCGTGCCCAGTCCAGTCATTTCTGATCTTCACTTTTCTCATTATGAGAGGGTGGTAATAACACCCAGCCCCTAGGTAACTAAGATAACATCATGCGAGCTGCCAAAACCTGTGGCCAGCACCTACTTTGGTTCTACGATCGGGTGGGTCACGTCACCCCACCCTAGCCCCTGCAAAAGACATCCTCAGGACAATATTTACTGCTTCTTCCTAAGGAGAGAAGGCCTGATAGTGATGAGGTTATAGCTGGAGTTCAGGTGCACCATCAACTCAGTCTCCACCACCTTCCCCAGCCCCATTTCCACCTCCAAAAACTCTGGGCAAGACCTCTGGGCTCTTGATCCAAGGCTGTTACTGGCTGTAGGACCTTGTGCAAGTCTGAGCCAAGAGCCTCTCTGAGCCTTCATTTCCTCAGCTGTAAAATGTGGATGCCCTTGTCCTCTGAGTACTCAAACCCCACATACATCTCCTATCTATCTCTGGCTGGTGAACAGACGCTTTCAACATTCAGCCACGCATAACAAATACAAAGCAAATGAATCGACAAGTGAAACTGCCAGTCTTGCAACGTATGGGATTTCATGAAGTTGGTGGAAGCAAAGCAGGAGAAATGGAACAGCCGCTGCCCACAGAGAAAGGGAACGTCTGCAAGGGAAGTGACCCAGACCCGAAAAAAGGCACTGGACTATCAAAGGATTCAGAGTGATCCTTGAGTTTGAGGAAGCTCTCAAATATTTTTGCAAAAATGAATCTCTTACTGCAAAAACCAGTTCAGAAGGGAAGGATGCTACATACTCAACTATTACAAGAAAAAGCAAGACTTCCAGTGTTAACATCTGATTCATTCTTGGTTCATTTTAAGGCGTGCGTGGTTGCAATCATAATCTAAACTCCGTTAATCACGGGGTAAAACTAATTTATCTTCGTAATATTTAGCTTCTTTTTCTAGGTAAAATCCCAATCAGGCCAGGTTTTCCCCACCATCTTGGTGAATTGTTGGTCTTCTTTTAAATAGATTCACCTCGGGGGCCTTCCAGGGTACAGGATGTAGTGGGGAGTCCTCCAGACGCCTGTCCCGGCTTTCCAGTCAAGACCACAAACATCCTACCCCCAATAGAGAGAAAGCCCCAAAACAGCTGGGCGTCCCCGAAGGCGAAGTACCGTAATTCCCCAGGGCCTGCCAACCACCATCGCAATGCAGAGAAAAGTCTCCGCCCGCCGGGCCGAGTGCTCCCCGCGCCCCCCACCTCTTAACAAGCGCAAGGTTGCTTTCGTCAACCCTTCTGTTGTACAGAAAGAGAAACTGAGGCCCGATGGGCACAGACTTGTTGGCCCACTTCCACTCGGTGGCAGAGCTGGCCCAGGGAAAAATGCAGGTAACAACAGTGAAGACTTGGTAAGCTCGCTCCACGTGCCGAGCTGGGACCCGCGGTGGCCGTTTCTGCTGGGGGCGCCTAGTACGTAGTTGGCGCTGAGGAAACCTGAACCAAGAAAGCCGAGCCCCCCCGCAACTCTCGGCCCCTCACGGGGGTGGGGCCTCCGTTGGGGTACGGCCCGCTCTGCAGCAGAGCCCACCGCCCCGGCCCGCACCCCTCGCCCCGAAGTTAGGCTGGAGCCCCCACCCCAGCAGCTCGGTGGGCCGGGGTCACAGCGGGGCCGCAGCCTGCGACCGCTTCGGGGGCCCCGCCGCTCCCCCTGCTTCCCCTCCCCCCGGGAGGGAGGAGGAGACTCCGCGGCCCTCCCTCGGCCCCTCCGGCGGCGGTCGCAGCTGCACGGTGCCCGCTCTACCCCGCCGCAGCGGCTGGGACGTACGGAGCCCGCAAGTCCCGGCCCGAGGTGAGCGGGGGCGGCAGGCCGGGGGGCGGCAGGCCAAGGCGGCCCGGGAACTTGCTCCAGGCCGCGCGCCTTCCGCGGGAAGGAAGGGGTTAAGTTGTGGGGCGTGCTGGAGGAGCAGACACAGTCGGGGCGCCCGCGGCAACCCCCGAACTCAGAGCAGAACTTTCTAGACGCCTCCCCGGCCTCCCTCAGCCCCCGGAACCCCAGGTCTCCGGTGGGGAGGGGCCGCGGGGTGATGGGGGAGGGGAGGCGCCTCCGGAATGCCGCGGCCCGGGCCGGACGGGAGGGGGCGGCGGGCGGGGACGGAATTTGGGACTCTCCCGGGGGACCCAACGTGGTCGCCATGGCGAATGCGGGATGGACGGGCGGCGCTGGCCAATCAGAGCACGGCGCCCTGCCCAGAGCCGCGGCGACTGCCAATGGGGGCCATGCGGTGGGGTGGGCGGGACCGCGCGGCGCGGGCCGGGAACCCCCTCCACCCTCCGCCCGTCGCTAGGTGGAGCGGGGCGGTTCGCAGGGCCAGCGGCTTGGGAGGGGTCGACTAAGTGAGGACTAAGGCGACGCAGGGCTGGGGCTTCAGTTTCAGTACCTTAGGTGGGGGTGGTGTCCACCTTCCCACCCCCGCTCTCCCAGGGCTCTTGTGGGGGTTGGATTGGTTTGGGTTCGGGAGGTCTGCCCACCTGTTAGAGCGTTCAGGAATCTTTTTAGTGCCTCTCCCCATCCTGTAGGTAAGGAAACTGAGGCCCAGAGAGGGCAGGGACTTGCAGATATCACACAGCATATCAGTGATGGAGCTGGGACTAGCGGGATGTCTGCTGTACAAGAGTGAAGAGTTCACGGTGTTGCCGAGAGGGGTGGGGCTGGGGTCGGGGTGGGGCTGGGTCCCCATGAAGGTTCACCCCACCATTCCAGCTGTGCGTATCCACTTGGCCTGGTGCCTGCAGACCCCATCGTGTAGGTGCTCTCGGGGGCATTGTGCCCCTCAGGTGGCTAAGATCCAGAAGAGGAGGCATCCCATCACCAGCTCCCTACTCTGGCCTTGCTGCTGGTCCGCGGTGTGGACACAGACACGTAGCTGTCCCTCTGGGCCTCAGTTGGTCCATATGTAAAGAAAGGAGTTCAAATCAATGATCCAGGCTGTCTCTGTGGCTCCTCAGTCTAAGATGGGGCTACCTGGGAATAGGCCAGGGGTGCCTACCCCTGGGCTTAGGTCCAGCCTGGAGGCCTAGCCGCCATCCCTTCCTTTCCCGCCAGCCAGCTCCCCCCAGAGGTCCTGCAGCTGGATCCTGGGCAGCAGGTCACAGGGACAGGTGCCCGCAGTCTGTGGGCTGACCAGCCTTGGGCCCTGCACTTATTCAATCAGGCTGTCCTCTGTGGTTTCCCACTGGGCTCTGCTTTCTGTCCACAGCCAGGCCTGTGGCCATGGGCTTGTCCCAGGGCCCTACCTGAAAGGCTCTGGGAGGATCTACAGGGTTTCAGAGCCGGGGAAGGGGTTGGGGCACTGGGCTCCCCATCCCTTCAGCTGGCCCCTGTCCAGGCCTTGGCATTGCTCATTCCTCTCACTGATATGGAGAGACCCATCCAAACATGCTGAGGACAAAACACAACGCTGTTCCCAGTGGGTCAATTAGGCTTCCCCAGGTAAAAGGTGGGACAGCCGACTTGGCCGTGAGATGACCTCTTATTCCAACCCTGGCCAGACAGGCTCAGATACCTACCTGTCTCAGAGCCTGGCCACCGACTGACTCCTGATCTTTAGGATGACTCAACCTTCCCAAACTCTGCATGGTCACAAGGGTACCCCTAAGAGTGGTACCACCTTCTTAGGGGTACCTTCCATCCATCACGCATCTGCTGTATGCTGGGCCCTGTGCTGATGCCCTCGCTCGTGGACTTCAAAGTAAGGCCTTTGCTGTAGAACACGGAGGTGCCTGGTGCTTTGGGAGCATACTCTGTGCAGAGAGGTTAGAGAAGGCTTCCTAGGGGAGGGGACACTGGAGGTGGGTTTTGAAGGATGTGTAGGAGTTTGCTGATGAAGGAAGGAGAGATATTCCAGACAAGTCCACAAGCAACAGGAACCACTGGGTCACTTTCTGTGGGCAGGGCTGATGAGGGCCTAGCCTGCAGCAAGTGTCAGCTCAAAATATTCTTGTTTCTGTCCTGGAGTGAGCTACCAGTGAGCACAGCTGTGGGGCTGGGGTTCAGGAGCCCTGATGGAAGCTCTAAGTGGCACAAGTGTCCCATCTGGATGAGGGAAGCCTGTACTGCCAGAAGAGAGATGGCAGCTTGCCAGGCTTGGCTGTGGGAGGTTGTAGGGCTGTGGTCCCCAGGTGGGGGTGGGGTTGGGGAGATCAAGGCATTTCCTGGAGTTGGTGGCAGCTGAACTTGAAGATGGGTGGGGGTTTTGGAGTCTGGGACATGGGCATTTGGAATACAAACCCAGAGACTTAAAGCAGTAATAGACCTGTCTGGCTGTTGGGAGGCAGGACAACGAAGGGTGGGGTAGGAAAGGCTCCCCGGGGCCTGTGGTGGCCGGTCCCACCGTGACCTGCCCCTTGGTGGGGCAGTATGCCAAGGGAACAGGAGGCCACGCCCCACGCACATAGACACCCCATGGCAAGAGGGCATTGAGCCTGGTGGAAGGGGCGGGCAGGGCAGCTGGGGCATCTCCACGACTGTAAGCCATGCTCTGCGCTGCTGCTGCCCCTCAGTGAGTGTGTGCGTTACCAGGGCTGTGTGTGAGTGTGCACGTTACTGGGGCTGCGTGTGAGTCTGTGCATTACCGGGGCTGTATGTGTGTGTGTGCACGTTACTGGGGCTGTGTGTGAGTGCAGGTCCCTCGGGCCATGTGTGAGTGTGAGTGTTACTGGGGCTGTGTGTGAGTGCGGGTCCCTGGGGCCATGTGTGAGTGTGCGCGTTACTGGGGCTGTGTGTGAGTGCAGGTCCCTGGGGGTGTGTGTGTGAGTGTGTGCATTACTGGGGCTGTGTGTGAGTGCGGGTCCCTGGGGGTGTGTGTGTGAATGTGTGCATTACTGGGGCTGTATGTGAGTGTGTGTCCCCAGGGCTGTGCTGTATGAGTGGGGCAGGGTAGGGGGAGGCGTTGCAAGGCAGGGTCTGGCTGCCCTTGGGTCTATGTGGGAGTGCAGGATTCCTGGTGTGCTGGGGGCGGGGTGGGCTTCTCCAGAAAACTCCCCTGAGGACCCCGACCCCCACCCCTTCCCACACACCCGCTCCAGGGGACCCTGGGCCTGAAGTGCAAAGGTGGGAGTGCTGTTCCAAAACTTCCGTGCTCCTGCTGTGCCCTTTCCTTCTCCCCCAGCCCCTAGGAGGGGCCTGGCCAGGCCGCTGGGAAGGAGAATGAGGTGAGTCTGGAGCCCCCATCTCTGCCTTTAGCATGGGTGCCTGGAAGCCATTAGAGACCTGGGTGGTGCCTGCCCTGGCCCTGCCCAACAGGCTTGGATTCCTGGAAGAAGCCGGTGGCCCTCTCTGGGCCAAGCCCTGTGCCAGGCCTGGCAGCTCCCAGAGGCAGGGAGGATGTGGCAGTGGCCCCCTCCCTGCCAGGCTCCTAGTTCAGCGGCTGCAAGAAGGGCCCAGCAGACAGGGCCCGGGCCCCCATACCCAGCACAGCTGCCGGCTGGCATTCGGGTTTCCTGCCTCCTCCTCCTCCTCCCCTCCCCCCACAGGCTCTCACATTGTTTTTCTTTTCCAAGAGCTTCTCTATGTGGAGCTAGGCCAGGAAAAGGAGGAGTGTGTGTGTCTGCCTCTGTGTGTGTGTGTGTGTGTGTGTGTGTGTGTGTGTGTCTGCTTCACTTGGGGATGAGCATGTCTCCTTGCATGTCCTTGTACCTGTGTGTCAGTGTGCTGGCATATGTGTGTCTTCAGGCGTGTCTGTGTCTACAGGCAAATGTCTCTCCATGCACCCGTGTCGTTGTGTGCCTGTCCGTCCATCTGAGCATATGTGTGTCTGCCCCTGGGTCTTTGCATCTGTGCATGGGATTGCATGTCTGTGTGTGCACAGATGTTTGTGAATGCACATGGGCATCAAGGCCAGCCAGCTCACTGCACAGGCGGAGAGACTGGGTCACAGAGGCACAGGCTGCTAGGGATCTCCTGGGGTGTCAGTGGTGTACATGGAACCAGAGCCTGGATCTGTATGGCTGTGTCTGGGTGCGTGACACAGATGTTATCAGGGTCGGGGTGTACATGTTGTGTTTATGGAACTGTGGGTAGTAAGAAAGCATCGCCAAATACTCAAATATCCCAGACTATTAAAATGCAAATTCCAAGCTCCACACCTAGCAAACATGACTCTCTCGGGTATAGGGCCAAGTGTCTGGGTGAATCTGAAGGACACCCTGATGAAGAAGCACTGGTCTCTCTCACACATCCCCCCTTCTACACATGGGGAAACTGAGGCCCAGAAAGGGACAGTGGCTTACATGAGGTTGGTGTCAGAGCTGGGCCTAGACCTCATGCATGGTAAAGGCAGACAGACAATAAACAAACAGCAAATGGCCTAGAGAAATGCAGCGGGGTCGCTGAGCAGCACGGAGGAACCTTGACAAAAGGTCATGAGTTTTAAAAAATACTGCTCCACGTGGTGGTGTAGACCTCCAATGCCTGGCTCCATAGTTGAAGGTAAGAGTGGGCAAAGCAGTGGAGGGAACAGGGTTGGCGTTTGCCAGGAGAAGCCAGAACAGGAGGGGCCTAGGGCACAGAGGGTGCTGGCAAGGGAGAAATTAGGAGCACAGAAGGTGAGCTGGGAAAGAGAGGGACATGGGGGTGGGCAGTGCAGTGGTGGGATCAGTGGCTTGCGGCTCCTGCTGGGATTGGAGAGTATTTGGAGTTGAGTCCTAGAGGGAGTAACCTTAGAATTGAGGCTAGGGAGGAATCAGTATTGGTAATGACACAGGGAGGGGCCATCAGAGTGGTCAGGTTCTTACAAGAACTCACTCTGGCTGTTGCTGTTGAGAATGGATTTGAAGGAGGTGAAAGTGCATGATGGGCAGGGAGGTGGGTGTGGGTACTGTTACCCAGGTGAGTGAAGGTGGTGTGGACCCTGACAGGTTAGTGACTGTGGACAAAGAAGGTGGATGGAAGGCGGATGCACAGCAGATAGACTGACAAGGTTTGGCGGTGGGTGGGGGAGGAAAGAAGGCAGATTTCAGGGTGCCTTCAAAGCTGGAAGGAGTGAGGAAGTGCCTTCTCTGGAAGGAGTGAGGAAGTGCCTTCTCTCGGAGGAGCACCCAGGAGGAGCTGGTCACGGGGGGAATGGAGGCAGCAAGTTCTATTTTAACCAAGATGAGCCTGAATCATCTATCAGGCATCCGGTTGGAGGTATGGGAAGCTCTGAGGGCAACCTGGGCTGGAGAGGGACTTGGAGTTGGGGACATAGCGAGATGGCTCGGGCAGGGATATCGTGAGAGGAGAAGGGGGCCCAGGGCCCGATGACAGCCGCATTCGAGGGATAAGCCCAGGGGGTTCACCTGGGAGGCTGACGAGCAGCTGGAGAGGAGGGGAAACCTGGAGAGGAAGACGTGGAAGCAAGTGAGGCAGGGAAGCAGGTGCCACGGTGGGTCCAGAGGGCACACCGTCACAGGGGACTGGAAACCAGCCTGGCACAGGTGGCCGGGTGACAGAGCGCCAAGCAGGTAGACGGAGTGGAGACGGCGAGTGTGGACCACTTTGGAAGGACCTTAAAAGGGAGGTGCCAGGGGAGGGGAGAAGAAGGTGTCAGGAGACACTTCAGCAGGGGTAAGACCCCTGGAAAGGACGTCACTGGCTAGGGTGGGACTGGCAGGAGGGAGGCCTTCGGCTCAAGGAAGGAGAACCCCTCTGTCCTCTCAGGGGCAGAGAGGAGGGGGCCGTGGGGCTTGACAGCTTCCTTTTTCACTGCAAATCATGACGATAGATCATCTGCCGAGAATGAGGTGGGTTAGAGATTGGAAGAAGGTGGAGAGGGGACATAGAGGGCTGCCAGGCAGCCTTGGGGACAGCCAGTGCCGAGTCCCACCGACAGTACACTGATCACTCAGAAAGGGTGGGTCTTAGGGGCAGGTGTGAAGATCTGTGGACCAGGGCTCTCTGCCTAATGGGGAAGGAAAAGTGTGATGTCCCAAGGGGCTGTTGGTGGGTGGCAGTCAACAGAGGCCGCAGTGGAGGGAGACTGGGGACAGAGAGGGACATGCCTCTCATTTATTTTAAGGAGGAGGGGGGCATGGCCCATAAATGGCAGAGCCCAGTGCTGGGCGATGGGGAGGCTGAAGTGAGACACAGAGAACAAGAGAGCTGTTTGCGGTGAGTCACGGTGTCAGGGAGGGGTGGTTCCGGCAGAGAAGGGGAGAGAACATCCTGCTGCACTCTCAGAAGCCCTTTCCATCTGAGGACTGGTTTGTTTCCATCATCATCCCCAGCGCGTGCGTTCATTCAGCAAATCCTTACTAGAGTTTGAATTTGTACTCATAGATACCATAAATGGAGGTAATCATTTTCTTCACCTCCACTCTTTAAGGAATAAATGAGATCGTTCACCTAAAGCCCTGGGCACAGTGCCTGGCTTGTGGCCTGCCCTCCACAAATATCATTGTCATCATGTGTTGGGACTAAAACAGTGGTCAGGACCCAGTCCTGGACCACAGCAAACTCACAGCCTTGGTTAAAGGTACACAGCAGACACATAAATGACAGGGTAAGTTAGTGCAGTGATGGAGACACATAAGGGGCTGATGGACCTGGCCTGAAGTGCTCCAGGAGGGCTTCCAGGAGGAAGTGATACCTCAGAAGAGTCTTAAATATGAGAAGAGTTAGCCCAGTGCAGGAAAAGGCAGGGAGGGGACTCCTGGCACCAGCCCAGTGCCCCCGCCTGGGTCCTGTGCGGAAGTTGCATAGTAGTATAGTATAAGCCATCAGTGTGTGAGCCGGGACCGGGAGAATAAAGAACAGATCAAGGTTTCAGATTAGCGCCGCTGGGTGAAGGGATTGGAGCAGGGAGTCGAGGCCACTGAGGAGGCCTTTGCGGGCCCTTGCTCCACCAATCCTGCCTCATTGGGACTCTCCTGGAACAGAACTCTCTCCTCCTACCTTGGCCGTTCTGTTCCCTCCGCCAGGGCCTTGGCGCGGCTGATCTTCGAGACTGACGGTGGTCGCAGTCCAATAACGGTTGTGTTCTCCCGTAGGTCCGAGGAGGCGTCCTCCGCCCGGTGGCCCAGAGGGAAGCGGGGCACGGCGTCATCATGCACAGTTGTATCGCGCCCGCCGCGCGTCCCCGGAGCCGCCCCTGAGCCCGACCGCGAGTTCGAGCTCAGGGCCCGCCCGGCCGCACCATGAGCCACGGGCCCAGCCCCCGGCTGGCCGAGTCCCCGCAGCTGTCCAAGGGCAGCCTCCTGACCATCCTGGGCAGCCCGTCGCCGGAGCGCATGGGGCCTGCCGACTCCTTGCCGCCCACGCCGCCCAGCGGCACGCCCTCGCCCGGGCCGCCGCCCGCACTGCCCCTGCCCCCCGCGCCCGCGCTGCTGGCCGACGGCGACTGGGAGAGCCGCGAGGAGCTGCGGCTGCGGGAGCTGGAGGAGGCGCGGGCGCGGGCGGCGCAGATGGAGAAGACCATGCGCCGGTGGTCGGACTGCACTGCCAATTGGCGCGAGAAATGGAGCAAGGTGCGCGCTGAGCGCAACCGCGCGCGCGAGGAGGTGCGCCAGCTGCGCCAGCGCCTGGACGCGCTCACCAAGGAGCTGGCGGGCGCACGGCGCGAGCGCCAAGAGGCGCAGGGCGAGTGCGAGGCACGGGGCCGCGAGCTGGCGCGGCTGAGGGGCGCCCGGGGGGTCGCCGACCAGACGCGCGACGGCCCCGAGCCGGAAGCGGAGCGCGAGCCAGTGCGTGACGTCGGGTCCGAGAGGCCGCCAGGCAGCCAGGTGCGCGGCGCGGGCGGGGCGTTCGCGCTCCAGTCTCGAAGTGGGCGGGGCCGATTGTCCTGAGCTGCTGGGCTCAGAAACAAGCTAGTAAAGGCCTGGCCTCCTGGAGGTTTCACTTCTCCAGGTCGGGTTCTACCCTTGCGGGGCCTCACATCATTTTCCTTCCAGAGACCTCAGGGTGGAGAATCCCAAGTTCTGTGATCCCTCCACTCCCACACCTGAGAAGTCAACAGAACCAAGGAATCATCCCCTTTGAGCCAGGAGAGGGATCCAGCAACTTGCCTAGAAGTTAGCTGATTCGTAGCAGAGCCGAATCCATTGATTCAATCAGAGCTGAGCGGTGGGAGAAATCAGGGCACTGGGATCACAGAGGAGGTCCCTGACGCAGGCTTCACAGAAGCTTTCCTGGAAGAGGTCACATTTAAGCTGAGACTAGAATGATGAGTAGGAATTAGCTGTGAAAAGTGCCAGGAGGGCAGGACGACGTGGCTCGTACCTGGAGTACCAGCTACTTGGGAGGCTGTGGCTGCGGCAGCAGGATCCCTTGAGCCCAGGAAGTCGAGGTTGCAGTGAAATATGACTATACTGCTGCACTCCAGCCTGGGCAACAACTCCACCTCTAAAAAATAAAAATTAAGAAAAAAAGTGCCCGAAGGCATTCCAGCTGATAGAAACTGCCTGTGCAAAAAGTCTAGAGGCCGAGAGGGCCTGGTGAGTTTGGAAAAAGGCAGTAATAGCAACGGCCGTCATTCACTGGGCGCCCACGCAGCACTTAGCCGAGCATGTGCGTTATCTAGGTAACCCCCACAGCAACCCTCTAAGATATTTGCTCCATGGGGAGGATCCTGAGGCACAGAGAGATTCAGAAGTAAGGGCTGGGCGTGGTGGTTCACGCCTGTAATCCCAGCACTTTGGGAGGCCAAAGCTGGTGGATCACCTGAGGTTAAGAGTTCAAGACCAGCCTGGCCAACATGGTGAAACCCCATCTCTACTAAAAGTACAAAAATTAGTCGGGCATGCTGGTGGGCGCCTGTAATACCAGCTACTCGGAAGGCTGAGGCAGGAGAATTGCTTTAACCCGAGAGGTGGAGATTGCAGTGAGCCGAGATCACACCATTGCACTCCAGCCTGGGCAACGAGAGTGAATCTCCATCTCAAAAAAAAAAAAAAAAAAGCAGCAGCAATGTCTGCCAGCCGGTGACAACTTGCTGGGGTTTGAACCTGGACAATCTGGCTCCAGAGTCCAGGGTAATAATCAGGATGGCTGCTGCATTAACAGTGGGTGCAGAGGGCACCCTCTCCTGAGCCAGCAGGCCTGTTACCAGAAAGCCACCTAGGGGCAGGGTCCAAGCTCAGTTCCCCAGCTCTGTCCCCAGCTCAGTCCCTGGACAGGCCAACTCCTCCAAATAAGACTGCCCCTCCTCTATTCTGCCCAGCCCCCTCCATCCCGTAGGCTAGCGTGGGCACTGCTGCCTCCTGTGGCTGAAGTCCCCTCTTCCCTGGGGTGACCTGGTGTTTGGAGGTGGTGTTCACTGCGCACAATGCTGTTCCTGTCCTATCCTTATTCCAGTTGTCGGTCACAGGCCAGAGGGCTGTGGGCAGTGGCAGGAGCCCTAGGCTTGCAGTCTGAGTTTGTTCTCCAGCCCAGCCTTTTCATGCTGTGGCCCAGAACAAGTCCTCTCTCTCCCTGTTCCCCATTCGTAAAATGGGGCTTTGGACACCTCCACCTGAATAATCTGAGAAACAGAAGAGTAGCTCTCACTCCTCAGGGAGTCCTCAGGGCCACCGCTCCAGTCCAGCTAGGGAAACTGAGGGCCGGGCCAGGAAGAGGCTGGTCCAGACTCATCTGGAAAGGCTGTGGGAGAAGCTGGAACAGGGGCTGTGGTCCTTGTGGGTTTGTGTCAGAGACAGGCCTTGGAGATGGGCGGGGCGGAGAAGAAGGGCAGGATGGCAAGAAGGAAAGGGGCTCGGCCCTGGGTTCCTAATTTCTCAACTGCTTCCTGTCTGGGAGCTGGCTCTCCTCACAGGCACTGCTTCCCTGTGTCACCAGTCTCCCCATGCCTTACTATTTGCCCCTGAAAAAACAGGATCTTAGAGCTAGAATTCCTTTGGAAGGAATCTAGGCTTAAGCCATTATAGGAATTCCTGCTTCAACATTTGTTCCCATCGGTGCCCCGCCGTAGGTTTGCATACTTCCAGTGACAGGGAGCTCACCACCTCTCCTGGGGAATCTTCTAGGATACAGGGAACCATGGTGGCTGACACTCTGCAGCTCCAGGAGGTGAAAGGGGAGGCCCAGAGCAGGGTGTGTCTTCCTTCTCCAGAGATGGAGAGGCAGGCAGCAGAAGAGGAAACTGAGGCCCAGAGACACTGTGTGACTTGCCCAAGGTTACCCATCAAGCTGATCTCAGACCCAGGGCCTGGCTTGGCGGCCACTGGTCCAGCCTCCACCTTGGTCCCCGCAGGAACTGGAGCTGGTGGAGAGCCTGCTGAAGAGCATGCCAGAGGAGTCTGAGGACTGCTGGGAGGCGCGCAGCCTGGGGGCTGGGGGCCCGCGGGGCAGCTCAGGCCGCCAGGAGCGCAGCCGGCTACCCTGGGAGGACACAGCTGCCACGGAGGAGGAGGCCTCCAAGTTGACCGCCCTGCGGCTACGGCTGGATGAGTCCCAGAAGGTGCTGCTCAAGGAGCGAGAGTGAGTCGTGGGAGGCGGGAGGGGGCAGGGCCAGGGCCAGGCCGTGCTACAACGCCCTCAGAATCACAGAACATTAGACTCACGAAGATGACAGGTAGTGTTTAGACTGTATCTTGGAACTGTAGAGCAGTGGTGTTCCACCCAAGAACTCAGTGCAAGTTTTTATTTATTCATTCAAATAATACGTTACCAGGCACCTGTTCTGGGCCAGGCACTGTGCTCTGCCCTGAGGATACAGCCGTAAATAAGACAGAAGCCCCTGCCTTCCTGAAACGTACTTTCTAGTTGGGGGAGAGGGCTGTGGGCAGGGTAAAAGCAGGGAATGGAGACAGGGAAGTTGGAAGGTTGCAGCTGGGACCTTGGTTTTGGACGTGTGAGTTTGAGATGGCAGGGAGGCAGCTGGGGATGTGAATGAGTCTGGAGTTCATGAGACAGGCCTGGGCTGGAGGTAAAAATGCAAGAGTCACCAGTGAAGAGATGATATTGAAAGCCATGAGCTGGGCCAGGCGCAGTGGCTCACGCCTGTAATCCCAGCACTTTGGGAGGCCGAGGTGGGCAGATCACTTGAGGTCAGGAGTTGGAGACCTGCCTGACCAACATGGTGAATTGAAACCCCATCTCTACCAAAAATGCAAAAATTAGCTAGGCGTGGTGGCAGACACCTGCAATCCCAGCTACTCAGGAGGCTGAGGCAGGAAAATTGCTTGAAGCCGGGAGGTGGAGGTTGCAGTGAGCCGGAATTGTGCCACTGCACTCCATCCTGGGCGACAGAGCAAGACTCTGTCTCAATAAATAAATAAATAAATAAATAAATAAATAAATAAAACGATGAGCGTGGACAAGGGCCAAGGAATGAGTGTGGATAGGGAACTGGTCAGAGGATCCAGCCCTGAAGTGCCAAGTTTAGAGGTCAGTTAGAGGAAAGGGAAACAGCAGAGGAGACAAGAGAAGGGAGCCGGGCTGGGAAGGGGAACCACAAGAAACCGTTTCCCGGAGGACAGAGTGATCAGTAAGAACAGGGCTGAGCCCTGGACCATTGGATTTAGAATGTGGAGGTCACCAGTGACCTTGATCAGAGCAGTTTAGAGGGCACGAGCTTGATGATAATGAATATTCTGCAGTTTTTCTGTCCAGAAATTAAATACGACAATAGCATAACCTATCTACACACTCCTTTTTAAAAAATCAATATAATGGCCAGGTGCAGTGACTCATGTCTGTAATCATAGCACTTTGGGATTCCGAGGCAAGAGGATTGCTTGTGGCCAACCTGGGCCATACAGCAAGACCCTGTCTCTCTCTCTATATATATATATATTTTTTTTAGACAGAGCCTCACTCTGTCAGCCAGGCTGGAGTACAGTAGCACAGTCTCGACTCACTGTAACCTCTGCCTCCCATGTTCAAGTGTTTCTCCTGCCTCAGCCTCCTGAGTAGCTGGGATTACAGGCATGTGCCACCATGCCTCTGGCGCATGTTCTTTGTAGTTCTCCTGGAACTGCATTCCCTATCCAAGTGCAAGTGCCCAGCTCACATTGTGGGGAGGTGGTCGGGGTTCCAGAGCACTGAGCATCCCCGGACAAGTACCTCTCTCCTGCTGCACCTCAGGCTCATCTGAAAATGGCTCCAGGAGGTGGCGGCCCCAGCACTGGCCACTCCACTCCTTGGCCCACCTTGTTCTTCTCGAAGGGCTGTCAAAGACCACCCTGCTCCTGTCTGTTTTGTAGACTATGTTCCCTGCAAGGCTTGGTCTGAACACATGTTTCTGCAGATAGAAACACTGGAAAACACTGTCCAGTGACCCGAAGAGAGGGTTCTCTCTTGCCATCGTCACTGTGTGGGATCCCTACATCCTCCCATAACCCCCACCCTGCCTTGATCTTGAATAAGGCACTGTAGGTTACAAGCATGATGCCTGGCCCTGGCAGAGTAGGTGCTCACCAATGGCTGAGCTCAGCATCACCTTCCAGCACGCTGCCCTTCATGACCCCACACCACACTGGCCTCTCTCTCTGAGAGTGGAACACTCCACGCCTCCAACATGGGGTTCCCAGAGGGGACAACCCAGAGGGTGGCTAAAAAATTAGCCACCAGACCCGGCTAATTTTTGTATTTTTCATAGAGACGGAGTTTTACCATGTTGGCCAGGCTGGTCTCGAACTCCTGACCTCAGGTAATCCACCAACCTCAGCTTCCCATAGTGCTGGGATTACAGGCATGAGCCATTGTGCCTGGCCTACAAAAAAAAAAAAATTAGCTGGGAACGGGGCTGTGCCACTGTAGTCCCAGCTACTTGGAAGGCTGAGGCGGGAGGATCGCTTGAGCCCAGGAGGTCGAGGCTGAGGGAGCTGTGATTGTATGAATGCACCAGTACCCTCCAGCCTAGGTGACAGAGAGAGACGCTGTCTCAAAAAAAAAAAAAAATCACTATAATGCCTTTGTGAAGATGTAGGCAGAGGTCAGGGTGATGCTTTTGCGGACATTGTTGCATCTTTGGCCAAGGAATACCAAAGATGGCCAGCAAACTGCCAGAAGCTGGGAGAGAGGCATGGAACGGATTCTTTCTCGCAGCCCTCAGAGAACCAGTCCTGCCAACAGCTTGATCTTGGACTTCTAGCCTCTAGAAATATGAGAGAATAAATTTAGACTGTTTAAGCCAAACAAGCAAAAAAATCAACCTAGTGCACTAACTGAAATATAAAGTAGAAGTGAAAGTAACTTTTTTTTTTTTTGGAGACAGAGTCTCGCTCTGTTGCCCAGGCTGGGGTACAGCGGCTCTATCTCAGCTCACTACAATCTCTTGTCTCCCTGGTTCAAGCAATTCTCATGTGTCAGCCTCCCGAGTAGCTAGGACTACAGGCACACACCACCACGCCCAGCTAATTCTTCGTATTTTAGTAGAGACAGGTTTTCACCATGTTGCCCAGGCTGCTCTCGAACTCCTGAGCTCAGGGAGCCCACCTGCCTTGGCCTCCCAAAGCGCTAGGATTACAGGTGTAAGCCACTGCGCCCAGCCTGAAAGTAACTTAAAATACACGTGTTGTGATATGGGAGTGCTTGGGCATAGCTCCTCTAGAAGAAATGGTGAAGTGGTCAGAGTGGGTGTCTTTAAATGGGATGATAGTGACGATAGTTATAACAGCAAAGACATAGCATGTGCTCCGAGTCAGGTGTTGTGTTGAAGGCTTACATGTATCTGCACATTTAAGTCACCTCGCAGGACAGCTACAAAGGCGGCTCATGCAGGTGTGCAGACTTAGCAACTCAAAGACACAAGTGGTGTCACTGCGATGCGCTTTCTTGAGAGATGAACAGCCTTTGGTAAAGTTCTGAACAAAGCAAAGTGCAGCCGGGCACCGTGGCTCATGCCTATAATCCCAGTACTTTGGGAGCTCGAGGTGGCAGGATCGCTTGAGTCCAGGAGTTCCAGGTTGCAGTGAGCTGTGAACAGACAGGAACAGGGTAGTCTTTAAGAGATGAGCCTGGGGTACAGCAGGAGGGAGGTACTTGCCCAGAGATGCCCAGTGCTCTGGAGCCCTGACCACCTCCCCACAATATGAGCTGGGCACTTGCACTTGGGTAGGGAGTGCAGTTCCAGGGAGTGAGCTGTGATCTGCACTCCAGCCTGAGCAACAGAGCCAGATCCTCTCTCTAAAAACAAAGAAAAGTGCAGTCTTCCTTCAGTTTATACAGTGATTCCATTCCTAGAAAATTCAGTGTATGTTAGTATAAAAATTACTTTCTGTTTCAATGTAAATCAGAATGAGGCTGTAGGCTCAGATCATCTCTACCCCGAGCAATGTCCAGTGGGCTGTGCATGCATTCAGTAGGATGCAGGATGCATCCTGATGGGCAGGACGCCCAGGGCATTGCAGGGAGTCAGGCACCCTGGCCCCCGTCCACTAAATGACCCCTAATCATTGTGATAGCCAAAAATGTTGCCATGGGTTTTCAACATGCCTCCTACAGGGTGACGTTGTCCCCTCTGGGAACCCCATGTTGGAGGCATGGAGTGTTCCACTTTCAGAGAGAGAGGCCAGTGTGGTGTGGGGTCATGAAGGGCAGCGTGCTGGAAGGTGATGCTGAGCTCAGCCATTGGTGAGCACCTACTCTGCCAGGGCCAGGCATCATGCTTGTTACCTACAGTGCCTTATTCAAGATCAAGGCAGGGTGGGGGTTATGGGAGGATGTAGGGATCCCACACAGTGTCGATGGCAAGAGAGAACCCTCTCTTCGGGTCACTGGACAGTGTTTTCCAGTGTTTCTATCTGCAGAACCATGTGTTCAGACCAAGCCTTGCAGGGAACATAGTCTACAAAACAGACAGGAGCAGGGTGGTCTTTGACAGCTCTTCGAGAAGAACAAGGTGGGCCAAGGAGTGGAGTGGCCAGTGCTGGGGCCGCCACCTCCTGGAGCCATTTTCAGATGAGCCTGAGGTGCAGCAGGAGAGAGGTACTTGCCCGGGGATGCTCAGTGCTCTGGAACCCCGACCACCTCCCCACAATGTGAGCTGGGCACTTGCACTTGGATAGGGAATGCAGTTCCAGGAGAACTGCAAAGCCAGGGTGCTTCTAGCCACATAGGGTGCCTGGGCCTGAATACCAAGGCAAGGATTTTGGACTTGGGCTCAACAAGTGCAGAGGGCACACAGCAGGGCCACCCTTGGTGAGGACTCCAAGCAGAGGGCCTTGGTGGGCTCACCCCCATGTCTGTCCCTTCCCCAGGGATAAACTGGCGTTGAGCAGGAACATTGAGAAGCTAGAGGGGGAGCTCAGCCAGTGGAAGATCAAGTATGAGGAGCTGAGCAAGACCAAGCAGGAGATGCTCAAGCAGGTGAGTCTTGGAGACCAGAGGGTCTTCCTGGAGGCGGCAGGATCGCGCTGTTGAATTTCAGTAGTGGAGATGGAAGAGAGAATTCATTCATTAATTCATCCAACAGTTGTTCTTTTTTTTTTTTTTTTGAGACAGAGTCTTGCTCTGTCACCTAGGCTGGAGTGCAGTGGTGTGATCTTGGCTCACTGCAACCTCCACCTCCCGGGTTCAAGCGATTCTCCTGCCTCAGCTTCCCGAATAGCTGGGATTACAGGCACCCGCCACCACGCCCGGCTAATTTTTGTATTTTTAGTAGAGACAGGGTTTCACCATGTTGGCCAGACTGGTCTCGAACTCCTGGACCCAAGTGATCCTTCTGCCTCGGCCTCCAAAGTGCTGGGATTACAGGTGTAAGCCACAGTGCCTGGCTTTATTTTATTTTAATTTTATTTATTTTTATTTATTTTATTTTATTTTATTTATTTTATTTTATTTATGTTATGTTATGTTATGTTATGTTATGTTATGTTATGTTATGTTATGTTATGTTATTTTTTCTGAGTTGTTCTGAGTGCTGGGCAGGCAAGGTCCCTGCCTTCAGGAGCTCACTTTGTGGGGGCTGTGGGCATGGGAGACCGACAGTCACCAGGCAGATTCATAATTTATGAAGGAGTCAAAACAGAATGAGAGAGATGGGGTGGTAGGTCAGGGAAGGCCTAAGAAGGTGGCATTTGAGGCAAGACCTAAAGGGGCTAGAGGAAGCTGTCCTTGAAAAGATACAGGGGAGAGTGTTCCTGGCAGAAGGCACAGCGGTGCAAAGGTCCTGAGGCAGGAACAAGCCCAGCGTGTGCGGGAAACAGGGAGGGCCAGGTGGCTGGAGAGCAGGAAGTGAGAGGCGAGGCCGCAGGAGGGGGCCTTGTAGACCAGGATGAAGACGAGGAGGCTGGATGTGGCATTCATTGGGTTCCTATCTGTACTAGGTGTCACTGAAGCCTCATGGCAGCCCAGGGAGCTGGGTCCTCATGTCCCCATCTTACAGATAGGGAAACTGAGGCTCCAGAGAAGGGAATCCACCACTGCAGTGTGGGGGCTCAGAGCAGGCTGAGCTGCCACTACGGCCTCCTGTGCAGGCCTCAATGGCCACCAGAGGGCGCAGCCACCCAGGGAACGCCACACTGGATCGGTGGGTTTCTAGCAGCTGGGAGGATCACAGAACTTTAGAGCCTGAAACTGTCCTGGAGGGGACCAAGACTGGTCTTACATGAGAATCTCTGAGGAAATCTCCTAAAATACAGATTCCCAGACCTCGCCTCCACCCTCCTGAATCAGCACCTTTCAGGGCTGGGTCCAGGACCCTGTTCTTTTAGTCTTTTCAAATTATGAAGTATAATCATTCGAAGAAAAGCGAATGAAACACAAATGTACAATTTAGTAGAAAATTATAAAGGTTCTCTTTTGTATCTGGTGTCTCTCCCTCAACATTATGTGTTGAAAACTCATCCGTGTGTTACAGGGAGCAGCAGTTTGTTGGGGTTTGCTGTATACCGCAAGAAATGTTATTGTCTTAAATGCACGCCAAGCAATGCCGATGCACCTGTGTGCAGAGCAGTGTTGGAATTAGTCACTGTACACTGAGGGCGGCCCTGTGCCCAGGCCATACAACGACACAAAGGTGGACAGACGCACAAGCTCCCCGTCCTCCCAGGCTAGCTTTCCAGTGGGGAGTGGGATGAGGAGGCCCCTCCTCCAGGCCAGGTGGGCAGAAGAGGCATTCCTAAGGAGGGGGCCTTTAGGTCAAGGCCTGAGAATAAGAAAAATCAGTCCTAAGAAGTGTCTCAGAAAGATCCACGCATGTGCAAAGGCCCTGTGGTGGGCAGGAACTTGGTGTGTCTGAGGAACAGAAAGGAGTCCCTGGTGCCTGGAGTACAGTGAACTAAGGGGGAGCGGCGGGTAGGTGTCCAATCGTGCAGGGCTTTGTGAGAGCGTAGAGAGGAGTTGGACTTTACCCTAAGGCACCTGGGAGCCATCAGAGGCTTTGTGGGAGGAGGGTGGTATGATTGCATTCATCTTTGTTAAAAGCTCCCTCTGGGCTGCTGTTGTAGAAAACGGGTTGACAGAGAAGGGCCAGGAGTAGACACTGGGAGGCTAGACAGTAATGAGGAGGAGAGACATTGGGAGGAGCAGAAGTGGTCAGATTCGAGGTCTGTTTGGAATACCTGGTGCCTGCCCCATTTGGGCGCTGCCTTGGCTCCACGCTGAGCACTCCTGCACTGGCGCCCACCCCCGGAGGTGGTTCCAGGCTATATCCTGGTGGTTCTCATGACCAGGTGGGGCCTTATCCCTGCAGCTCAGCATCCTGAAGGAGGCGCACCAGGACGAGCTGGGCCGCATGTCTGAGGACCTGGAAGATGAGCTCGGTGCACGCTCCAGCATGGACCGGAAAATGGCCGAGCTGAGGGGCGAGGTGAGGCCATGGATGGGACCCAGGAGGACCTGGGTTTAGGGGTCCTGGGGCCCTGCTCCATCAGCAGGTCACTGGGAACAGGGCAGGGGCCAGGACTGTGCTCTGAGCGGGGCCAGCCACATCCAATGGTGTCCTGATCTGCAAGAGGCAGGCCTCTCTCCCACACAGAGGCCAGAAGCGCCCTCACATCCTGTACACCATGAAATGAGCCCAGCTTAATTACAGCCAATGCAGCTGGATCTGCTTCCTGGAGCCAAAAATGGCTCCAGGAGGTGGCGGGGGCATCCAGCTCAGGCCCTGCATGCCCCCTCCGCTGGGAGTCCTCACTCTGCCCTGCCCTGCTGCAGATGGAGCGGCTGCAGGCCGAAAACGCTGCGGAGTGGGGCCGCCGGGAGCGGCTGGAGACAGAGAAACTGGGCCTTGAGCGGGAGAACAAGAAGCTGCGGGCACAGGTCGGAGACCTGGAGGAGGCGCTGGCCCGGCGGCGGCGGCAAACAGCCAGCGCACTGGACTGCGACCTGAGGGCCAGCCAGGCCGCGCTCTTCGAGAAGAACAAGGTGGGGCAAGGAGTGGAGTGGCCAGTGCTGGGGCTGCCACCTCCCCATCCAGCCAGAGCGCAGCTTCCCTACTATGTGTCAGGCCTGGTGATAATTATGGTAGCTGCATGTATTCAGCACCTTGTGTGCTAGACCAGTTGGTAATTATAGTAGCCGCATTCATTGAGCACTTACTATGTGCCAAGCTCCACTCTAGGTGCCAGAGACACAGCACTGAACAGACAGATGTGGCCTCCCCTCTTCCCCTCATGGAGCTGAAGACTTACTTGGGGGATGTACACATGGCTCTCTCTGTCACACAGATTCATGCCAATCACACAGCTTCATGGTCACCAGCAAGAAGAGGGGATACTAGGAGACCTGGCTTAGGCCCACGGTCCTGGAAATACCTCCCGGAGGCAGTGACATTTTAAACTGAGTTCTCAGCCAGGCGCAGTGGCACACATCTGTAATCTCAGCACTTTGGGAGGCTGGGGTGGGCAGATCACCTGAGGTCAGCATTTTGGGACCAGCCTGGCTAACATGGCGAAACCCCATATCTACTAAAAATACAAAAATTAGCCGAGCATTGTGGGCACCTGTAATCCCAGCTACTCGGGTGGCTGAGGCAGGAGAATCACTTGAAACCGGGAGGCAGAGGTTGCACTGAGCTGAGATTGCACCACTGCACCCCAGCCTGGGTGACAGAGAAACTCCGTCTCAAAAAAATAATAATAAATAAATAAACTGAGTTCTCCAGGAAAAGCAGCCGTTAACTGGTAGTGTGCGGATTTAGGGGAGGGGATGGAGAGAAGTTAGGAATAACATGAATAAATGTCCGTGGTGAAAGAGACACAGAGCTTTGGAGGAACAAGTCCAGTGTGCTGGAGGGGAGTGAGCGGGGGGATGTGGTAAGTGAGGCACGAGTGGTGGGACTCTTCGAGAGAGTTTAAAGCAGGAGGGGAGTGTGAGCAGGCTGTGTGGGCAGAGGATGGGAAGACAGGCTGGGGGGAAGCTGTTGACATTCCCTGGACAACAAGAGAGGGAGGAGACCTGGACCAGGTTGCAGTCAGTAGAGATGGAACAAAAAGGATGGACTCAAGAGACCTTTAGGCAATGCCTATTCCCATTTTACAGAAATGGAAACTGAGGCTTAGAGAACTCACAGAGCTCCAGGGTGGGCATCTCTTTTGCTGGCTGCCCTTCCTCTTCCCAGCCACTCTGGGCTCTGAGACACCCACCCATTCCCCAGCCTAGCTCATTCCCAACCCAGCTCTTTCAATGCCATACGCCCCTGAAGACTCCAGACCTCATCCTTCCCCGGAAACCCCGACCCTGCTCCAACAGCTCCAGGGTAGATCCAGTAGCATCTGAAAGTTACACATCCAAACCGGAGCCACAGGTTCCACCCACCCAGCCTTCTCACCTCCCTGGAAGGCACCTCCAGCCTCTGGCTGCTCAGCCAAACCTCTACTGCTGATACTTCAGACAACAGATGGAGAGATTCTGGGAAGGAGAGACACCCAGCATCCCTAGAACTGCCTGACCTCGTGGGACTCCCTGGCATGGCGCCCAAGCTGATACTGATTCCCTCCTCCCTCCCACCCCATCCCTGTGCCCTGTAGGAGCTGGCAGACCTGAAGCATGTGCATGGCAAGCTGAAGAAGCAGTTCCAGGAGAAGGTGGCAGAGCTGGCACATGCCAACCGGCGGGTGGAGCAGCACGAGGCTGAGGTGAAGAAGCTGCGGCTGCGGGTGGAGGAGCTCAAGAAGGAGCTGGCCCAGGCTGAGGACGAGGTGAGGACCACAGAGGGGCAGGGGCAGCAACAGACCTTGGCCAGGGAGGAGTGGGGGCCGCAGGGCCATCCTGGCTTCTCCATTCTCAGCCCCTGGTGCCTGGCACAAGCCTGTCTCTCAGGAGTCGCCCAGGATAGAGTGGGTAGGTGCGTGATGAATGGATGGCAGGATGGACATGTGGGTGGGAAGATGGGAAGAAAAATGAACAGAAGACAAGATGGATGTGTGCATGGATGAACCAATGGGTAAAGGAATGAATGGATGGATGAATGGGAGAGAGAGGCAGGGCGGGCAGATGGATGGGTGGATCCAATGGATGTATGAACAGATGATGGCTGGATGGGTAGAGAGTGGACAGATGGATGGACAGCTGACTGGGTCAGTGGGTGGAAGAACGAATACAGAGGGAGAAAGAAGGCCAGGTTGACGGGAAGATAGGTGTGTCCGGGAGAGCAGGAAGGCATGGCTAGGCATGCTAGATGGGCTGCTGATTAGATTAATGGATGGGGAGTGGTGGGTGACTGTCTCCATGGGCAGATGAATATCTCCCTGGACGAATGGTCCGATGGACAGACTGATGGGGACAGAAGGATAGGAGGTGGATGGCTGCATCAGTAGTGCAGGGCCTGGGAGGATGGGTAGATGTGCAAGAGGAGGCAAAGGGGATGGAGAGGAACCAAAGGGATGCTTTTCTAGAAGAGGTAAGCCTTAGCCTAGGCCTCAAGGAGCAAACACTCTCGGAGGAGCACCTTCCCAGGGAACAGCAGGAGTGGTTTTCCCTGGGCGGGTGGCCGGCCTTGCCCAGCCCTGGGTGACCCTCGTGCTTTCGGCCCTGCTCACCCCCACAGCTGGACGAGGCCCACAACCAGGCACGTAAGCTGCAGCGGTCGCTGGACGAGCAGACGGAGCAGAGCGAGAACCTGCAAGTGCAACTGGAGCACCTGCAGTCCAGGTGGGCCCCGGGCAGGGAACAGAAACAGGGCAGAGACTTCCAGCCAGGGAACCCTCCGGTCAGGGACGGAGCCCAAACCAAGGCTGGAGGGGGAGACGAAGGAAGAGATCCAGGTGCCTGGAGCCAGAATCCTGTCCCCTCCGGGCAGGAAGGGCCAGAGCCAGGAAACCAGGGCAGGGGGTGCAGGAAGTCAGGCCAGCTGCAGGCCCTGGAATTGTCTCCTCTAGCAGGAGGGCTGGTGGGTAGAGTGAGGGCAGGAAGGGCGGGCTGGAGAGGTCAGGCCCAAGGCTTGGGGCAGTGGGTGGGGCCAGCAGGGCTCAAATAGGCAGCCCTCAGCGTTACTGGGCCCAGGTGACACCAAGACAGCAGGGATCTGAGAGACTGGTGAGCAGGGACTCGTGGAGGGGCCCCAGGCCTGGATCCCGTCCACTGCCAACAGGCCCCACCCAGCACACTCTGCCTCCCTCTCCCAACCCTGTCTCTGTCCCAGCACTCTGTGAATCACAGAACCAGGCGATATCAGAAAACTTCAGTCCACGTCCCTCCCACTTCACAGCTGGGAGGCCCAAGGAGCATCGGAGCCACAGCATTGACCTGTGCCGGGCCCTGAGAATGCACTTAGTTGCATTCTCTTCTTTCGTGGAATAGAGGGTGCCCGGTTCTGCAGCCAGACTGCCTGAATGGTCTGAAGCCTGGCTCAGCATTAGCAGCTGTGTGGCCTTGGGACATTTATTTAACCTCTCTGTGTCAGTTTCTTCATCTGTAAAATGGGGATGATGATAGTTCTTACCTCTTGATTGTTGTGAGTATTAAATGAGCTGATCCATTCTTAAGAAAGTACCTGGAGGCATGGTAGCTCACACCTGTAATCCCAACAGTTTGGAAGGCCAGGGCAAGAGGATTGCTTGAGACCAGGAGTTTGAGACCCCCTGGGCAACAAAGCAAGACCCCCATGTCTACAAAAAATACAAAACTTAGCCAGGCATGGTGGTGTGTGCCTGTAGTTCCAGCTACTTGGGAGACCGAGGCAGGAGGATCACTTGAGCTCAGGAGTTCATAGCTATAGTAGTGAGCTGTGATCACACCACGGTACTCCAGCCTGGGAGACAAAGTGAGATCCCGTCTCTAAGAAAAAAAGAAAGAAAACACCTGGCACATAATAAATGCTGAGTGATTGTCAGCAGCTGCTGCTATTACTACTGTTACTACTACCGCTGCGGAGGGGCTTATATTTGGGTTACATGTTGTGCATCAGCATCACGCTGCTTCTATGAGAGAAAGGAAAGATGTTTTTTCCTAGGGGGCTGGCAGATGAGGAAACTAAGGCCCAAGAGGGTAAGTCTTTCCATGGCCACACAGTTGGTGGGTGGCCAGGCAGAATCACCCCTGGCCATCAGCCATCCAAGCCCTTATTTATTGAGCATTTACTATATGCTGCTGTTTGCTGAGATCTTGTGGCTTAGAGAATGGGCTGCAGAGACCTAACAGCTATTGTGCCATGGTAAACTGAGCCTCGATTTCCCCATCTGCCTGGGATGACGCCCATAAAGTGTTGTGCAGGGGCCCAGGCGTGGGCCCAAGTCAGGACCCATGCCTGGCTGGCTCTGCCTGCTCTGACCCTGCAGCACACACCCTTCAAAAGACCACTTAGCCTTGGGGCTTTCCCGCAGTCTGGGTCACATTGTTCAGGAGCCATAAACTCCAGAAGTGGGCAGGCAGGCCCTGCTGGGCCTCTCAAGTGCTTCCATCGGGGAGGGTGGGGCCACCCAGGACCGCTGTGTCGTTTTATTTTCCAACTTTTTGTGCTTTAATGTTCCGGGGACAGCTCACTAAATCACTGTGCAGTAATGGAGGCCCCCGCCTGTGCCCCTCCCTTACGTGTTAATAATTCATGTCTTCCAGTAAGATGCAGCCGGGGCGGCCACTTTGCTGGGGGGTTGGGGGAGGGATCGGCATTTCCTTCACCAGCTCTTCTTAGACTCAAAGTTTTCCTCGTAAATTTTGACTTTAGGAATTTTAATGTGAGGAAGAACTAGGGCTGAGCCCTTTCTCACTGACACTGGGAATGTAGAGGGCTCAGCCCACCCTGCACTGTCACACCAACCAACTCTGCTGCCTGTGCTCTGAGAGCCAGGCTTGGGTTCAAATCCTGCAGCATGACCTTGAGCCAGCTCCTTCACCTCTCTAACCGCCCAGCTGCTCTGGCACCACCCACTTCAGTTCAGAGCTCTGCCCCACTCCCCACCATCTGTGTGACTTTGAGCAAATGACTTCACCTTTCTGTGCCTCGGTTTCCTTGCTTGTAAAATGGGGGTGATAATGGCACTTCTATCATATAAGGAGATTACAGGAGATGAGACAGCAGGGAAAGCACCAGGGAAGGCTTAACTGCTCCAGCACCAGCTGCAGCCACCTTATCGGGGGACTACCAGCCAGGCTGCTCTAACCTCCTGTCACCCCCACCCCACAGGCTCCGCAGGCAGCAGCAGAACGCTCCCCTCTTCGGGAAGATCCGCAGTGCTCGCTTTGGCACCGAGGAGGCCGAGGATGGAACCAGTGACCTGGACGAGGACGAGGACCTGCAAATCCAGGTGGCCTAGAGCTTCCTGTGGCTGGGCAGGATGGGCCGCCCCATACCTGCCCAGGGTCCAGGCTAACCAGCCACTCAAACTGATGCAGTGCCTAGGCTCACTCTGGGACCAGTCCCTGCCACAGCCGACTTTCTTCTCTCCCAGGGATGGCGTCAACAGTCCCACCTACCAACGCCCTGTGGAAAGGAAGCCTATGTTTTATATATATATATACACACACGCGCGCGCGCGCGCGCACACCCAGAAGTCTTTGGACCCATTTGGTTTTATAAATACAGGACAGCTCCAAGGCCCAGTCCAGATGACCTCACCCACCCAGGACTTCATGCAGGGCTGGGCATGTTGGGGGCAGTTGTTGGAGCCCCACCCTGGGCTGCCTCTCTAGGCTTCGCTGTTCATCATACAATGCAGTGAACCCAGTTATTTGTAATAAATGAAGTTCAAGTTCTTGGGGCATCTGAAAGTATGGCAGATGTGGGCGGGGGTTGTGGGGGACGGCATCGGCCTGCACCTGACGCTGAACCAGAGCTCAGGAATGTCAAGTAACTTAATAAATGAGTGAATGTGAAGAAGAAAGAATGAATGAATGAGGCCAGCCACGGTGGCTCACACCTGTAATCCCAGCACTTTGGGAGTCCAACGCAGGTAGATTGCTTGAGCCCAGGAGTTCAAGACCAGCCTGGGCAACATGGCCAAATCCCGTCTTTACTAAAAACACAAAAATGAAAAAAAAAAAAAAAAAACACAAAAATGAGCCGGGTATGGTGTTGATTGCCTGTGATTTCAGCTACTCAGGAGGCTGAGGCAGGAGAATCGCTTGAAGCCAGGAGGTGGGAGTTGCAGTGAGCCGAGATCACACCATTGCACTCCAGCCTGGGCAACAGAGCAAGACTCGGTCTCAAAAAAAACCCCACAAAGAATGAATGAATAAACATCTGAGCTGCTGAGCAGTCTGGTATCCACTCCTGTGGCGAGGAGGAAGAAAGTACAGTGCATGCCTACTCTAGAGACTTCAGTTCTGGCACCCGATGGATTCATGTCTCTGCCCCTTATTAGCTGTGCAACCTCTGGGAAGTTACTTGCCCTCTCTGAGCCTCAGTTTCTTCATTTATAAGATGTCTCAGAGCTGTCACAAGAATTAGATAGGTTAACCCAGAGCTCGGTAAAGGTTAGTTATATTAAATACCTAAAAGTTTTCCCTGGAGAGGAGGGATTTGCCAGGTGGGCGCAGGGGATGAAGTTCAAGTATTGATGGAAGTTTACCTAGAGGTAGATGTGGACACAATAAATTACAAACCCTTTTTTTCCCCCCAGCCCTGCCCTACATAGCGAAATTACAGGCAGTTTTATTTTTGGTATTTAATTTCTATACCTTCTATAACCAGCAGATTTATGTTAAATCTGATGGTAACAGTGATTAGAAACATGGTAGCAGGCTGGGCATGGTGGCTCATGCCTGTAATCCTAGCACTTTGGGAGGCTGAGGCAGGCAGATCACCTGAGGTCGGGAGTTCAAGACCAGCCTGGCCAACATGGTGAAACCCTGTCCCAACTAAAAATACAAAAATTAGCCGGGCCTGGTGGCAGGCGCCTGTAATCCCAGCTACTCGGGAGGCTGAGGCAGAAGAATCGCTTGAACTCGGGAGGTGGAGTTTGCAGTGAGCCGAGATTGCACCACTGCACTCCAGCCTGGGCGACAGAGCAAGACTCTGTCTCCAAAAAAAAAAGAAACACGGTAGCATACACTTTTGATCTTTCACAGTCAAAGTGGCTTTCGGGGCATCTGCTCTTTTGATGGGACCCTTTAGGTAAATTCTCAGTACCCGGGCCTGCTTTCTGCAGAAGGAAGCGTTGCCAGGATTATTCTAGCATAAAGAAGGTGGTGAGCTCCCTGTGTTTAGGGCTGTGCAAGGAGAGGCTAGGGCTCCAGCCTGGCCCCAAAGAGCAGTTAAATTCGGTTGACAAAGGGGCTGCCTGCTAGGGGTGGGAGAGCTGCACTAAATGATTTTCTCTCGGTGTGGCCTAGTTAAGAGGGAGCCATGAGGCCACAATGCTCAGAGCTGTCCCAGGGACACCAGGGACACCTGGTGCTGGGTCTCAGGGTCACCAGGAGCTCTGGGGATTGTGAAGAGGAGAGAGGCAGACCCAGGAGCCCAGCTGGGCGCTAATAAATAAGGGCACTGAAAAATTTTCTGTTGCCAACACTAAATTAATGATGTTAGCGAGGTGGGTTTGCTGCCATGGCAAAGCCCCTGGGCTCTGAGGGGGATGGGGAGGCTGAGTGAGACAACCACGGGGACTCCTGCTTTGTGGCCAGTGGAAAGTCAGCGCCAGTGGAAAACAGGGCTTTGAGAAGAAGGTCATTTCCTGCCAGGGATCTGTCTGCTTTCTCTCCCAAATAGGAAGTTGGTCCCAGAAAAGGCTGAAAGTGCTGCCCTTTGACCCTGAAGAGCTAGGAGGCAGGAGCCAGGCCCTCACTGACACTAGCTCTAAGAGCCACCTCCGGCTGGACCTGCCAGACCTGCCATTCCCAGACACAGAGCAGACCCTGTCTGGCGTGGCCAGGCTCCCCCAGACTCCCTGGCACCACCTGTGAGATAGCACTGAGCAGGGGCCTCATTACAGCCCCTATCTCCCAGGCAGACTGCTCCTAAGAATGTCAGCAAGGAGAGGGTCTGGCTTCCCACCTCCATGGTACACAAGAAAACAGGCCTCGGGAGGGGAGGGACGGTTGCAGATAGGGCTTGGAGATGGTCCCAGCCTGGAACGTGTGCTGCTTCTGCTCACAGCCCTTCTGTGGCTCCCCAGCTTACCTGCAGAGAAAGTCACCTAGTGTTCATGGTGGCCACTGCCCAAAGAAGCATTAGCTTTGCCTCATTTGATACTTTAAAAAGTATTTAATGCGTTGCTAACATTAGTAATGGGAGGTTTTCCCACAAAGCCATGGGGTTCCCTCTCTTGAGAAGTTAGCATCTCTGACCAGCGTGGACTCACTCCCACATGGCTACAGCTGCTGGGCTGAGAGGAGGCTCCTCCCTGGGGTGGGACACAGGCACCCTGGGCACCGCAGTCCCCACCACTCCCTGCAGCCTTCCCCTGCACTGCCCTCACTCATTTAAATTACTGCCCCACTCTTGGAGGCATTTGAAGATTTTTCCTCGGGCTTAGTCCAGTTTCTCTTTGAGCAAGTAAGGAAACAGAGAGAGGGGAGGTGCTGAGCCCGCCAGCATGAGATGTAGCCAGGCCAAGAGCACATGTCACTCGCGGGCTCTGATCCCCTGCAGGCTCCTGGTCACTCCAGGGGTGACTGCCAAGAACAGCTAGAATGTGTTGAGCGCCCCTCCCACCCCACTGTGCCTCACAGGCATCGTCTCACTGATCATTCCCAACAGCCACACGCGGTAGGTGTCACCATCATCATCCTATTTTATGCTGAGGATCCAGGGGCTCAGAGAGATGGAGTGATTGTTCCAAGGCCACACAGCTGACTAGACATGAAACTGGGATCCCGGCCAGAGCCCACACTCCTTTATTGTTTTTATTTATTATTATTATTTTTGAGACAATGTGTGTCTGTGTCACCCAGGCTGGAGTGCAGGGGCACAATCCCGGCTCACTGCAGCCTCTGTCTCCCAGGTTCAAGAGATTCTCCTGCCTCAGCCTTCCCTGTAGCTGGGATTACAAGCATGTGCCACCACGCCCAGCTGTTTTTTGTTGTTGTTGTTGTTGTTTGTTTGTTTTTAGTAGAAACGGGGTTTCACCATGTTGGCCAGGCTGGTCTCAAACTCCTGACCTCAAGTGATCCACCTGCCTTGGCCTCTCAAAGTGCTGGGATTACAGACATGAGCCACCGCACCTGGCCCACGCTCCTGATCATGGGTCGCCACCCCACCCTCCAAAGCAAGGCCCCATGTGGCCCCTGCCCTCTGCCTCACCACCACACTCTACTCTGCAGACGCTGCAGCTCCAGCCATGCCGACCTCCTTACTGCCCCGAGTACTGCCCTGCACTCATCAAAGTCCCACCAGCCCTTCAGAACTCGGTCTACTGGGCTCATTCTTAGCGTGTTAGAGGGGCTGTTTATGTGTCTGCTGCTTCTGCCCCCCTGGCTGCTCCTGGAGGACAGAGAATCCTCTAGCAACCAGCACATGCCTTGGGCCTAGTGGGCATCTTTAAGTGTTAGAGGGGAGGCAGGAGGGAAAGCTTGATGGATGCGTGGAAGGATGGGTGGAGGAAGGACGGATGGGTGGGATGGTAGAAGCTGAAACCAGAACCCCACCCCACCCCCAGCTCCACTGCAATAACTGCCAGGCCAGTCCTAGGAGGGTCTTGCTGCTGCCCAGCTAAGTCTTCCTCCTGGAGGGGGACGTGGAAGTCCCCCAAGCCCAGGTACCGAAAGCCACAGCAGCCCAGGGGCAGCAGTGTCAGTGCCTCTCCTCACAGGCTGGAGTGCCCAGACGGGCTGGAGAACCAGCTGAGCCAGACACTACCCCACCACCCAGCCCCTCCTCTCCCATAGTGGGAGGGCTGGGGGCCCTGGGCCTGTCCTTCCTCTCCAGCCAAGGCCATTTTGTCCAGCCTGACTCTACCAGGCAGCCCCTAGGGGTTCCTGCCTAGAAATCCATGTCCAGCAGTGAGCCCTCTGCACTCCAGCCCTCCAGACAAACCTGGCTTCTGGCCCCAGCCTGCTCTCTGATTGGCTATGTGTCTTCCAGTGAGCTCCTGCCTCTCTCCCAGCTTTGGTTTCCCTATCTGTCAAATGGGGACAGGAACAAATGGGCTGTCCAAACCCGCCTTCACTGACATTGACTGTGCCATTCTATTCCCTCTCTGACTCTCCCTGCTGCCCTGTATTTCCTCCCAAGCCCCCACTGCCTTGTCTTCCTGGGGCCCTCCAGCCACTCCAGGCAGCCCTTCTGGGCCAGCGGAGCGGGGCTGGAGGCAGCGGCAGCATCCAGAAGCCAGCTGCAGCTCTCAGCCGGCCGCCTCCCACCCCCACCCCCACCGGCTCCCCTGCCTACTTTACTAATTGCAGGGTTGCAAGATGCCATCTGCCTCCCAGGCCCCAGGCAGGCGCCTCCCAATGGAGAAGGGCCCCCCTGGAAAGCCTCCCAGTCTTCCTCAAGCCCCACAGACCCAGCTGCACTGGGGGTGGTCTCCAGAGTGCTCAGACTCCCTCCCCATCCCAGGGAGGGGGCCTGAAAAGGTGGAAGCGTGAAGCCTTCCTCCGAGGCTTTCCCATTTCCCAGGCTTCCCCTACGTCAGAGAGGAGCAGCCTGGCCTTCCCCTCCCCTGCTGAAGGCCTAGCAGGGCTGGCCACATCCTGGCTCCTGGGGTGCCCCAGACTCTCACCCTTGAGCACATTCTCCAAGTGGGCTCAGCTCCCTGTTACTCTAGGGAAAAGTCCAGATGGGCCCCTTGCTATGGCCTCTCCTCCTCCCCAACTGCCTTCCCCAGCAATGCCACTGCACCTGCCTTGCGACCTGGGCACCAATGACCTGGTCTGACTGCATGCCAGAGAACACAGGGATTTGGGACCATGCTCCATCAGCCCACCCCTGGACCCTGAGCTCCGAGCTCTGAGGGCAGGAATCCTGCCTGCAGGAACCTGAGTGTGTCCCCAGGAAAGGAAGGAGAGTGTCATTCGGGGCTCATGCTCCTTCTCTATTTTGCTGTTTAATTTTTACCTTCATAACCCCCTGGGAGGTGAAAAATGGCAAATGAGAAAACTGAGGCCCAAGGAGGGAAGGACCCAGCCAGGAAGTGGCAGGATCAGGATTCGAACCAAGGTAGCTCCAAAGGCTGGGCATTTGCAGCTACAGCACTGAGCCAGCGATGAGCTGACAGCTGTCACCAAACCCTCTCCCTTCAGATCATTGTGCAAAGCCCTTTCTCACCCAGAGCCTCACCTGATCCCCTAACTTAGAAGGGTTGCAGTTGTGAATCTCATTACCTAGATGAGTAAACTGAGGTCCAGAGAGCAAAGTGGCTTGTCCCAGGGTACCCAGCATCTGTGTCCTGAGAATCCCCAGATCCTCTTAATTGGGCCATAATCCATCACTCCTTTATCCCCCACCCATTCTTTTTATTTTTTTTCGTAGTTAAGGAAATAATGACCCCTTCATTATCATAAATTCAGAGAGCGTAACCAGACAGATGTGGATTTGCCTCCACCCCTAACCATGCAAGCCGCACAACATCTCAGAGCCTCAGTTTCCACCTGTGTAACACGGGATGTGCTGTGGGGCTTAGAAAGGACCTTTGTCACGCCCCTCACACAGGGTCCAGCACCAGCAGTATTGTTGTGTGTCCACCTTTGTCCCAGGGCACCTGTCAGGTCTGTGTGGGAGACCAGTTGTTCAGGCAAAAAAAGCACACTTGTCTACACTGGGGCAGGATCCTTGTCCAGGATCTGCCTCTGCCTGCACGGCCTGCCCTACCCAGCCACAAGTGTCTCCCCCTGCCCTCAGTCCCCTCTCAGAAACCTCCACCCGATCAGTCGCCCAGGTGTCTTTTTTTTTTTTTTTTGAGACAGAGTCTCGCTCTGTCACCCAGGCTGGAGTGCAATGGTGTGATCTTGGTTCACTGCAACCTCCGCCTCCCAGATTCAAGCAATTCTCCTGCCTCAGCCTCCCAAGTAGCTGGGACTACAGGCATGCACCACCACGCCCAGCTAATTTTTGTATTTTTAGTAGAGACGGGGTTTCACCATGTTGGCCAGGCTTGTCTTGAACTCCTGACCTCGTGATCCACCCGCTTCGGCCTCCCAAAGTGCTGGGATTACAGGCATGAGCCACCGCTACTGGCCCGCCTAGGCATCTTAATGCTGAGCTATCTCAATTCCAGGATAGGATGGGGATGGGAAGTGGCGATGCTTAGAGAGCAGTGACACCTTTGTCTGTCCCTGGACCACCACCGTCCCCACCATCCCCACCCTGATGGCTGATAAACTGGACTCAGGTGTATAACAAAATCCTGTAGGAATCAGTCTGGTAGAAATCCTTTATCAGATGAAGCTTATCTGGTCCCCCAATCCCTGAAGTGTAAACTGAAGAAGCTGCCAATCTAAGAAAGGTAGGGGCAGAGAGAAAAAAGAGGTGCCAGGCTAAACAGGCTGACTTCGTTATTTCTTTTGATGCTCCTGACAGCCCGGTAAAGTGATGACAATTATCCCCTGTAAGGGGATAATAATTAATTATCTTACAGGTGAGAAAACCGAGGTTGAGATCTTCAGCAGCTTCCCAGGGTCTCAGAGCAACTAAGAGGCAGGGCTCGAACCAGGGCTAGTAACCCCACTGCATCTGCTGCCCATGGCACACCCTAAATATAACACACACCTCTTCCTGGGCCTCCCGGGGCCCTGAGGTCTGGATGGTGTCTCTTTTCACAGCTTCATCTCCCCACAGCACCCCCTCCCTGACTATATGCCAGTCCACTGGCCTCCTTTCCACTCCTCCAACACCCCAATCCCACTCCTGCCTCGGGGCCTCCAGCCGGGCTGTTCCTCCTGCCTAGAACCACCTTTCCCTCCTTCATATCCTTCCAGTCTCATTTTAAAGGTCACTTCCAGGCCGAGTGCAGTGGCTCACACCTGTAATCCCAGCACTTTGGGAGGCCGAGGCGGTGGATCACTTGAGGTCAGCAGTTCGAGACCAGCCTGGCCAACATGGCAAAACCCCATCTCTACTAAAAATACAAAAATTAGCCGAGCATGGTGATGCACACCTGTAAACCTAGCTACTAGGCAGGAGAATCACTTGATCTGGGAGGTGGAGGCTGCAGTGAGCGGAGATCGTGCCACTGCATTCCAGCCTGGGTGCGGAGTGAGACTCTGTCTCAAAAAAAAAAAAAAAAAAAGTTAAAGGTCATTTCCCAAGGGCAAGGAAGTGGTAAGGGCTTCCCTGACTCCTCTAGCTAAAAGGATACACCCTCTCCTGTGCCCCTATTAACCTGCATTTCAGTCCCTTGACATTGATTTTTCCAGATGGCTTCACTTTCCTCATTGCCAATGTTTTCACCTGGCTGGTGCTGCCCTCCCGTGACCTTGCCGGCCGGCGAGTTCCTCCTTTTTGCTCACCTTGGTGCCCCCACCACCTATGCCTGCCACATAGCTGGAGCTCATTAAGCATTGGATGGATGGATGGATGGATGGATGGATGAATGGATGGTTGGATAACCTCCCATGCTTCCTCTCAGGCCCCTGCTCTGGGCACTCGAAGGCAGCAAGAGCTGGAGAGAGAAACCAAGTCAGGCAAATGCACTGTGCAAAGTTTTTTGAGAGGAAATTCAAAGATGCAGTGCTATTAAAAATTGATATTTCAATGAGATAATCCCTCTCCTAGGCTTTTAATTGATTGTCTAAAAAGCCTTCCTCTGTTGTTGTGCTTCTTTATTTGCAGGGACCATTAATTTTTTTATGGACGATCAAACCCAGATAGGGTGGAGGGGCTACCGCACGGCTGATTCAAAAACAGTAACAGAGGCGCCAGGAAGGAACATCTGGGGTCTGGCCATGGAGCTGGCCTTGGCTGTGGGTCCTGGCAGTGGGGGGGCTGACTCCCTTGAGGAAGGAGGGGAAGCTCCTATGCATCCAGGACACACACACACATACACACACACACACACACACACCCCTCTGCCCTCAGTCCCAAGGGACAGGCTTCGTAAAGGGAGGAGAAGGTGGAGGCTCAACAAGGGACTGGGGCAACAGGTCCCCCAACATCGAGGCAAAGCCCCATTCTGGGAGGTGGGACTCCTGGGTTTCTCCCTTGCCACTGGTGGCCAGTTCCCCATCCACTCCAGGCATTGGTCCCTTGCAGGACAGGGCTGGAGGTGGACAAGGAAGAACAGAGAAGAGGACTCAGGATTTCTAGATGCTGCCACTTCTCCCCTCTGGGCCTCAGTGGGGGTAACAGTGGCTCCAGTCTCAAGGGATGGCTCTTCAGGCCAAGCACAGCACCTGGCACCCATGAGTGTGCAGGAAGAGCTTCTGTTGCTCTCACTGTTGTTAATCTCAGCTTTCTTCTCCCGCTCCGCAGGCAGCAAATCCTTGCCACGCCAGTCCCTCCCACATGCTGGGCTTGCACGGCTTTGTGGCTGCAGAGGTGTTATGCGCGCACCTGTCTGCCAGGTCACCGGCCCCATCTGCTTCTACCGCATCTATCCACTCCATCAGCCTGACAGGCAGCCTCAAGGAGGCCCCAGAGGCTCTCCGGCTACCCGGCAGTGAGCCATGGCTGGGCTGGGCTGCTCCCCGAGCTGGCCTCCCACGCTTACCTCCTCTCTGCTGCTCCACGCCTGCAAGACCTCTTTTCTGGGAGGAAGAGACTTGCCAAGAAGGCCAGCTTCACGGTTGTGCGGGCAGCCTGTGCTGTCACTTTGGGCCCTACACTTCCGAGGGCCCAGGGCTTGGTTTAATGCTCTATTGTCACCCCTCGGCAATTTATTAATAATTTGTCGGCAGGGCACATATTCTTTTTGTACTGGGCCCCAAAAATGATGTGGCCAGTCTTGCTGCCACAGGACAATGCTGCTTCAGGAAATGGCCGCAAGGTGCATCCCCAGGGTAATGCCTATACCTTTAGGCCATGGACTGTCCCTGCAGAGGGTTGACCTAATCCCCACACCTTCCGTCTTCACCTTACCCAGGTCCTCCCAGCTGCTCAGTGCAGATGCCCTTCAGGGGATGCGCAAGTTTGTGGGGAATGACTTCTCCACGCATCGCTAAGTCTCAGACCCTGGGGAGGGGACTTAAGGGTATGGCAGGGGGGTCCCCAAACCCATATGTTCAGCAAGTCTCATCTGTGGACTGAGCAAATAATGTTTCACCCAAACAATTGTGACTCTTGTCAAGTGGAAGTTTGGAGTCCTCATAGCAGAGGAGGAACAAATTAATTTGAATCATCTGGGGAATTCCTAGTAGCCTTTGGTCAACATATTGGTCTTGGAAGGGTTTTTTTTTTTTTCAGGTACTGAATATTAAAGGTAAGACAGCTTTGACCTTATGGGCATCAGAAGATTTCCTCCATCGATGCCCACCCTCAGATGGGAACAGGGCAGGCTGGCAAAATGCAGCTGAAACAGTTCACTTTGAGAAATCTCTCCTAAGGAAGTCTGTAAGCACACATCATCTGTAAGTGCAGGCGCAAATATTTAGCCACACGAGTGCTCATTGTGGCATTGTTTACAAAAGCAAAAATAGAGACAGCTAAATGGCCGCAGTCAGGTACTGGTTAAATAAATGACAGTGTGTTTCTCCAGGGGTATGTCGGAGACTGTTGGTAAAATTCACCTTTTCCTGCGAAAGAAGAGGGAGTGAGTGAAAAATCAGTTTTGGAAAAAAGCATCCAACGTGGGCTTGGTTTTCTGTCTATATCTGTGGAGGCACTGAGACCATAGTGTTCGTCTCAGGGTCATTGTTTTTCTTCCTTCTTATCCTTGAGTGTCCTGGCTTCCAGTAGCCAATCACCAAGGAGTCAGGGACACTTGCCATTCTGAAGATCTCTCAGACCTCTTCAGAGCCACCAACCCTCTCACTACTCACCACCTCTCTCCTTCGAGACTTGCTCTTGCTTCCTGTCTTGCTCCCCCAGTTCCACTAGGCCCCCTCCATATGCTCTCTAAGGACAGCCAGAGGGATTCTTTCTCAAAATATAAACTGGGGCCGGGCGCGGTGGCTCATGCCTATAATCCCAGCACTTTGGGAGGCTGAGGCAGGTGGATCACTTGAGGTCAGGAGCTCAAGACCACCCTGGCCGACATGGTGAAACCCCATCTCTACTAAAAAAATACACAAATTAGCCAGGCATGGTGGCATGCGCCTATAATCCCAGCTACTCAGGAGGCTGAGGCAGAATTGCTTGAACCCAGGAGGCAGAGGTTGCAGTGACCCAAGGTCGCGCCACGGCACTCCAGCCTGGGCGACAGAGTGATACTCCATTTAAAAAAAAAAAAAAAAAGTCAATTGGATCTTATCTCCTGCTTCGTGTAAAACCCTTGACTGGCTCCCTGTTACTCTTAAGATAGAGCTGGAACCCTGGGACTGGCCTTCAAGACCCTGTGTCTGGCCTCTCCAAGCACGCACTTCCCCTCCTCACTGCACTCAGCCACCCTGGCCTCCTCCCAAGCCCATCTCCAGGCCAGGGTCTCTTCTGCCAAGGGGCCTTTACACGTGCAGTTCCCTCTACCCAGAACACTCTCCCTCTCTTCTTCACCAAGTTAACTAATCCTTTCACTTTCACCTTAAGGGTCCCTTCCTTAGGAAGCCTTCCCAGACAAATCAGGTCTCCCTGTATCTCTGTCTTTTGTTTTTTGTGTTTAGAGATAGGGTCTCTCTCTGTTGCCCAGGGTGGAGTGCAGTAGCATGATCTTGATTCACTGCAGCCTTGACTTCCTGGGCTCAAGTGATTTTCCTGCCTCAGCCTACCAAGTAGCTGGGGCTACAAGCACATGCCACCATGCCTGGTTAGTTTTTTTATATTTCCTTGTACAGACTGGGTCTCATTATGTTGCCCAGGCTGGTCTCGAACTCACAGCCTCAAGTGATCTTCCCACCTTGACCTCCCAAAGTGTTGGCATGAGCCACTGTGCCTGGCCCCCGTATCTCTTCTAGCACCCTATAGCTGTTTCCACTCCCTCTGCCCTTCTCACAGTTGCACTTGCTGGTCACTTGCACTACACCGTGAACTCCTCAAGGCCATGGACTCTTCCTGTGGAACACTGTGTCCCCAGTGCCCAGTGCCTGGCACAGAGTAGGTGCTCAGATGTTTGCTGAGTGGATCAATGAATCAGGGAGGGAGAGGAGGCTGGCCCAAGCACTTGGCCTCCCTTCGCTGCTGCCTGTCCAGGGAGCAGCTTGTCAGACCTGCTATTAGCATCTCACGCATGTGCTCAGGAAGGCAGTCCAGGGAGAACCCTGTGCGGGGAGGTGGGGCTGGAATGATGTCCCAAGCCTCCTTCCTGTGAGCTGCTCTCTGAGCCCATCAGAAATCGCCCCTCGCCCAGCCTCCTCAGGAGGAAGCTAAAGGAGCTAGGGGGCCCCTGTCTCCTTCCTCTCCACGCCCCTCCTGGTCAGTCCACTTTGATGTGAAGGTTCCTGGGGAGGCTGGTTTGTGTCACTGTCGAGTCGGGGAGGGAGACAGGAAGAGGCCTCATCTCTTCTTTTTTTTTTTTTTTTTTTTTTTTTTGAGATAAGTTCTCACTCTGTCACCCAGGCTGAAGTGCAGTGACACAGTCATGGCTCACTGCAGCCTCGACCTCCCGGGCTCAAGTGATCCTCCCACCACAGCCTCCTGAGTAGCTGGTACCACAGGCATGCGCCACCGTGCCCAACTAATTTTTATTATTATTATTTTTTGTAGAGACAGGGTTTCGCTTTGTTGTCCAGTCTGGTCTTGAACTCCTGTGCTCAAGCAATCCTCCCACCTCAATCTCCCAAAGTGCTGGGATTACAGGCATGAGCCACAGCACCTGGCCAAGGCCTCATCTTAACTGGACAGAGGGGCCAGCTCTCAGTGCTCCCGTGTAGCTCTCGAAGACACCAGCCTCTCACCAATGTCATTTGAAAAGAATTCATAGCCAGGCGTCGTGGCTCACGCCTGTAATCTCAACACTTTGGGTGGCCAATGCGGGCGGATCACATGAGGTCAGGAGTTTGAGACCAGCTTGCCCAACATGGTGAAACCCCATCACTACTAAAAATACAAAAACTAGCCAGGCACGGTGGCGGGCGCCTGTAGTCCCAGACACTCTGGAGGCTGAGGCAGGAGAATCATTTGAACCCAAGAGGCAGAGGCTGCAGTGAGCCGAGATCGCACCACTGCACTCCAGCCTGGGTGACAGGGTGAGAATCCGTCTTAAAAAAAAAAAAAAAAAGAATTCACCAGTCTGATGGCTGTGGTGACATTGCCCAGGATTCAGGGGACTCCAGGTGTCTTCCTCTTCCCTGGGCCTGGCACCTGGCTCTGTGGAGCTTACCCTTTTCCCCAAGAGTAGACCTGGGGAGTGTGGGGGGAGCAAGGACCTTGCGAGAGGCCCCATAGAAGGCTGACATGAACAGGGACCCCCATCCTTCTAGGTTATGCCAAGGCCCCAAGCAACAGAGTCTCCAGAGTCACTAGTTCAAGTCCTGGCATGACTGCATCATCTTGGACAGATTCTTCTACTTCCTGGGCCTCAGTTTCTCTACCTGTGAAATGAAGATTGTTTCCGTGAGGTTCAATAGGCTAGTAAGGTGACTCCCCAGGTGTGGAGCACACCATGGTGATATATACAGTGATTTGAGCCACACTCCACTAAATGGCCTTAACCAACACTGGGCTGAACTATGAGAAAGCAATTCCCTATTCGTGTTTCTTTTCCTTCTCTGACTATTGTCAAGGGGAACGCCTCAGACAGGTGGTAGCATGGGTTTGTCCTCTCTCTGACATGTGCTGAACGCCTTTTAACAAAAGCCTTACAGCTTTCCAGGCAGGCATTGTTTGCCAGCCCCGGTTGAATGTGCTTGTCTTATTTTCAAGGTATTTTATTTATACAGTTTGTTCTTGAGGCAAATAGAAAAATGTGAGGTGATTTAAAGAAAGGTCTTGAGCAAATAATAGTAGAGGAGATGCTTGAATCTGGCAAAAATCACAGAGTAGCTAGAATGGCCGGGCCTGGGAAATGATTTTATAGCGTGGGCAAAAATTCCCTGAAAACTTTCGTGTACGGTATAAACATGGTTGGAGGTCAAGGGCATGGAAAAGTCACGCCACAGAAGGGCTTTGCCTTTCCTGGGTGAAAACTTCAGGTTTGCGGGGCTAAGGCCCAGAGAAGATGATTAAAACAGTGGTTGGCTGGGTGTAGTGGTTCACACCTGTAATCCCAGCACTTTGGGAGGCTAAGGCTGGAGGACTGCTTGAGGCCAGCCTGGGCAACATAGAACCCTGTTTCTACAAAAAATATGAAAATTAGTCAAGCAGGCATGGTGGCGCACATCTGTAGTCCCAGCTACTCAGAAGGCTGAGGCAGGAGGATCGCTGGAGCCCAGGAATTCGAGGTTGCAGTGAGCCATGATCGTACCACTGCAATCAAGCCTGGGCAACACAGTGAGACCCTATCTCAAAAAACAAAAGCATATAGAAATTAGCTGGGCATGGTGGTGTGTGCCTGTAGTCCCAGCTACTCGGGAGGCTGAGGCAGGAGAATTGCTTGAACCCAGGAGGCGGAGGTTGCAGTGAGCCAAGATCGCACCACTGCACTCCAGCCTGGTGACAGAGCGAGACTCCATCTCAAAACAAAAACAAAAACAAAAACAAAGCAAAAATAAAACCCCTCAGTACTTGTGACGACAGGCCTCCCTCCATTCCATGAACCAGGTGGTTGCTTCCACAGGTCTTATTTCACTGAACTCTTAGTGTTCTCATTTCTAGAGGAGGAAATTGAGGCTCTCAATGGTGAAAGGACCCAAGGTGGAGCTGGGATTGGCCCCAGACCCTTCCCTGCCTCCATTCTCAGTGTAGATTGCCAGGGACGCCTCCTCCTTCCCACCCTCTCCCAGTAGATGCCTGGGTTAGGCCCTGAGGCGTGGGCTACCATCTGTGCCCAGGAGGTAATCAGAGTCCAGCATGTAACCCCTCACAGAACACTGCCCCACACCACCCCCAAAACAGCCCATGGTGGGTGGGTGGGTGGGTGGGTAAAGGAGGTGCAATCACATCCCCACATGTCGGAGCCCCACAATACAGATGGCAAAGCTGAGGCACAGAGAGGTGAGGTGAGTTGCCCAAGTGTGGAACCAGGGCTCGGACAGTGTGGTTTGGCTCTAGAACGTATGTACTTTAGCACCACCCTTCTCTGCCTGGAATCTTCTCGTCCTTTACAGCACAGCCTCTTGGGCAGGCCGTGTGAGGTTCACCCACCCCCATTTCCAGGGGGAAACAGAAGTGCAGAACTGAGTCCACCTCATTCACTGCCCCTTACTCAATTGCCTCAGTTTCCCTCAGCATCACATTCTGACTGGAGGTCATGATTACCAGGGCCTTGGTGTTCCCTCCCGGACGAGGGAAGGCTGCCATCACAACCCCAGGCTTCACCAGATACCGCCCAGGAGAGCATCCAGCTTGGTCCTGCCATCTCTCCATCTCTCTCCTTTGTGGCTGCTCAAGCCCATTTCCTCCCAGACAAATTGGGGCAAAAGCCAGCACCCAGAGCCACCAAAAGCCCCAATAATGCTCAGGTGAGGAGTAAAGCCAGTCTTCCCACCTAGAAAGAGTGTGGCCGAGGAATGAAAATGTAAGACAATAAAATCCATCGGCCGGGTGGGGCTGAGGGGCCCTGGTGAGGGTCGTTTGGGGCTGAATGGACTGCCAACCCCCCACGACAGTGACGGCGGCCTTTCGGCTCTGCAGGCTCGGGCCCAAAGGATCTAATAAAGCAAACACAGCTGGGACCAGCGTGCTGCCCCCAGCCCCTCCTGGCCTCAGGCCCAGCATCAATGCTGGACTGAAACAGGCTGAGGCCCCTGGCCATGAGCTAGAGGGGTGTGCCCAGTCACACCATCCTCATTTAACCTCTCCTAGGCAGTGCCGGGGGGTGGAGCGGAGACCGTCATCTATAAATTTCAGTGCAGCCCTGGGTCCCATCAAGGATTTAATTTATTTTTTTGAGACAGGGTCTTGCTCTGTCACCCAGACAGAGTGCAGTGTCACTGTCATAGCTCACTGCAGCCCCCAACTCCTGGGCTCAAGTGATCCTCCTGCCTCAGCCTCCTGAGTATCTAGAACTACAGGCATGCACCACCACACCTGGCTAATATTTAACAATTTTTTTTTTAGAGATGAGGATCTCGTTCTGTTTCCCAGGCTGTTCTCAAACTCCTGGCCTCAAGTGATCCTCCAGCCTCAGCCTCCCAAAGTACTGGGATTACAGGTGTGAGCCACCATACCCAGCCCCACTCATGACTGGGGGCCCTGAGGTTCCAGGAAGGAGAAGCACTTGCCAATGGCCTCACAACCAGAGGAACATCAGGTTGCAGCTGAGACACACCCTTCAGTCTCCACTTAATCAATTCTTGGTCTTCCACAGTGTCCACAACCCCCGGCCCTGCCCACACCCAAGGGTGGCATGAACACCTACAGGGTGCAACTTCTAAGGTCAGATTTGGAAACTGGACCTTGGGAAGATTGTTCATAGTAATAGATTGCAAATACTCGATTCCAGGTAACACATGAATGAAACAGTTTCAGATTTTGATATGTGATGGATGTATATATTGTATATGCTGTATTGTGATACATATCATATGCATTGTGTGTATGCATATGTGTGTGTGTCTCTGTGTGTGTGTGCACACGTGTGTGTATGGAATCATACAGAATGTACTTGTCTGGCTTCCTTCACTCTTACTCAGTGTAATTATTTTGAGATTCATCTATGTTGTTGCAGTAGTTCGTTCCTCTTATTGCTGAGCCATATTCCAATGTATGTATACATCTATTAAATTATTTTAAAATGCAAGCTGGCCAGGCACAATGGCTCACACCTGTAATCTCAGCACTTTGGGAGGCTGAGGCAGGAGGGTGGTTTGAGCCCAGGAGTTTGAGACCAGCCTGGGCAACATAGTGAGACACTGTCTCTACAAAAAATAAAAAAAATTTTTTTAATTAGCCAGGTGTGGTGGCACGTGCCAATAACCCTAGCTACTTGGGAGGCTGAGGCAGGAGGACTGCTTGAGCCCAGGAAGTTGAGGCTGCAGTGAACCACGATCACGCCTCTGCATTCCAGCCTGGGTGACAGAATGAGACCCTATATGTAATAAATAAATAGACATGTAAGCTAATAGATAGTGATTGAAGGTAAATCAATGGTTGCCTGGGGACTGACGGGGCAGGGAAATGACAAAGAAGGATTGTAAGGAAGAAAAATACTATAAAATGATAGATATATGCACTAACTTGATTGTGTTCTTAGTTTCCTGTGTGTATAACTATGTCAAAATTCATCAGATTGTACATTTTAAATACGTGAAGTTTACTGCATGTCGTATACTTCAACAAAACTATTTATACATATACATACACACACACACACACACACACACACACACACACACACAAACTAGCACCATCGGACCTGTGATTTAATGGATATTATTGCTTATTGCCTAGTTCAAGGGCAGAGCAGAGCTGGTGCTTATTTCTTTATTTTTTTAAGTGAGTTGGTTCTTCTGCTTCTGGGATGATGGAGTAGGCCTACTTTTTCCTATTCCTCCCAGTAAGTACAACTAAAAGCCCTGGAAGTTATATCCAAAACAAACACAAGAAGACTCTGAAAGATGGAGAGAAGAAGGCAGACAGACTAGGGAACGTGGGACTCAAGCAACAACACAGTGATGACTTTCCTGGGTTTTCCTTTTGCCTCATACATGGCATACTTGGAGCTGAAAAGGCCAGCAACCCAGAAATGTCAGTGGGCACAGAGCAAGAAACACCACCAAATGAGAAAAGCCTGCTCTCTCCAGCCAAAGGACCAAGAAAGGGACATCCTGGCTAGACAAAATGCTTAGACAATAACCACTCAGCTCCAGCCAAAAATCACAAAAACAAAACAAAACATAACAAAAATTGGTCTCACCTCCACCCATACCAGCGAAGGCTTAGTGGAGACTCTAGATTTCTTTTGAGACAGGGTCTTGCTCTGTCACCCAGGCTGGAATGCAATGGCATGATCTCAGCTCACTGCAGCCTCGACCTTCCTGGGCTCAGGTGATCCTCCCACCTCAGCCTCCCGAATAGCTGGGAATACAGTCTTACACCACTACACCTGGCTAATTTTTTTTTTTTTTTTGTAGAGATGGGGTTTTGCTATGTTGGCCAGGCTGGTCTCAAACTCCTGGGCTCAAGCAATCCTCCCACCTCAGCCTCCTAAAGTGTTGGGATTACAGGTGTGAGCCACTGCGCCCAGTCCAGGACTCTAGATTTCTGCCCTCGTCAGTCTATAACAAGTCACCTTAACTTTCCCACTAGCCAAAATTGAGACTCTCCTGCTGCCGTGTCAGTGTAGACCACATGGGAAGCCTGGACATGTACCTGACCTGGTAGTAATGAAGTGTCTCTCTCCCTACCTTCTGGGGTGGTGTCAGAGGTGAAGAGTCAAGTCTTTCACTATTGCCCAGTAGTAATGAAGCCACCTCCACAGTGGTATCAGTGGAGAACATGAGGATGCTGGAACTTCCATCCCTGCCCAATAGTAATGAGTGGGCAGCCTCCTGCAAGATATAAACAGAGGCCAAGTGGAGAACGTGGACTTCTATCTCCACCTAACTGTAACTAGGTGGTGTTCCCCTACCCCTGCTGGAGCAGTAATCAGAGAAAGCCAGCTAAAACAGGAGGCTTAAACAAACTCCAAAGTCTCATAACATAATATGAAAATATCCAGGTTTGCAAAAAGCACTCATCCCAAGAATCAGAAAAATCTCATACTGAATGAAAAAAAGGCAATCAATAGATTTCAACACTGAGATGACAGAGATGTTGGAATTATCTGACAAAGATTTTAAAGTGGCCATCATAAAATGCTTCAAGGACCAACTGCGAACATGCTTGAAACAAGTAAAAAATAAAACATAGAAAGTCTCAGCAAAGAAACAGAAGGTATAAAGAGATCCAGTGGGAATTTTCGAACTGAAAAACACAATAACTGAAATAAAAACCTCAGTGGGTGGGCTGAATAGTAGAATTGGGGAACAGGAAAGAGTCAGTGAACTGGAAGAGAGAGCAATAGAAATTGCCCAATTTGAACAACAGAGAGAAAATACACTGAAAAATACAGGACCTGTAGGACTGTAACAAAAGATTTAGTATTTGTGCCATCAGAGTCCCTGAAAGAGAGAAGAAGGAAGACAAGGCTAAAAAAAGTACTCAAAGAAATAATGGCTGAGGCCAGGCACAGTGGTTCATGCCTATAATCCCAGCACTTTGGGAGGCCGAGGCGGGCGATCACCTGAGGCCAGGATTCAAGACCAGCCTGGCCAACATGGTGAAACCCTGTCTCTACTAAAATTATAAAAATTAGCCGGGCTTGGTGGCACACGCCTGTAATTTCAGCTACCCAGAGGCCGAGGTGGGAGAATCCCTTGAACCCGGAGGCAGAGTTTGCAATGAGCCGAGATCACGCCACTGCACTCCAGCCTGGGCAACAGAGCGAGACTCCATCTAAAAAGAAAAGAAAAGAGGCCGGGCGCGGTGGCTCACGCCTGTAATCCCAGCACTTTGGGAGGCCGAGGCGGGTGGATCATGAGGTCAGGAGATCGAGACCATCTTGTCTAACACGGTGAAACCCCGTCTCTACTGAAAATACAAAAAATAAAATAAAATAAAATAAAAAATTAGCCGGGCGTGATGGCGGGTGCCTGTAGTCCCAGCTACTCAGGAGGCTGAGGCGAGAGATTGGCGTGAACCTGGGAGGCGGAGCTTGCAGTGAGCCGAGATCGCGCCACTGCACTCCAGCCTGAGAAACGGAGCGAGACTCTGTCTCAAAAAAAATAAATTAGCAAAAAATAAAAATAAAAAGAAGAAAGAAAAGAAAAGAAAGAAATAATGCTTTTCCACCTATCTTGGTATCCCTTAACACAAAATTAACCATCACAGTAGACTCTAGAGCAAAGAAAACTACCAGAGACAGAGAGGGACGGTATATAATAGTAAAAGTGTCAATCTATCAAGAAGATATAGAAATCCTTAATACAGGGCCGGGCATGGTGGCTCACGCCTGTAATCCCAGCACTTTGGCAGGGCGAGGCAGGCAGATCACAAGATCAGGATTTCGAGACTGGCCTGGCCAATATGGTGAAACCCCATCTCTACAAAAAATACAAAAATTAGCCAGGTGTGGTGGCACACCCCTGTAGTCCCCGCTACTCAGGAGGTTGAGGCAGAAGAATCACTTCAACCCGGGAAGCGGAGATTGCAGTGAGCCGAGATCGCACCACTGCACTCCAACCTAGGCGACAGAGCAAGATTCCATATCAAAAAAAAAAAAAAAAAAAAAAAGAAGAAGAAAAGAAAAGAAATCCTTAATACACATGCACCAAGCAAGAGAACTACAAAATATGCAAAACAAAAACTGATAGAAGTGAAAGGAGAAATGGACAAATCCACACTTATAGTTGGAGATAGCAACACCTCTTTCCAGCTATTGATAGTACAACTAGATATAAAATCAGAAAAGATGCAGAACTTAACCACAGCATCAGCCAACAGGATCTAACTGATATTTTTAGAACACTCTACCTCAGAACAGCAGAACATACCGTGTTTTCTTTTTTTTCTTTTTTGAGACAGAGTCTTGCTCTGTCGCCCATGCTGGAGTGCAGTGGCACAATCTTGGCTCACTGCAACCTCCGCCTCCTGGGTCCAAGCAAGCGCATCTGGCTAATTTTTGTATTTTTAGTAGAGATGGGGTTTCACCGTACTGTCCAGGCTGGTCTCAAACTCCTGGCCTCAAGTGATCCACCCGCCTCAGCCTCCCAAAGTGCTGGGATTACAGGCGTGAGCCACCACACCGGGCCCACACCTTGTTTTCAAGTGCTCATGAACATATACCAAGATAGACCATGTCCTGGCCATAAAACAAACTTCAACAAGTTTAAAAGAATTGAAATCTTACAGAGTGTTTTTTTCTGGCTACAATGGAATCAAACTAGAAATCAGTAACACAAAGAGAACAGGAAATTATCCAAATACTTAGAAATTAAACAGTACGCTTCTGAATGATCCATGGATAAAGAGAACGTTTCAAGGGAATTTTTTAAAAGATACATTGAACTGAATGACAGCGAAAGTAAAACATATCAAAATTTGTGGAATACACCTAAAGCAGCACTAATATGGACATTTATTTCACCTTAGAAAAGAGGAAAAGTCTTATATCTGTCATCTGAACTCTATATCATCTAAACTTGATAGACTGACACCTTAAAGACCTAGAAAAAAACAGCAAAATAAATTCAAAACCAGCAGAAGTAAGGGAATAATAAAGATAAGAGCAGAAATCAATGAAATCTAAAATGAGAGAGAGAGAAAGAGAGAGAGAGGGAGAGAGAGAGAATTAGTGGAACAAAGATTTGGTTTTTTTGAACAGATCAATAAAATTGACAAACCTCCAGCAAGACTGACAGAGTAAAAATGTCAGAGAAGACACAAATACCTACATCAGAAGTGAAATAAGGAATATTGCTATAAAACCTGAAGACATCAATAATAATAATAATAAGGTAATGTTTATTATTATTGTAAAGTTGACAACTTAGATGAAATAACTACTTCCCCCAAAGACACAAACTGTTACAATTCATTTAACATGAAATAGTTCATTTGAGTAGTCTTGTAACAATTAAGGAAATTAGATTTTAAATTTTAAAACTCCCAAAAAAGAAATATCTTTGGGAAGCCAAGGCAGCAGGTTCACTCGAGCCTAGGAGTTTGAGATCAGCCTGGGCAACATCACGAGAGCCCCCATCTCATTTTATTTAAAAAAATTATTATTGTTATAATTTTAAAACTCCAGACTCAGATGTTTTTGTTGAAGAATTATACCAAACATTTAAAAAAATAATACTAATTCTACAAAATTGTTTTCAGAAAATAGGAGTGAATTCTGTTCAATTCATTCTATAAAATCAGTACCCTGATACTAAAACCAGATAAAGGTAGCACAAAAAGAAAGACAAGAAAACTGGCCAGGTGCAGCGCAGTGGCTCACACCTGTAATCCCAGCATTTTGGGAGGCCGAGGTGGGTGGATCACCTGAGGTCAGGAGTTCAAGACCAGCCTGGCTAACATGGTGAAACCCTGTCTCTACTAAAAATACAAAAATTAGCCGGGTGTGGTGGCAGGCACCTGTAATCCCAGCTACTTAGGAGGCTGAGGCAGGAGAATCGCTCGAACCTGGGAGGCGGAGGTTGCAGTGAGCAGAGATGGTGCCATTGCACTCCAGCCTGGGCAAGAGAGCAAGACTCTGTCTCAAGGAAAAAAACTAACAAACAAACAAACAAAAAAACAGGCTAAAGATGAAAAATCATATATTAGTATAGAAAAGCATTTGACTAAATTAAACGTTCATTAATGGTAAAAAGCTCTCAAAAAATAAGAGAGGAGGACTTCCACAATTTGATAAAGAGCATCTACAAAAAACCTACAGCTAACGTTGGTCCTTAATGATGAAAAATTGAATGCTCTCCCCGAAGATCAGCAACAGGGTAAGGATGTCAGCTCATACTACAACATAGTGCTGAACATTTTAGCCAATGTGATAAACCACTAACAAATAGGTAGAAAAAGAGGAAAAAAACCTTTTCTACATGCAGATGACATGATTATCTATGTAGAAAATCTCAAAGAATCTACCAAAAAAAAAAAGACAAAAACCTCCTAGAACTAATATGTTCAGCAAGGTTGCAAAATATAATTATACAAAAATTATTTCCATATACCAGCAATGAACTCATTCATGGGCAGCAAAATTAAAAATGCAATACCATTTAAAATCACCAAAAATAAGTAAATAAAATAATTAGGTGGAAAGCTAACAAAATGTGTATAGGACCTGTATGCTGAAAACTCCATAATGCTGATGAAAGACATTAGAAATAAATAAATAAATGGAGAGACATACTGTGTTCTTGAATTGGAAGACTCAGCATAGTAAAAATGTCAATGCTCCCCAATTGATATACAGGTTTAATGTAATTTCTATCAGAATCCCAGCAAGATATTCTGTAGATATAGATAACATTATTCTAAAATTTACATAGAAAGATAGAGAATATTACCAGGACAGCTGAAACAATTTTGAAAAAGAGTAAGTTGGGGCTGGGCGCATTGGCTCATGCCTGTAATCCCAACACTTGGGAGGCCAAGCTGGTAGGATCACTTAAGGCCAGGAGATTGAGACCAACCTGGGCAACATAGTAAGAACTCCATCTCTACACAATAATTTAAAAAATTACTTGGGCATGGTGGTCTCAGCTACTCAGGAGGTTGAGGGTGGAAGATTCCTTGAGCCCAGGCACTCAAGGCTGCAGTGAGCTATGATCATGCCACTGCACACCAGCTTGGGGGACAGAGTGAAACCTTGTGGCAAACAAACAAACCAATAACTTGGGAGGAATTAATAACAATCTACCTCAGAGGTCCCCAATCCCTGGGCCACAGACCGGTACTGGTTGTGGTCTGTTAGGAACCTGGCTGCACAGCAGGAGGTGAGCAGCTATGAATGAAGCTTCATCTGTATTTACAGCCGCTCCTCATTGTTCACATTACCACCTGAGCTCCGCCTCCTGTCAGACCAGCAGCAGCATTAGATTCTCATAGGAACAAAACCCTATTGTGAACTGTGCATGCGAGGGATCTAGGTCATAGGCTCTTTATGAGAATCTAATGCCTGATGATCTGTCACTGTCTCCCATCACCCCCAGATGGGACTGTCTAATTGCAGGAAAACAAGCTCAGGGCTCCCGCTGATTCTACATTATGGTGAGTTGTGTAATTATTTAATTATATATTACAATGTAATCATAATAGAAATAAAGTGCACAATAAAGGTATTGTGCTTGAATCATGCTGAAAACACTCCCACAACATCCATGGAAAAATTATCTTCTATGAAACTGTCTGTGGTGCCAAAAAGTTGGGGACCACTGGTCTACCTGATTTTAAGACTTTTTTTTTTGAGACAGAGTTCCACTCTTTTTGCCCAGGCTGGAGTGCAATGGCGCGATCTTGGCTCACTGCAACCTCTGCCTCCCAGGTTCAAGCGATTCTCCTGCCTCAGCCTCCCGAGCACACGCCACCACACCCAGCTAATTTTGTATTTTTAGTAGAGATGGGGTTTCACCATGTTGGCCAGGCTGGTCTTGAACTCCTGACCTCCAGTAATCCATCCGCCTTGGCCTCCCAAAGTACTGGCATTATAGGCATGAGCCACTGCTCCTGGCCTTAAGACTTACTATATAGGCATAGTAATCAAGACTGTTATTAACAGAGAGATAGACATGCAGATCAGTGAAATAGAACAGAGAATCCAGAAATATGTCCAACTGATTTTTTACGAAGTTGCAAAAGCAATTCAATGAGAGTCTTTTCACCAAATAGAGCTAGAACAATCAGACATCCACAGGCAAAAAAAAAAAAAAATGAAATCAAACCTAAACCAAAAAAAGACATCAAAACCTCTATCAAATCTCACACTTCCTATAAAATTCAACTCAAAATGGATCACAGACTTAAATGTAAAATAAAATTATGGAACTTTCAGAATAAAACACAGGAGAAAATTCAAAGAGTTTTTAGATTAGGCAACAAAAGTGTGATCCATAAAAGGAAACATGGATAATTCAGACTTTATCGAAATTTAAAACTTTTGTTTTGTGAAAGACTCTGTTAAGTGGATGAAAAGACAAGCCAAAAACTGGGAGAAAATATTTGCAAACCACATATTCAACAAAGGACTAGTAGGTAGAATATACAACTCTCGAAATTCAACAGTAAAAAAGCAAATCATCACATGGGGTGCAGTGGCTCATGCCTGTAATCCCAGCACCTTGGGAGGCCGAAGCAGGTGGATTGCTTGAGCTCAGGAGTTTGTGACCAGCCTGGGCAGCATGGTGAAACCCTGTCTCTACAAAAAAATCCAAAAAATTAGCTAGGCGTGGTGGTGCACACCTGTAGACCCAGCTACTGAGGAGCCTGAGCAGGGAGGATCACTTAAGCCCCGAGGCAGAGGTTGCAGTGAGCTGAGATCACACCACTGCACTCCAGCCTCAGTAACAAAAAAAGAAGGCTTTTTATTGTGAAAATTCATTTGTGTTGTTGTTGTTGGCCAAAGCTCCCCTAGAGGTTTCTGGTGTTGAAAAACAGTTTGCTATGATGAATCAAGTGCTGGGAGCTTTAGGGGCTGTGGTTTGAAGCAAAGCAGGTGAGGTCAAGTTTGAAAGACGCATAGGGAGGTCAGGAGGTTGAGGCCCAGGCTAGCTTGGCCATGGGCCTGGGGCTGGTTAGCTCAGGCTGATCACAGACACCACAATGACCATCAGGGAAATTTTCAGACATCCAGAGGCAGCCTCCTTTTAAGCTCCCTGGGCAAGGCTGAGGCCCAGGCGTCTCCGGGGCAGGGGCATGCATTCCATGGGTGGGTGTTGGGATCCTTGGTCCCTCACTGCTTTAGGCCTATTCCTCTGAGACACCTGGACAGTAGCTGGATGTGGAGGTATTTTCATTTCTCAGGATTTTGGCTGTTCAGGTGGCCTATTGTTTTGTTTTGTATATATGGTCTAAAGCAGTGGTTCTCACACATTCGTGTGCATCAGAATCACCTGGCCTGTTAAAACACACATTTCTGCTGGAAACCCCCAAAAATTCTGATTTCATAGGTCTGAGTAGGGCAGGGAATTTGCATTTCTAACAAGTTTCAAGGTGATGGGAAGCTTCTGGTCCAGGGACTACACTTTGAGAAGCCCTGGTGTAAAAAGGTACAGACGTGAAAACCAGAGGGGGGACAGCTCCTCCCCAGAGGAGGCACTGGGCAACTTCTCTTGTCCCTGCCTGGCACAGCTGAGGCCTGTGACTGGGGATTCCGACAGATCAGTGAGTCAACCACTGCACAGGCCCGAAGGGCAGAGGTGAGGGGGTTGGGGGCTGGGTGGGGGCAGCAATGAAGGGGAATGAAGTTTGAGCTTGAGGGCAAAGTCTCAGGGGGACCTAGAATGGGAGAACTGGATGTTTTGAGGGTGGAGAGGAGACCAGGGAAGACAGAGGTGCTGGTGCGGCTACTTGAGGAGGGGTAGCAGAGGAGGTCACTGTGGGGCTGGGAGAGCTGGGCTGTGAGGGCCCAGAGAGTCATGATGGGGTTAGGGGAGCAATGGGTGTGTATGTGATTCCTGAAGAAGTGAAGGAATTGAGATATGGGGGCTGGGAGCTGATGTGGCGTATGGGTGTGTATGTGATTCCTGAAGAAGTGAAGGGGTTGAGATGTGGGGGCTGGGAGCTGATGTGGAGTTCAGCTTTCAGGGGCTGAGAGGCCATGTGGGCTTTGGGGCCCAGGGAGGGGCGGTGGGAATGAGCTGGGGGTACCGGGGGCGACCTGAAGCGGGTGCGGGGGTGCCAGGGCGCCAGGGCAGAATCGCGCGTCCCGCGGCTCGGAGGAATACGGCGGGGGCCGGCCGCCAGGGCGGGGCAGGGGGCGGGGCGCAGCGGCGAGACCTGGCGGAGGGGGGAGCGGAGCGGAGTCCCAGCCGGAGCCCCAGCCGGAGCCCGATCCCTAGCCCTGCGGCCGCGCCTCCCTCGCCGTCCCCGCCTGGAGCCCGGCGCCGCCGCCGCCCTGCCGCCCCCGCCAGCCGCGCCGTGACGCGGGCATGAGCCTGCTCCGCGGCGCCGCTGAGCAGGCGCTCCTGGCCCGGGCCTCGGCGCCCAGGTAAATTGGGGGGCGTGAGGCAGGGAGGGGGACATAGGCCGCCCAGAGCCTGCAAGAGTCTCGGCGACTCCCACCCCTGAGGACCCTCAGTCACTTCCTGAACCTGAGGACGCTCCGTCCCATGGGACCTTCCTACTCTCGGGTGGGGAGCTTAGAGACCCGCCCCCCAAAAGCCAGTGCCTGGGCCCTGAAACTCCCTGCGCTCTCTCCACCCGCAGCTTTCCTCTCCGGGGGAGCCCAGGTCGCGAGCTGACCTCACCCGCACCCACACAAACCTCATCCGAGCAACCCAGGCCCTGCGCTCCCGGGCCTGCCCCCCCGGAAGGGGCATAACCCAGCCCCTGGCAGCTCCCAACCTTCTCTCTGCCTTCCTGCTCCTCCCCGGGGCCTCCTGTTCGCTCACCTCCTCCAAATTCCAAGAGATGATTTTCTGTACCCCAGCTGGCCCCCACTGCCGACCCCCTCCTGCCTATGGGGTTTCTCCCCACAGCCCAAACTCATGGCCAGCTGCCTCCTGTCCTTGAACCTTTCTCCATTGGCCCCCAAGGTCCTGTCCACCTTCTCCCCCAGGGCCCGCAAGGCCCTAGATCCAGTTACATGCTTTCTATTACTGAAAAGGGGCATGAGCCGAGGCTGGGCACCTGGGTGATGTGGCAGAGCAGGGGCTCTGTGCAGCCTGCCTGCCCCAAGCCATGGGGACACGTCAGTTGCTGGGGCGCTTCCGCTTGGATGGAGGGTGTGGGTTGGAGGGGTCTGATGGCCAGGGCAGCGAGGGGCCTGGCAGTATCTCTAGGAGACTCCACTTGGGCAGTGTGAGGTGGGCTTGCTTAGGGCAGGTTCTTTCCTGGACCCTTTCAGAGGGATGTGGCGCTGGTACAGGCTCTTCCTGCCCCCACCCCCAACTCTGATCCCAGGAGCTGTGCCTCCTCTCCCCAGTTGCTTGCCTTGCTGTGCTGGTACTGGTTACTCCCAGCACTTCCCTCCTGGGCAGGGCAGCAGGGCTGGGCATGACCTCACCCCACAACCCTGGCCAAGGTGGGGCCGCCCAACTAGGCCTGGCCTCGATGTCAGCAGCATGCTCTTCCCTGAGGCAGCTCTGAACCAAACTGCGGGTCTTGGGCACAGCTGGTTCTCCAGTAACAACAGCCTGCTGGCCATGCCAGTCAGCGCTGAGACCCAGGAGCTGGGAGCCCACTGTGGCTCACGCACCTCTGGAAGCTGAGCCAGGTCCAGCCAGATGGAGGCTGGTGGTGGTGGAAGAAAGGATGGGGAGGAGGACAAGTCCTGGAGAGAATTACGTGTTCAGCCCCCAAATATTGAGCATCTCCTTCCCACCGGGCACCATTCTGGGAGCTGGGATAGAGCTGTTAACTAGACAGACGAGGCCGAGCCACCAGGGAGCTGACATTCCAGATGTCTCTCTGTGGCCAGAAACAAATGGACAGATGTAAGAACAAGAAAATCCCATGGTGATGTGCGATGAAGACAGCCGCATCTGATGTTGTGAGAGAGGCTGACTAGTGGGGGTCCTTTGGTGAGGGTAGTCAGGGAAGGCCTCCTGGAGGAGGTGGATGAAGCAATGGAATGAACCATGAGCATGTGAGGGAACAATGTTGTAGGTGGGAAACAGCTAGTGCAGTGGTCCCTCGAGGGAGGGGTTTTGGCATGTTGAGGGGTGGGCAGGGGACCCAGGAGAACCAGAGTGGTACGGGGCCACAGCATTACTCTCCTGGCTTAAGGGTCTGGGGGACCATGGCTGTTCAGATGTCCCCTCCTTCTGCCGTCCCTGTCTGCCTAGATGGGTATTTGGTCTGTCTTTGCCATCCACCTTGATGGGACTCACCATGTTTTGGCCGGTGGCCCCTATGGGGATCTGTTGGGAGCACTCCCAGCCGGCCTCTGACAACAATCTTGGGGTGGGGTGGGGGCAGAGCAGCAGGTGATGGGAAATGGCTCTGGTGCTGGAGAGAATCCCACAGATCCAATCTTCGCCGTTGGATCGAGACAGCCAGACGACACTGAGATGGTGTCCAGGTAGGGCTGTTCCTGCAGCCCTGATAAGATCCGATCTGTCAGGGGTGGGGAGGCCCAGCCAGGCAGGCAGCCGCTCGCTCAGTCATTGGTTGCCAGCCTCAGCGCGTTTGTTCTGGAGCCAAAGCCTCCAGGCAGAATCCATGTGCGAGAGGGAGTGCTCAGCATGGCTGCCCTGTGGGGCAGGTGGGCAGTGAGGGCCCTGGGAGTCTCCCTACTCCCCGCCACCCCAGGACACCAGCCCTTCCTGGGGAGAGGAGCATTTTGGAGCTGGCTCTCCCTGCGCGGAAACCTGTGGTGGCCTGGCACCAGGCAGGTACTGTCCCTGGGTAAGCAGCAGTATTGGTACCAGGCTGGGAGGTGGGATGCGGGGGGCCCTTGCTCCCCTCCTCCCTCACTGGAACCCTGAGAGCGACTGCTGGACACCGTGCTTAGCTGGGAGCTCGGAGCTCACAGTGCTGGGGAAGGACCCAAGACCTCAGGTCCTCTCAAAGTAGCAAGCATTCTTCCTGCTGCAGGCCTGTTGGGGACAAGGGCCTGAGGGACAAACAGGGCAGGGGCTACTTCAACCCAATTCCTGGCCTGCCTAGCCTCAGCTGCCCTCCAATTTTTGTATTTTTTTAATTGATTTTTTTGAAATTTTTTAGAAACAGTCTCACTCTATCACCCAGGCTGGAGTGCAGTGGCTTGATCATAGCTCACTGCTACCTGGAATTCCTGAGCTCAAGTGATCCTCCCACCTCGGCCTCCCCAGTAGCTGTGACTACAGGCACGTGCCACATGCCCAGCTTATTTTTTCATTTTTTGTAGAGACGGGGTCTCTCTATGTTGCCGGATCTGGTCTTGAACTCCTGGCCCCAAGTGATCCTCCCACTTTGGCCTCCCAAAGTGTTGGGATTACAGGTGTGAGCCACTGTGCCTGGTCTGCTCTCCACTTCTTGCTGTCCTATTGGGCCTTCACAGGCTCAGCTTGGGGGCCGCCTCGCTTGCTTAACACAGTGCATTCCTTCTGGAGGATGGTGGGTTGGTTCTGGGCCCCCCCCTCACCACTTGACCCCACTGCCTGTCAAATTTGTGGGTCCACCTATTGGCCCTGACCTTTCCCTCCCCTTCCGAACCCCTCTTTGCCCACCATTTTGGGTCCTAGGTTAGGTCTTGCTCTTGCAAACATCATTAGGGACTAAGTGTGGCCAGGGGTCCCTGTGACTCAGGGCCGGAGTGAGCTGGCAGGACTTTGGCACCCAGCCTTCCCCGTGAAGGTCACTCTTCCCGCTGGGGACCTGGGGTATGGGACGGGGTGGGGCCTATGGACAGACGCAGCAGGAGCACTCCTGCGAGCTTGGGGCCACAGTCCCTGGTGGGGCAACACTGGGAAGGAGCAGGCTGGCTTCTGGTGGTTTCACCGCCCTGTCTGGGCAGCAACTCTTGAAGAAAACTATATATATATACATACACACAGCCCTTGGAGTTTTCAAGGCAGAAGCTCTGGCCAGGCGCAGTTGCTCACACCTGTAATCTCAGCACTCAGGGAGGCCGAGCCTTGTGGATCACTTGACCCCAGGAGTTCAAGACCAGCCTGGGCAACATGGTGAAAACCCATCTCTAGGGGCCGGGCGCAGTGGCTCACGCCTGTAATCCCAGAACGTTGGAAGGCCGAGGCGGGTGGATCACAAGGTCAGGAGATCGAGACCATCCTGGCTAACACGGTGAAACCCCGTCTTTACTAAAAATATGAAACAATTAGCCGGGTATGGTGGTGGGCTCCTGTAGTCCCAGCTACTCGGGAGGCTGAGGAAGGAGAATGGCGTGAACCCGGGAGGCGGAGCTTGCAATGAGCCGAGATTGGGCCACTGCACTCCAGCCTGGGCAATAGAGTGAGACTCCGTCTCAAAAAAAAAAAAAAAAAAAAACAAAAGCCCCATCTCTACAAACAAGTTTTTAAAAATTAGCTGGGCATGGTGGTATGTACCTGCGGTCCCAGCTATTCAGGAGGCTGAGGTGGGTGGATCACTTGAGCCTGGGTGGTTGAGGCTGCCGTAAGCCGTGATGGCACCCCTGCACTCCAGCCTGGGTGACAGAGCAGGACACTGTCTCAAAAGAAGAAAAAGAAGGCCGGGCGCAGTGGCTCACGCCTGTAATCCCAGCACTTTGGGAGGCCGAGGCGGGCGGATCATGAGGTCAGGAGATCGAGACCATCCTGGCTAACACGGTGAAACCCCGTCTCTACTAAAAATACCGAAAATTAGCCGAGCATGGTGGTGGGAGCCTGTAGTTCCAGCTACTCGGGAAGCCGAGGCAGGAGAATGGCGTGAACCCAGGAGGCAGAGGTTGCAGTGAGCCGAGATCGCGCCGCTGCACTCCAGCCTGGGCGACAGAGGGAGACTCCGTCTCAAAAAAGAAAAAGAAAAAGAAAAAGGGTAGAAGCTCTGTGTCCCAAGTGGGCAAGCAGGTGCCTCATGAATTCATTTCCTCATTTAAAGTAGGTAGATTTATTCTCATTTTTTTCCAATGGGGAAATTAAGGCACAGGGTCTTAAGCGGCTTGCCCAGGACCACACAGCCAGCTGGATTCACACTCCGGGCTGTGCTATGTCTGAGCTATGTTGGATGAACCTGGGGGTCCAGTGGCTTCCTGTAGGCGTGTTCTGACTGGGGGCTTCCACACTGTAGACCCACAGCCAGTGGTCAGCCTGCTAATCATCTTGGAGAGGAACTCCTGAGCTGGTCCTTGCTCTGAGGAGAAGGCAGCCCCAGAGGCAGGCGGTGAAGACAGAGCTGAGAAAATTGACCCATCTCTGGCTGCCAGAGCCCAGGTGTAGCAGAGCTGTTGGGGATCAGTTGCCAGTGAGGGGACCCCAGACCAGACCTTATAGGAGGAATGTAGACTGCCTAACTGTGGGAGGTTCTTGGACCCCAGGGAGCTGGGATAGAGGCAGTGAATGGGCAGGAGTGGAATTGAGGGGCTATCAGGGTGCAAGTGGGATAGGGGCGCATTACCGTCTCTGCCCCTCCCTTGTTTGCGTGTGCCCACTGGGGTAGTCCCATCTGTGCGTGTGCCCACTGGGGTAGTCCCATCTGTTCCTTGTTAGGCACTCAACAGACAGGCCTCCAGGACATTAATTAATGCCAAGCTGCTGGCACAACCAGCAGCATGCCTGTCCCAGGGCCCCGTTCTGGCAGCACAGATACCCAGCTGACCCCAGAAATGCTGCTCCGTTCCCACCCGCTGATCCTGAAGACACAGGGGCCACATTGCTGGCATAACCCTGCCCCCGAGGATGGATGGCAGGGAAGGCTTAGGTGGTGGCAGGCAGCCAGAGACGGCAGCAGGATGTTCCCCCCACAGACTGGTCTCCATCACCACCCTGGACCTTCTCCTTCATCCCTGGCTCTGCCCCAGGCCTGCTGTGTGACCTTAGTCATGTAGCTTACCCTCTCTGGGCAACTTTTCTTTCTCCATCTATAAAATGAAGGGGTTAGACTGGGTCAACACTGAGCCTCCCCCTGAGTCTGAGTCTTTGTTGTCTGTAGATCTGCCTGATTTGGGGTGGCTCTGCTGGTACTCCCACTTCCTGCTCCATATCTACCTCCCCTTGGTATCCCACATTGTCTCCTGCATGTCTTGTTGCCCCAGGGCCCTGACTGGTACTCCTATAATTAACTCCTGCCCATGCTCAGGACATGGAGGGCCTGCTTGGCTTGGCCAGACCCAGTGGCCTGTTGGGGCCCGGGCCCCACCCTCACGGACTGGCCAGCGTTCCCAACCCCAGGGCCAGGGCAAGGCGTCTGCTCCCACAGTGGCTACCTCCAGCCGGCCCAGCACATTCCTCAGGCTTATCTGGAGGCCCGCCCCACTGGACTCTGCCCTCCCACCCAGGAAGCAGCACCCAGAGCTGCGTGCGGAAGAGTTGCAGGGCCTGGGAACAGGCCCTGCGTGAGCTCGAGGTAGTGATTCTTAGCCTGGGGCTGGAGAGAAACAGGTAGAGGACCGGGTGGGGCAGGAGGGTAGAGGGGTTTGTGGGGGCTGCTGAGCTGACCAGGCAAATTGTCTTTAACATTGCAGAGCATGGGGTTCACTCAGACACGCAGGGGTCATCTCCTGCGACCCTCCTCCTCCATCTCTGGGAAGCGCTTCCCTGCTACCCCTGGGAGCTCTTGTACCCAGGAAGGGGCTTTTGCTCTTGGCAAGTTGACCTAAATTTGCACCAGAGTTATCACAGTTGATGGGGCCACGATCCCAAAGTGCTGAGGGACAGCAGCTCCCTGCCACTTCCCTTCCTGGGTCCCCACCTCCACAGTAGGAGCCAGAGCCAGTCCTCCCAGGAAGGGGTTAACTGCCAGCCCCAGCCGTGAGGGAGGGGACTGGGCTGGACCATTTTCCTCACTGCCGCCTCCACCTCGGTTTTCCTGAATGGTTCTGTCGTCCTGGGGTGGGGAGGGAAGGGAAGGAAGAAGGGCGGGAGGAAGGAGGGAGGGAAGAGGGAGAGAGGAGGAGTGTGGGAAGAGGAAGGAAAAAAGAGAGCGAGACAGCGAGAGGAAGAGAAAGATGTCACTGTCTCTAATCTCCCTGTCATTTTTATTTCCAGCAGGCGCGGGGCGAAGGAGCTGCTAGAACAATGCTGAGGCGGGTGAGGTGAGGAGCAGCCCCTCGCGGCAGCCCCGACAGAGTGTCTGGAACAGGTGATTGGAGGAGCCGGAGACCCAGGCACCTGGGCATCCTTCCCCTCGCCTCTGCCAGGCCCCGCGCCCCTAAAAGGTGGGAAAACCATGGCGACCAATTTCAGTGACATCGTCAAGCAAGGCTACGTGAAGATGAAGAGCAGGAAGCTCGGGGTGAGTGACCCTGAGCTGCGGAGGGGCCCTGCCAAGGGATGGGGGCCCGAGGACTCGGTCCCAGGCTTGGAGGCATGGCGCGTGGGGCACGCGGCTGCCCTCCGGCTGCCGGGCATCGTGCATCTGTGGTCTCGGGGCTCCTCGCCAGCGTGCTGCCTGGCATGTGCCTGGGCTGGGTTCTGCCTGCTGCAGCCCCCGCCCCAGAGGGCTGGCTGGCATCCCAACAGCTGGGCCAGTGGTGGTGGTAGTGGCAGCAATGGTGGCCACCGATGGGCAGGCGGCTCCCCTGCTATTGTTGAAGTTGTCACCACAGCAGCAGCAGGGGCGGCTGGCAAGGCCGGGCTGTGTCTGAGCTGAGAAGCAGCGTCTCACTTCCCCTGGCCTCCTCTCCCTTCCGTTTGCCCCCCACCCCCGGCCTCCCCTCACCTCTCCTGGCCTCTTTTCTTTTAGGTCATCCTCTCCCCTTGCTTCTGACTGCTTTCCGTGTGCAGATATTTAGTAAATTTTTGGTTGTCGAGTTTAATGTTAAAGAAGTGTTTGAAAAGGGGAGTGGTTGGCTGGGCGAGACGGGGTGGTGTGAGGCACTGAAGCTGATATTTATGTGGTTTCCAAATGAGAACTTTGGGCAGAATGGTCCAGTGCTCTGGGACAGGCTGCTTCCCTCCAAGTTGTTGGTGGGTGACTCTGTGCTTGCTTGGTGCTTGGCCCTGAACTGGGGGCTTGGAGGGGCTACAGAGAAGAGGTCTTACTGGGCATGCATCCTGTCCTACCCTCTGTAGACCCCCAACTGGTGAAGACCCCCTAGAAGACAGGAGCAGAGGGGATCAACTTCATGATCTCGGCGAGGCTGTCTGAGAGCTGCCTCTATTCCTCTGCCAGGCCCCCCTGCCAAAGACAGGTCTGGCAGTTGCCCCTTCCCCTGTAGGAAGGACAGCCCTGGTGACTGAGGTCACCCAAGTCTTGTGTTTGACCCAGGACTCCTGTCCCCTTCTCCCTTCTCTCTCCCATTGCCTTGAAGGGGGCGGGTCGGCTCAGGCTGCTCAAGGATCCCTGGCTCAGCCTGAGTGGGGTTGGGGGGCATGCGGAGTGGGAGAGGGATCTGCCACCCAGCTTCCCTACCTGGGTACCAGACAGAGCAGGGCTGGTCTTGGAGAAGGTGGTTCTGGCCCCACTTCCCCTCCTGTGCCTCCCTGCCCTGGGGCTCAACCTAGTTGAGACTGGGCCCTGGCAGCCATCGGCTACTTTGCTCTTCCTCTGAAAGGGGGATCAGCCCACTGACTTGGAGCACAGAACAAAGAGAGAAGCTGAGGCTGAGGTAGGGAGGCCAAGGAAGCAGAGGCTTCGCTTCTAACATCACTTCTCATTCCTATGGCCCCAGACTTAGCAGGTCCCCAGGGGCCAGCTGGGCTGAGGCCTTGCCCAGGGCAGAGTGTGCCAGGAAGGCACCAGCCACAAGGGCAGCCACTTGGGCTCAGTATCAAACCTGTTCCAGAGGGAGACTGAGTGGCTGACAGGTGGGCACAGCCTGGATGGGGAGGTGGGGCATAGCCAGGCCCTATCCATGCAGGGAATTCTCTTCCCTCTGAAGCCAGGAGCCTCACTTCCCCTGGTGTGAGAGGCTGTGGTCCCTCCCCAGCAGCCATTCTCATCTCAGCCCACAGAGGTGAGGGGGGAGGGGCTGAAAGAGATCAGGAGCCGGCTCTCCTACCTGCCAGGGCCTTTCTCCCGCGGCAGAGCTGTGGCAGAGTGTTTCTGAAGCACTGATCAAAGCCCTGTGCGAAGTGGGAAGGAGGGCTCTTGAGCGCGTGGCTCCCTGGGGCTGTGAATGTGTATCCTGTAACCAGGCAACCGGCATGCTCAGGCCCCCAGGCCTTCTGCCCCTGATGCTGCGGGCTGCATGGAGCCCACCCTGGCAGGGTGTATCTGGGTCGGCAGCATCCATCCATTCATCCATCCATTCATTCACGGTTCCTTCATATGGTCATTCACTTGTTTAGCATGGCTGTTAATGAGGCTACCAGGATATGAGTGAGGATTCTGTGGATAAAATTCAGTGTCTGTCTTAAGGGAGCGCTGCAGCTGAGAGCTGAGGGCTGCTGTGGTTTAGGTGGGTAGGACAGGGGCCAAGCCAGGGTCAGGGGTGCAGGAGCAGACATGCCTCCTAGGGTCCCAGATAGGAGCCAGAAATGGCCTGGCTCTGAGTGGTATCTTGAAATGGGGGCTGCCTAGGGCCACTGCACCCTGGGACCCTGCCTGCCAAGGACCTAGTGTACGCATGGCACAGTAGGGCCGAGGAGGGGTGGGGCCTAGAGGCCCCCTGGCCTCCTCTGCTGTGCTCTCGGCCACCACTCAGTCTCCCTACTGTTTCCAGTAAGAGGAACACCAGAGATGCCTGGGGAACAGGCTCTGTCGGGCTTTTGGAATGCCCGCTGGAAGGAGTAGGTAAACCCCAGCCACAGACTTTGGGCAGAAAAAAGTCTAGGCAGGAGGGAGGGGTCATGCAAGGGCAGCTCTGGCTGGTGGCTGGGGCCAACTCCCTCTCCACCACCCATGAATGATAGGCCAGTCTGTCCCTTCAATCCTAGAGTGGTCACTCCCCTCTGCTCCCCACCCCCTTGGGGGAGTCCCTGAAGCTACAGAGAATGTAGGTAGTTTAAGGTACAGGGGCATCAGCAGTGGCCAGGGCCAGGAGGGAAGGCACCATGCTGTGGGAGGAGCCTCAGATTCCTAGCTCCACCCCTTTACCTCAAACAGCTTTGGGTTCCCAGCTGGAGCAGGGCCCCTTACATTTCAGGGTTGGTAAGAGAATGAAAAGAGAGGGTGAGTGAAAGCCCCAGGAGACAAGAGTGGGGGTTACCTTTGTAAAGACCCTCACCTGACTCAGAGAACTAGGGGCACGGGGATGTACAGGTGGGCAGGGGGAAGGGTCTAATCCCTATCCCCAGGAGACCCCTCTGTTGTGGCTGGCACTGCCTGAGCCCTGGCCAGATCCTGCAGTGGGCTGTGAGGGTCTGCCCTGGATCTAGACAGCCTGCTGCAAATACCAGCATCACCATTCCTTAGTGTTTTGATGCCTCCCTTTCCCCATCTATAAAATGGGGATGATAACAGAACTGATCTCAGGAGTGGCCCTGAGACTGTGCACAGTGCTAATAACAGGTGTGAGCAGGAAGCACTCAGGAACGTTGGCTACTCACACTAAACTCAGCGGTGCACACAGTACATGGCAGGTCAGGAGAGCACCCTTTGTGGAACAGCGTTTTGGAGCCAGCCAAGAAGTCAATGACTTTTCAATTTGGGGAGGAGGCTTCTCTCCCAGGGAGGTGACACTGCTGGTGACTCCCACCCCCGGTGTCCCCAGGCTGGGGCTCCAGGGAAGGCTGTGCGGCACCGCCCCCTGTGGCAGGCAGGGGTGGCTGCAGGGCCATGCTGGTGGGGTGGGAGTGGTCCAGGGAGGCCTGAGCCCTGTCATCTCGCTCCACAGATCTACCGGAGGTGCTGGCTGGTGTTCCGGAAATCCTCCAGCAAGGGGCCCCAGCGGCTGGAGAAGTATCCAGATGAGAAGTCGGTGTGCCTCCGGGGCTGCCCCAAGGTTAGGAGGCCTGGGCCCTAGCTCCCCCAAGTGGCAGGGCTGTGGGGGATGGAGAGAGAGAGAGGGAGAGAGGGGAGAGAGGGAGAGAGGGGAGAAAGGGGGAGAGAGGGAGAGGAGGAGAGAGAAGGAGGAGGGGGGAGAGAGGGAGGGAGGGAGAGAGAGAGAGAGAGAGAGAGAGAGAGAGAGAGATGCACTGGCCTGGCTAAGTCCCTTGTGGATGCTGTCCCAGGTGACTGAGATCAGCAACGTCAAGTGTGTTACGCGGCTCCCCAAGGAGACCAAGCGGCAGGCGGTGGCCATCATATTCACTGATGACTCGGCACGTACCTTCACCTGCGACTCAGGTGAGGCGCGAGTATGGGCCTCCATCTGCCTCCCCTGGGGTGGTCTTGGTCAGAGGTCCAGCTAGGAGCGGGCAGAGCAGGGCTAACCCTGGGTGGAGATGGTGGTGTGGTGTGTGTGGGGTTGGGGGTGCTTTCAGGGAGCAGGCCCTCAGGGTTGAGGCAAGACAGGCAGGCAGAACCCACTGTCCTTACCCTCCCTGCTGTGCATGGTGGCATAAGTCAGGCTGGGCAGACGGGGTGGGCTACCGGGCTCTGGAGCTGCATGATGAAGTAGCATTTTCTTCAGAGCTAGAGGCAGAGGAGTGGTACAAGACACTATCTGTGGAGTGTCTGGGGTCCCGCCTCAACGACATCAGTCTGGGAGAACCTGACCTCCTGGCCCCAGGGGTGCAGTGTGAACAGACAGGTGAGGCCGGGCCCTGGCCCTGGGGGTGGGGAGGGGGAGGAGGAAGAGAGGAAGGGAGGGAGGAAGTCCCCATCTGGGGCAACTCTGGTCCCACTTGTCCACCCTCCCCCACTCCAGATCGCTTCAATGTCTTCCTGCTGCCCTGCCCCAACCTGGACGTGTATGGCGAGTGCAAGCTGCAGATCACCCACGAGAACATCTACCTCTGGGACATCCACAACCCCCGTGTGAAGCTCGTCTCGTGGCCCCTCTGCTCACTGCGCCGCTATGGCCGGGATGCCACACGCTTTACCTTCGAGGCTGGCCGGTAGGACCCTCTCGCCTCCCAGCCCTGTCCTACTATGGTGTGATGGTGGCTGCCATTCACTCTGTGTTGGGCACTGTGCTAGGAGCTTGGTTTACTTATTGGCCTAGCAATCCCAAGGGGGAATGTAATGTTCCCATTTTACAGACGAAGAAATGAAATGGAGGCTTAGAGGAGTAACTTGCCCACAGCATGCAGGTCAAGTGAAGCTATTTACCAAAAATCATATACTACTTTGGCTTAAGTCAAATGCAGGTTCAGGCACTTACTACTTCTGTGACTGTGGATCTGAGTCTGGGTTTCGGGGATAATAAAGTACCTAACCTCCTAGAATTATAGTGAAGACTGGGTATCCCCTCACTTGAACTCTGGAGTCAGTCTGCCTAGACTGAAATTCCATATAATCCTCTGCAGAACCTTGGTTGAGTTACTTAGCTTCTGTATGCCTCAGTTTCCTCATCTATAAAATGGTTTGGGAAAATGCATAACAATGAGGAAACCATTAATGGTACAGAGACCAGAGGGAGGTGGTAGAGAAAACTGAATGGGTTAATTCTTATAATGCATTTCAAGCACCAGCTGGTATAGAATATGCTCAGCACATTTGCACCGTGTGGTCGGACCCCCAGACCACAGCCCTACCTGTCCTCCCGGCCTGGAATGCAACCACAACTTGCAGTTGCAAGAGAGCCTAACTAATCACATGCATGTCTGTGGTGGGTCCCCACCATCTTGCCCTCTGTGCTGTGTCCCCAGGATGTGTGATGCTGGGGAAGGACTCTATACCTTCCAGACACAAGAGGGGGAGCAGATTTACCAGCGCGTCCACAGTGCCACCCTGGCCATCGCAGAGCAGCACAAGCGGGTCCTGCTGGAAATGGAGAAGAACGTGAGGGTGAGGCAGCGGGCATCAGTCCAGGGTACGGGGGGAGGGGGGAACGGGCGGGCAGGCAGGGCCAAGTGCCTGGGGTACACAGTGGAGGCAGGTAGGGTCTTGGGGTGGCTGCTCAGGGATACTGTAAGCCACTAATGGGAGTGACCCCTTCCTTTGCCCCACAGCTGCTGAACAAGGGCACGGAACATTACTCGTATCCCTGCACACCCACGACCATGCTGCCGCGCAGTGCCTACTGGCACCACATCACTGGTTCCCAGAACATCGCCGAAGCCTCCAGCTATGCTGGTGAGTCGCTTCCATGCCCCACACCCACCTGCCAGGAGGCTTTGTGGAGGATGAGGCCTATTGGGCAGGGGTCTTTTGACCTAGCTCTGAGTTCTGAGCCTGCTTCTGTGCCCACAGGTGAGGGGTATGGGGCAGCCCAGGCCAGCTCGGAAACAGACCTCCTCAACAGATTCATCCTGCTAAAGCCAAAGCCCAGCCAGGGGGACAGCAGTGAGGCCAAGACCCCATCCCAGTGACCACAGTGCTGGCGAGCACCGATGACTGCTGGGGGCTGCCTGCTGCGGGGCTGGCTGCAGTGTACCGTGGACAGCCTCAGGGGGCTGTCGGCCAAGAGCCTGGAGAAAGGGAGCAAGCTGCCCCCTCCTTGCCCCCAAGGATGAGGCTGGACTGAGGCAAAGGGCTGGCCACACCACCTGAGCATGTGTGAGGGGTTGGAGCTACCGTGGGACTATATACTGTTAATGATTTTAATATATATGGCTTATGACATACTCTGTATCAATGAGATCCCCTCACCCTCACCCCATCCTTCCCCACCAATACACACAAATTTTTTAATCCCATGACCAGGCCACGGTCAAGGCTGTTTTTGAGTATGAGTGCAGTCGTGTCCATCCTCCATGGCACAGCCCTCCTGCTGCCAGGACCTGCTTGAACTACCAGGGCCACAGGAGGGGGATAATCAGAGCTTGAGGCTGGCACTCTGACTGCTGGCTTTTCCCAGACAGCCCAAGGGCCGGAACAGCAGGTGGCTTCTCAGTTCCTCTGGGCCTGGAGTGACACAGGAAGGATCTGCACTTCCTCTGTGCTGCTTGCCAGCCTTGCAGTTGGAGTTTTAAGCAGAGGTGACATCTGGTTGACGCCTCAGGTGAAAATCTGGTTTTAAAATGTAACTTCTGCACAGGCTCCTTCCTGCTTTGTAGGCTGGGAAGATGCCCCTGGGGTAGGGGTGCTGATTACCTCAGCCATGTGGAGGAAGGCTGGAGCTTGTTCCTGCCCCAGGAATAGGCCAGGAGGGAAGGCCGCAGCAGGACTGCCGTGGGGAGCACCCCTGCTGCCCCCCTCTCACTGACCAGGGGTGGACAATGCCCAAGCAGAGGGAGCCCCCTTGCCCTGTTTGGCCACCCTCTGGCCAGCCAAAAGCACTCTGAAACCAAGACCTTCCCATTTCCTCCTCCCCACATGGTGCTGAGGCTCCCTGCTGCAATGCAATTAAAGCAATTGATTTTCTAGTGCTGGTATTTGTTGACTACCATGCAGAAGGGCTATCTTTCTATTCACGTCAAACTTTTGGTTGTGTGGGGTTTTTTGTTGTTTTTTGGGTTTTGTTTTTTAATACTTTAGGGTCCTGATTTGTGGGAACAGACCTTCTTGTAAATAACCACTATTTGAGTTGTGGCAGGAGGATGATAAAGCACGCGGCCCCTCCCAAAGGAGCCCTTGAGCTAGGGAGGTGGTGCAGTCAGCCTCGCTCTCAACGTGACCCGGGGAATGACCACCCAGAGGGATGAGCTAGCCTGTAGAGGGGAACTGGGGTCCAAAGGTCTTTGGGGAGGGAGGCAGAGCTGGCTGGCTCAGCTAAGTGGCACGATGACGCATGAAGGAGATTATGTTGTGCTCTTTATTGCCAAAAATAAACACTTTTAAAAAGACAACTTCTGTTAATCAATAAATATCCTTTCCTTTCTGTACTGGATCTCTGGTTTTCTCCAGGCTGCCTAATTAACTGCTTTGTGCATGTTCCTATCTGGAGACAGTGCTGAGGGGTTAGGGCCAGAGCCTTCATTAAGGAGAAATGAAATACTCCTCCTGTGTATGTGGGAGGGGCCCTTGCTCCTGCGGCTGCTTCCACCCCCACCCCCACCCCCACCCCCACCAAACTAAATGATCAGGTCATTGGAGGTGAAGGGGTTCATGACTGCTGGACAGAGAATGAAATATCATGTTTATTTGGTGGGGAGGGGACAGCCAGGGTCTAATGCTATTCCAAAAGGTTACTTCTCAAATTAGGGACACCTGGGAATTTGAAGCGCTAGCAGGCCAGCCCTGGGGCAAGAACTGGAAGGGTTTATAGGCCCCCTGAATAAAGGCTATGGCACTTGATCCTCAACACCAGACATCTAAGGTACAACTGAAAATGACTCATTTTGGACAGAAAGGGTTTAGAGTAAAGAGCTGGACTAACCAGGAGAGAAGTCTAGTTGGTTCCCTACAGGTGCACTGGAAACACTCCAGCAGGGACCTTCTGGGATCTGGGGAGCACTGCTGCCAATTATTAACAGCAGTCAGGGCCAGTAAAGACCTATCCTGCCTAAACACCACTGCATCCCTGGTAATCTATCTATGACCCACTTCTAGTTGGTACTGATGTCCTGCCAAGAAGCTCAACCAACAGTAGACTAGATTCTCAGAAACGAGAAGAGTCTGAAGAGAGACCCCCATATCCAGCTGCTGGCCTGAATCTCCGTTTTTGCTGAAGCAGGCAAGCTGCAGTTAATTTATGGTTAGCACATCACTCTGGATCTCGTGGCTTAATTGAGTTTGTAAATCACTCAGTTTCTTCTTCAATCCTGAGAGGGCTGACAGGACAATGGTTTCAGGACGCAGAGAGCCACAGGACTCCACATTGTAGTAAAACCTAGGAGGCAAGAGTCCAGTGAGTGCACTGCGAGGCAGGCTGGCCGACCCGAGCTCTGGCCATGGACAACCCTTCCTCCTTCCGGGTCTTGGCTCTGTTCCCACATGGAACTTGACCTTGGGCCAGGGCTAACTTCCTTTCATGTAAAACCTCTTACATAGGGTAGTTTCAACACACTTTGCACAACCTCAAGGAGGCTACAACTACCTCATAAGGTACCTGTGAAAATCCTAAAGTTCTGTATGTATGCATGCCCCCTGAGGAGAGAGTGGAAAACCAAGTGAGCAGTGACCAGTGATAGACCTTTCACAGTCACCCTGTGGAACTTGGGTCCAAATCTCTGCCCCTAGCGTTGACCTGAAGAATCTCTTCTTTGGGGGCTGAAAATCAGAACAGGAACCACCTGGATAAATGGAGGGTCCTCTTTGTCAGTGACCAAAAGGGGCTGACGACCTGCCCCTGGGATGTGCACATACCACAGGTCTAGTTTAGCAGTCAGCAGCCCCTCCTCAGCTTATGAGAACTGCGAGGTGGGGGAGAGGGAATGCCTAACTCACGGCCTGAACCAAAACCATCCCTTCTTCCACACTTCACCTTCCCATGTCCAACCAGGCTCTTACCTTTCTGGCTTGCCGTTGGGGTCATAGGGAGCCTGCGACTCATCCTCATCCAGCTCCGAGTACTCACTCTTTGGCCTGAGGTCAAACACAGGTCAGCACAAGGTTGCCACTGCTCCTTTTGGGGCACCCAAGTTCCTAGAGAGCCTGCCACATCTCAGTCAACAACAGCCATTTCTATGCCACACCCACCCCAAATGCCTGCCATCACTCCTAAGGGGAACATACCATTCCTCGGGCTTGGGGTACACTGTGTGCCTCAGGGCATTGTCTGGATCGTATTCAAAAGCCACCCCTGCAGTAGGGTTCCACTTGGCATGCTCCTTGCCAAAGCCCTTTTTGGCATAGGCTCGAAGTCTCAGCTCCTGGCCCTTTCTCAACTTGACGATGAGGATGTCTGCAGGGAGAGGCACAAGTCAGTCAAGGGCCAGGAGAGACATGCTTCTCCAAATTCTGACTTGGAGTGCCACTGCAAGACCACACACATCTGGAAAAACGGTCTAAAGCCAATTTTCGAGGAGACCAGGCAGCACGAGAGGCTGTGTCTGGTCCCTCCTTCCCGCTGGCCCACACGGTGACAGGTCAGGAAGACTTACCATCCTGCTCCACGTAGTCATTGGGGTCATTATCTCGGTTCCGGGATGTCACCTGTAGGGAGTCCACCAGGCATTCATTAGCTGCTCACCTCCCCAGTCACCTCCTCTGGCATCCATATCCCAGCACCTCTAGACTGCAATCTGTCAACCAGGGAACGAACACCTGACGAGGTGGTGGCACAGATGCCCCCAGGACTCCAACCCCCACTTCAGGGTGTGGTGGTAGCCTCAGGCAAAACAATTCCATGGCCTTTAAAAGAGTCCCTGGGTGATAGAGGGTGCGCAGCACCAACGATGCTAACGATGCCCAAGAGGAATCCAGAATTAGCACTTCTAGGGATCAGATTAAGGCAGAGGGTAACAGGGAAAGCCAACATTTTCTAAGGATCAACCCCAGTCTGGCCCACTTGGAGCCAGCCAGAGAAGAGAAAAGATCCCAGGGAAAAGAGGATGCTCTCCCGCACTGACCGGAATGACCCGGGGGCTGTTGGAGATGAGGTCTCGAGACGTGACATGTCGCGTCTGGTCTTCATTGCACCGCACATCGAGGGTGAACTCCACCGAGCACTCGGGGCAGAACTCCTCACATGTGCAGTCCTAAGGCAGGAAGGGAAGCAGGAATGAGTCAAAGGGAGATGGCAACTCCTGCCTTGGCTCCTTGTCTTGGCTTCCTGCATCTAATGCCCAGTTCCTTAAGTTTCTTCACCTGTAAAAAGGGGTTCATCAGTATCCAGGTTCTTGTGGGCTGTGACAATCTGGTATACCATTCTCATGGACTGCCCAAGTTTAGAGACAACTTATACATACACTGGCACGCACATTTCTTTCCCACTCCCACCAGCTGCCAGGCCACCTCTGGGGACATATTGCTAACATCTCCCTCTGGCCCTTGAACTACTCTTCCTCAGAGAACCAAGGCTATGAGGCACAGGAGAATGCTTTCACACTCTATAGTTCAGCTTCCCAAGAACTAAGAGGACCAGCTTGGGAATGTAACCATCATTTAAAATAAAACCACCAAGGAACAGAAAAAAGTACCTTTCAAGTTCTACACTAACCTTTTCTAAAAAATCCTTTCTATTATGGAAAATTTCATACATATACACAAATAGAGAAGCACGTAAGAAACTGCCATCCCATAACCATCAACCACCTTCCATAATTATTAACATTTTGCCATTCTTAAAACAACTGACTCATTCCCATGTTAGGGACTATTAATTGCAGTTTCACTTCAGGCAAGAAGACAGTTACTAGGATGCAATCAAGCAAGCTGTTCTCTCCCTCACACCAGTGAGGAAAACCCAACACTCTTTTGATGTTTGCATGCTGAGGAAGAAGCAGCAGCTAGAGGTCCCACCTAGGTCGTCTGCAGTCACACACAGGTGAGGTAGGAAGGCAACCCAGACCCTTGAGACAGAATCACTTTTAGAAATATGAAATGGGGCTGGGCACAGTGGCTCATGCCTATAATCCCAGCACTTTGGGAGGCTGAGGTGGGAGGATCGCTTGAGCCCAAGAGTTCGAGACTAGCCTGGGCAATATGGCAAGACTGTCTCTACAAAAAATACAAAAAAATTGTATTTTTTGGGTGTGGTGGTGCACAGCACCTGTAGTCCCAGCTACTTGGGAGGCTGAAGCAGGAGAATCATTTGAGCCCAGAGGCTGAGGTCGCAGTGAGCCAAGATCATGCCACTGCACTCTAGCCTGGGTGACAGAGCGAGACCTGTCTGAAAAAATAGAAAAATAAAGAAATATGAAATGGGAGAATCAAAATGTAATGGAAGATAAAAATATGAAAAGGTATTTAACCTAAAAAAAATGTACTGAAAGGAGAGGAGTCTGTTTGAGATGAAAAGAGACTAAAGTGCTATGAGGACCAAATGAATCTTCACTGGATCAAGACTGACCCACAAACAAACAGAAAAACAATAAAGGATATTTGGGGAAAAACTAGGAAAATCTGAATATTGATATTACAGATTAATGCTAACTTTCTTAGGCACAATGAAAGTGTAGTTATGTAGGAAACTATTCTTATTAGGAAATGCATGCTGAAGTACTTGGAAGTGTTAGGATGTCTGCAACTTTCACACAGTTCAGCAAAAATAACAATTTGCATATGAAAAATAAAGCAAATGTAAAATATTAATTGGTAACTATAGGTGAAAAGTAAAGGGTATTATTTTAGTTTTTCAACTTTTCTACAGATTTTCAGAAAAAGCCAGAGAGAGAGAGAGACAGACCATGCCATCTTTGTGCAATAAATACTAGAAAAAATTTTAATGAAAGGAACTGCTAGGTGATAGAGCATGCGTATCTTTATGTAAGATATCGCCAAATTGCTCTTAATTGGTTGTACAACGGTCCCCACCAATATCTATGTTTTATTTATTAAAAAACAAAAATCTGGAGATCTGAAACAAATAGGGCAAAATGTTAAAATGTGACAACGTAGTATTAGGTAGAAGCATGAGTATTTATTACACTAGCTCCATGCTTTTCTGTGCTTGAATATTTCTTTTTTTTGAGACGGAGTCTCACTTTGTCACCCAGGCTGGAGTGCAGTGGCGCAATCTCGGCTCACTGCAAGCTCCGCCTCCCGGGTTCATGCCATTCTCCTGCCTCAGCCTCCCGAGTAGCTGGGACTACTTGGGAGCGGGACCACGCTCGGCTAATATTTTGTATTTTTAGTAGAGACAGGGTTTCACCGTGTCAGCCAGGATGGTCTCGATCTCCTGACCTCGTGATAAACCCGCCTCGGCCTCCCAAAGTGCTGGGATTACAGGTGTGAGCCACTGCATCCAGCTGAATATTTCTTTTTTAAAAATACACACATATTTATAAGATATATCAAATTAGCCATCACAAAAATGACATGGCCCTTGAGAATATTAGAAAATGGACTGATTCTGGATCACCCAAAGCCATCAAGAGGGAGTAGCCTTAAGCTGCTGTGTAATGCAGCCTAGTGAAAGGATGAAGGTAACCGACTCCTATCCTACTCTCTCCAAACTCTGAAGGCCTGTTAACATGCCATCAGGGAGCAAACACGACCAGGAGGAAGGGGGTGAGACACTAAGAGTGTGGCCATGTTTAAGCAGCATCACCTGCGAGGGAGGGGACAGCATGAATCTGCAGACACCAGGACTAGTCCCCCAGGAGCTGCTCTTGTGAGACAGCTCCCATTCCCTCTGCTCCTTGCCTACCCCAACCTTCTGTTGACTCCTGTAGCATCCTAAGGCCCCTGCTACTGGGAAGAGATGCTTTGGAAGGAAGAACCTCCACTCTAAGTATAAATGGGCACTGTGGTGGAGCTGCCTAACAACACTCCCTGATGTTCTGCGTGCTAATCAATCTGAAGCCCCATCAGAACGCAGGACCAAGGCCTGCCCAGGCTCTAGACAACATCTCCACGTTGTTGTTCCAGAACTACAACAGTATTCAAGCTGGATGCCAAATGTCAGGAAAAATCCCTTTGAGAACCAAAGCCTCCCCACCAAACCTCACATTCCACCCAATCACACAACATACCCGAGAGTACTGCAGCTTGTCCACAATGTCATCACTAATGAGGGGAATTAATCCTGTAAAAAACAGAAAAGCACTTTAAAGAAAACCAAACAGCCAAGCCAAAATGAGAACCCAGAAGCCTTCTGGGGGTGAGGCTGGAAGGAGGCCCCCTCCTGACACTAGGCACAATACCCTCCCTTTAACCTCCTAGTAAAAGGAGTACTCACCAAGCCTGTGAGCAATGAATTCATCATGAAGAACTGAGGAATTGGCATCAATCTGAACCCAGTCAATGGCTAAAAAATGAAAGAAGCAGACATGGAGTTTAGCCATCAAATTTACCTACAGACTTAATGCAGTGGTTCTCAAGATTTAGGAATCACCTGACACTAAACTGCAGATTGCTGGGCTGATTCCACAGCATTAGAGTGGGGCCCAGGTACTTGCATTTTAATAAGACCCACACACACCACACCTCACCTCCCTGCCCAGGTGAATTTAATGCAGGGGGCTCCCTGCTTCACAGAAAACACTGACTTATAGAATATCATAGAAGTGGAAACATGTTTATTTGAGCTGAGTATTTGCATGAGAAGCACTTAAATCTGCTACCTGTGCCACCACTAAATCCAAGAACATGAACTATTTGAGCACTTCAAAGTCAGGGAAACCCTCACAGAAGCAACACAGACTTATGGGGCCATACCTCATTTTAGGATATAATGACTGGACTGCCCAACTTAGCACTTTTTAAACACTCAATCAACAAATGTTTACTGAATTCTTTTAATGCGCAAAGTATACTAAATATAGAACCCAATCCCTAGCAGCAATGAGCTCGTAGGAGGGTAAAGACTGTATTATCGATCACACATGCTTGACTTAAACACACATTTATTCATTCATAAACATTTGCATGGAACCAACTAAATCCAGGAATCAAATGGCACTGGAGCCCAACTGCCAAACGAGGGACACAGACACTAGGAACAGCGGTCGGAAGAGGACCTCCCCCTGCCAGGCCTCCACCTGCTCTGTCCTGCTATGCTTCCCATTGCTTCCCCAGTCCAAGCCAACTGAGAGAACCCTGACCCAAGCTTTTCTGCCTCTTTAATCCCCCAGCCCTTCCCTCCAGCACACCCTTCCCCTCCTTGCTGTACAGGTTAAGATCCTCTGTGCCTCCTGAAAACTAAGCCTTGCCTGCTCTCTATGCTACAGATGTGACATTCCCTCCCTTTCAACTCCTCTCTCACAAAACTCTGTTCAGACTTCCCTCAAGACACTTGTCATAGTGTGCCTTGTGTCATATTTGTGTATGTTATGTCTATACCTCAAGCTTCAGAAATTCCTTCACGCAGGTCCTGGGATGTCTTTGTATTCCTAGCATGGGTGCTCAATATTATTTGTAGAACTGAATTTGTTGGGAAAGAGGCATTTAGACTCAGAATGGCAGGGCTGCATCATGAAGTACAACTCCCTCACCTGACTCCTGATGAAACTGAGGTCCAGAGGCATGAAGTGCTTAGGCAGGGGGAGGTCCAGCACTCCAAGCTGAATTTAAGAAGTGACTGGGGGGCGGGGGGGTGGGGTGGTGGTGGTAGTGGATAAACTACAATGTTCTCTTGCCTAATCATTTGGCCTGCTTATTTCCTTAAAAGTCTGAATATTTGATGCCACAGCTATGACTTATATTTATTTTGCCTAATCCAAACTCTCTGAGCTGACTCTCAGAAATGCTTGAAGTATTTCATACAAGTATAATCAATGCATTAAGCACCTGGAGCAGAGTGGCTGGAACCAGACCAGAAATTGATCTTCCCTCCTCTAAGAGCCAAGTGCACCACAGCTATGCTTCTCCTGAACTACTGATCAAAATCTACCTTGCTTTAGTGTTGTCTGTGGATTCATCTCTCCCCTACAACCTCACTGTGGACTCCATGAGGGCAAAAACCCTGTTCTCTACAGCTTTGCATTCCCAGAGCTTACCACCATGCCTGCCACTTTCATGCTCCATAAATGCTGTTGAAGGAATAGATTAATAAAAAAGCCATCTACCAGCACTGAGCACTCACTAAACACAAAGCACTTATATGGATTACCTCACTTAATCCTTAACATTACCCTGATAAGGATCATTAGTGGCCGAATGTTACAGATGAGGAAACTGCAGCACACAGAAGTTTAATAACTTGCCCAAGTTTCACAAAAGCAGTAAGTGATGCAGCCATAAGAACGAACGAAATCATGTCCTCTGCAGCAACATGGACGTGGCTGGAAGCCACTATCTTCTTTTTTATTTTCTTTTGTTTGAGAAGGAGTCTCACTCTATTGCCCAGGCCAGAGTGCAGTGGCATGATCTCGGCTCACTGCAACCTCCACCTTCTGGGTTCAATCAATTCTGCCTCAGCCTCCCCAGTAGCTGGGATTACAGGTGGGAGCCACCACACCTGGCTAATTTTTGCATTTTTAGTAGAGGCGGGCTTTCCCCATGTTGGCCAGGCTGGTCTCAAACTCCTGGCCTCAGGTGTTCCTCAGTCTTGGCCTCCCAAAGTGCTGGAATTACAGGCGCGAGCGCGGCCTGGAAGCCATTATCCTAAGAGAATTAACACAGGAACAGAAAACCAAACACCGCATGGGAGCTAAAACTGGGTACGCACGGACATAAAGATGACAATAAACACACTGGTGACTACTAGAGCTGGAAGGGAGGCAGTGGGGCTAGGGGTGAAAAACTACCTATTGCGTACTATGCTCACTACCTGGGTGAAAGGATCATTTATACCCCAAATCTCAGCATCACGCACTATACCCAGGCAACAAACCTGCACCAATGTACCCCTTGACTCCAAAATAAAAGTTGAAAACATTTTAAAAACTTTTGTAACAATAGTAGTGAAAACAGTATTTGAACCCAAGTCTGCACACTGCTAAACCCATGCTTCTCAGCAATGCATACCCAGGACAAGGGTGGACCTAAGTGGCCCGTGGGCGCCAGGGAGGCGGCCACTGAGCCAAGGGCACAGGGTATGGTCAAGTCTCCAGCAATGCACTTTTCTCAGCACTACCACCCTCAGCCCGAACCAAGGACTGGAAGGAGCCCCAAAGAGTGTGTGGGTGGAGAGCGGGGCAGGAACCCGTGGGCGCGGGAACGAGGAAGGGGAGTCGCTTACCTATTATGGGAACCTCAGCGATGAAGACCCTCCGAATCGAATTGGCCACCCTGAAAGATCAAAAGCCAAGGGGCGTGAAGGCGCTGCAGCCTCGACAGGCTGGGCCCGCGCCGCAGGCTCCCAAAGCTAAAGCCCTGGTGCAGGGGGGCAGCTCTGGAAGGACATCGCCCCCACCCCACCCCACTACACCCCCGCCCCCTGCCCCGGGGCCCCGGCTTGGGCCTCCCGGCGCCCCAGAGCCGCCAGCCTCTTCCCTCGGTAGCCTTACGCCAGGTCGGTGTTCTCGATGATGAACTTGACATTCTCGTCAGTGAGCTCCGTGATCCGCACGGTAGGCTGGTTGGCGTACGGCATCTCGCCCAGGGGCCACCAGCCTCCGCGTCTGCTCCGCGGTGACTGCGCGGCGCCACCGCCAACACCGGAAGTCAGTCAGCGAGGCCTCCGCGGCTTCCGCAAAGACGACTCACAGCGCCGCCTGCTGCTCGGAGGCCAGAACTGCCGAGCGTCTTCTGCGGCCTCCTGCTTTAAAATGTACCAGATTCAGCTATCTCGGAGGGTAGTTTGGCAAAACACGCATACGTCCTTCACTTAACAGTAACACTTCTAAGAATTCATACTGCAGAAACACTTGCAGTTGTAAACAAAGATACGAGTGCAGGGACGTTCGTGGTAGTACTGTTTGTACTGTCCATTGATAAGAGACCTGGTGGAGTATACACACATGGAATACTATGAAGCACTTAAAAAGAACTTGTACATCTATAGAAAAACAAAAGTATATTTTAATATGAATGTATATTTTAGCAAAGTATACCTGAATTATAAGTAAATACCCTTTCCCTTGCAGTCTCAAGTATGGACCATGCACTTCTGAAAACTTCAGGAAAAGATACAATGTTCTTTAACCTAATGCTTCCTCTACAGTCTGTGTAGCTGTGGTGGGTGAGTGGGAACTCTTTGTCTCTGCATCCCCAGTGCCTGGCAGTGGGCACCATGTGGGGTGCATGCTCAACAAAGAACTACTGAAGTCCCCTAAACAGACTGGAGAGAGGTTTAAATGGGCCTCAAAAAAAGTGGCTGCTGCTCCAACAGAGAAAAGCTCTAAAATAGAACGTGGCAGGAAATACATTTAAGAGTTGGGAGAAGAGTAACCAGATAAAGAGGAGTTTGCCTTTGCAAAGAGTGACACCTCTTCCTGAAACAGAGGGTGGGCACTGATGGAACCCTGCTCCATAACCTGTGTCATCTTGGTAAATTAAGAATTATGGTTGTCTGCTGAGTGTAAGATGGATGCTATGAAGGAAAAAGGAGAATGCAATGAAAACTGGAACAGCTACTGCGAAAACTTCACAGGATGTCAAGAGATACAAGGAATTGAGAGGTGCAAAAAAGATCCAGTGGAAGACCCACAAGAGATCTGAAATTCAATTAGTTGCTGACTTTCCCCCATTAATATTCAGCTGACAGGCAGAAGAGAGCAAAGCAGAAAACAGAGCTAACCAGACGTGCAAAGGGAACCCAGCCAGTGTAGAGGCTGAGAAAATTACTGGGGCTAAAGAATGTACCACTAAAATCGTCAGACAAGAGCAGCCAAGGGAGCTGATGGTCTGTGGGAAGGCTTCTGTTACCCGTATTTTACTGATGGGAAGACTTGAGCCCAGAGACGCAGAGGTACTATAATTACCACTATGTATTAGGCAGTGGCAGCGCCAGAACACAGGTCTCCTGGCTGCCATAACTTAACCTGTCTCCCTCTGGGGTCCTGGATACCTATCATGATTGATAAGGAAACTAACTACACAATGGGAAACTACTTCAAACATATTTATTATTTTTACAGACTCAAAATACACTAATAATCCTGCAATGCATGCTGGTGTCATGTGACACCAGGCCTGGAATCACACCTCTGTCCAGCAGGCACTTGTCTCAGGTGAGGCAGTTTTCTGAGGGGGCTCCCAGGAACAGCATCTCAGGACACCTGAGAGGGAGGGGGCTGCAAGGAACACCTCTGTGTGCACACGCCTGTGCTGTGCTGGAGATGAGCTGTCACCTTGAGGTGGCGTCAGACCTTGACTCTGGCTTGGGAGCCCCAAGGTTAAGGGAAGGTTAAGACATGATCAAGGTGCCCATGAGATTGTGACAGGGACATGCTGGGTTTCTGTGGCTTGACTGCTTGGATGAACATCTCATTTTTCAATCACACAGTTGCAGTGCAGAAAGGCATCAGGAGGCTTGGTCTGGTATTAGGAACTGAAGAAGCAGCCCAATCCCTGACCAGAACGGTAGCATCAAATGCCTTGTGGTTTCCAGGTGGCTGTGGTAGTGACTCAGGAGTCCTTTAGTGTGTTCTCGTGAACACCAGGTTATGTGGATGGCACCTTATACTTTTCAAAGCTCTTTCAATCTGTCCGCTCATTCTCTTCTAGGCATTGTAGCTTATACCCCTTCCTCTCACCGACGCTGGTTTAGACCTGTCAAGTTCTTGAGCTGACACGGGAATGGAAATAAAGAGAATAGTGAGGGCTTACCTTGCCTCTAGACTCTAATAGAAAAGACCTAGCTTTTCTTTTTCTCTTTTTTTTTTTCTTTTTTGCATAGAGACAGGGTTTTGCTATGTTGGCCAGACTGTCCTCAAACTCCTGGGCTCAAGCGATCTTCCCAAATCGCTGAGATGATATGCATGAGCCACTGCACCTGGCCAAGATCCAGGTTTGCAAGGTGGCAGGTGTGGCTATGATACAGAGACTTGATATACCAGGGTCCCAGGAGTCAGTGATATCTCCTGATGACAGGAAAAAATAAAGAAGTGAGGTTTTTGGAATCAAGACACTAGGGCTGAACCATTGTCAGCCTTATTATTAGATTATTGTTTCCAGGTTAGGGCTACAAAATGATGTGAAGTCAGTAACACATGTATCACAGAGCCGGAATGGGAGAGAGGAGGGGCAGGGATGTGCTGGGCAGTACTCACCGTCACTGCTGCACCCATGAGTCCTTGCACCAGTGCCTCTCCTGTGGACTTTACCTAGAAGGAGTCAGTGTCAGGTTCCCTTAGGCCACCAACACAAAGTTAAACTTGAGACAGGCAGGACAAATCAGGAGGCCTATGAGCCCCAAAAGGTGAAGACAAGGGGGCCACGTTACTGGAAGGAGAGCTTTGGACAACACAATCACAAATGCAAATGAGCAAAGTGTGGCTCTTAGGGAAGGGCTGGCCTGAGGAAGAACCAGCCAGGCCCTTGGGAAGGCCCTCAGGACTGTCAGCTGAGGCCAAAAGGGAGCAAGACCAGCTGTGACCTGAGGAGAATAGGTATGCCTTCTAAAGAGGGTTCCCCAATGGCTAGTCCCCACCTACCTGCTTGGCAGTGTGGCCCATGTTCATTGCATCATTAACCCGGTTTTCCAGGAAGCGCCAAGTGTCCTCAAAGTCTGGAGAGGAGTCCTGCATCATCACCAGCTCTGTTGTGTTGTAGATGGCAGCCAGCATGGCTCGGCGGGTGTACCAGTTAAACTGTAAAGAAACCCACACTACCGCTGTGGGCTGGTGCAAGTCTGAGGCAGTTCCTACCCAAGGCCATGGGAACTCCTGGGTTCCCTCTTGACTACTTCTTGACTGTCACAGATACATCTGGCCCTCTGGACAACACTACCATCTCAAACTTGACTGAGCATCAGAATTACCTACTTGATTAAAAATGCAAGCTCCTGGGCCCAACCTCTTAAGAGTAGAGTCAATGGATCTAAATAAAGTGCCAGGAATCAGGAAACTTAATAAGTATCCCAGATGATTTGGCTACATCCAATCCATTTTGGAACTGCTAGTAGAAAGCCTACATCTTAAGACATCTGAGTCCCAGAAGACGCTGTAATCAGCCAGCTATGACCGAACCTTGGTGTGTTCATCAATAAAGTGAGGGCTGAGAGAGGCTCATGGACAGATTACAATACCTGGGCAAAGCTGAGAGTTCAAGTCCCTCAGCAACTTCTGATTGTTCTAGCAAACTACTCTTCAGAGGACCAGCTCAGCTGCTTGGTGTTTTATTCCTTTAATTTCTTTGCTTTCTAATTTCATTTTCCTACCGTCTCTGTTGGCATTATATTCCCACATGGAGGAAGTTTATTAAAACACTTTGTTATAACTATGGTGGGAGTATTTCTGTGCCTCCTCATCCAGGATTCCACAAAGTATCATCACATTTTCTTTTATGAAGGTGTATTTTTTAAAATTTCCTACCAGAAATATGATAGCATTAACAAGTCGGATTCTTTCCTGGTGCTGTTTAAAGAGCCTTATTGATCACTTAGCAAAGCAGGCCAAGATGGGCTGGGGAAGGGAATTTCTTTTTAAAGCAATGGGTGCCTCCATGGCATTTCTTTTTTTCAAAAGAGGAATTTTGCTGCAGAATCTACATCTTAGGAGAGAGGGAAATGATAATAAAATGGCAGCCCAATTAGCTTTCGCCAATGCTAAAGGATCTCTGACACCTGGTGTCACCACAAGCTGGAAGAAATAATAACTGGTTTGTGGCTAGAATGCTGGTCCCTGAATGAAGATGACCTAGATCCCACTTTGGCTTCTTGACGGACCTTCCTCATACCTTAGATGGGAATGACACTGCAGCCCCCCTGCAGGGGCTTATGATCAAAGCAATTTCACAAGCTTCTTGAAGAAATGCTTAACACAAGCCTTTCCCAGCCTCCTGTGGGCCTGCAGAAAGCACTCACATCAGTGGACTGGTCCCCAGCGTAATGCCACATGTCATCCACCATGCTGGTGAGCAGGCTCAGGCTGGACGGGATGTTGTGAGGGAGCATGAGGATGCTGAGGGCCTGGAGAGAGAATGGCAGAGGAGTAAGCTCTGCTCACAGGTAATGGTGCATAGTTGACCAGCATCTACCTCTCCAAGAGGTGTATGAGGGGGCCTGCCAAGCTCTGGTTCTCTGAGACCAGCATCTTCACCCACTGGCGTGAGTTGTGGGCAGCTAGCAATGCTGACTACAGCTGAGGAGAGCCAGGGGCATAGCCCCGTCTTATGCAAGCCCAAGCACATTCTCCATCCCTAGCATTTGGAACTGGGAATGCAGAGGGCCAGAGGGTCTAGACTGGTCTAAGCAAGGATGGGCAAAGATACCCCAGTCTGTCACACAAAGGAAGAAGCAGAGATAGGAGTCCGTTCACACACATCAGCTCCTACTGACAAACAGAACAAGGTCCTTCCACTTTACCAATGCTACATCCACTGGGGAGGTGATCAGAGAGGTCCTGGATTGGCTGTAAGGTTTTCTCTTAGTGAAGCAGCCCAGAAGAAAACACTATGCTGAATCAGGAAGGCAGTTGAGGGCCTCATACGTGCACTTCCACTGCTTTAACTGCAAGGTGGAATGAGTCACACTCGGCCTGGGGTTAGGCACCACCATAAGTGTTCAAATGTCTATCAACTGAATGACTGAAACTACGTGCTTAGTAGTCTTCCAGCTGAGCAAAGGACACAAGATGTCTGAGTCCCTCTCACTTCGGGTGTACTTTCACTCTGTACTTTCTTCACTCAGAGAATGGCCCATACTGTGATATGCTTTAAAACAGAGGAAAAAGGAAGCTTCAGAAAAGGTGAAAAAACCCCTTGCAACGAATATGCCAGTCCCCAAGCATCACATTGACAATTGACAAATCCCAGTGCTCGAGATCTAAAATGCCACAGGGCTGTTATTCAAGTGAAGACAGCCAATAAAATCTTCTGACTCTTCTAACCTCCTGCATGGATTCCTCCTCCCTGCAGACCTGGTGGCACACTCAGACCACTAGGAGAACCCCACCCAGGATGGGATCCAGTACCCGGACCACTCACATTTCCAAGAACTGAGACACAGATGGCTCAGTCACTCTCTTTGGTATGTCCAAGTTTGAAACCCAGCTTTACCAAGTGTACTAAGTATTGTCGGGTTTATAGAGATTGAGAAGCTAAGTTCTGAACAGTGTACAAAGTCATCTGAGTGAAAGGTGCTGAGAATGATAAATATTAGGATTATTGTTGCTCTGGGGCCTGGATATAGACTTGGTACCCGGGGCCAGTGCTCAATGTATGGGATCAGCATTCTCAGTCTGGTTTCCACTGCATCCCTCAGGAACTGGTCTGTCTTCCTCTTCCTGGAAGAGGGAAAAGAAAACAGTGTGTCTCTGAGTGAAAGGCAGGGGCTCAGTGCTCCACGGTTTACTCAGCCCTAGGGAGGAGGGTCCCACCAGCTCCTGACGCTGGCCTGACTAAAGCCGTCAGAGACAGGCTGCCAGGTTTCAGTCCCATCACAGCAGCAGGGCTGCCCAATGCTGCTCTCTTTGGGTTCTGCTTGGATTGGCCTCCTGGGCATAGCTGGTAGGGCCCAAGTTCCCTGATCCTTAGCTGCCACCCTGAGTAGTAATGCCATGGGACTTACTCCGCCTGGCCCAACTGTACCAGCTTCTGCTCCTCTTCTAGCACACGTGTGAGCCGGGTATTGCACTGGGTCACAAAATGCAGTATTAGCTCACTGCCATCCTTCCCGAACATGCTGGCTGCTGCACTGGAGAGACCCAGAGACTACAAAAGGGGAGACAGAAAACAGAAAAGCGGTGCCCAAGTGTAGGGTACATTTGTTGCCTGTTCATCACTAGAGCCTCTTCCTAGTGACAGCAGCTTGATTTCTTCACTCTGGGTCCATGTGATTTTGGTGAAACTGACCACCACCGGTCCCTCCACCCTGCAAAGCCCCTTGGTGTGTGTGCAAGAGTGGGATCTAGGCTTGAATAACAAGTTCACAGAGACTAGCTCAGGGATGAACATATCAACAGGTCTTCTTTCTTTTTTAGAAACTAAGCCTGCAGCTGCTTTCTCCAACTTTGCACCTAACACATCTAAGGCCAGTCCTTCCAACTGTTGTCCAGATCCCACAATTCTTGCCTTCAAGGAACCTCATCCTCTTGATTTTGACTATTTTCTCTTGTAAATTCACCCTCACTCTTGTTTCTTTCTTTTTTCTTTTTACTTTTTTTTTGAGACAGTGTCTTGCTCTGTCACTCAAGCAGTGGCATGACTGAGGCCTTGACCTCCTGGGCTCAAGCAATCGTCCCATCTTAGCCTGGGACCACAGGTATGCGCCACCGCATCTGGCTAATTTTTAAATGTTTTTGTAGAGATGGGGTCTCGCCATATTGCCCAGGTTGGCCTCAAACTCCTAGTGTCAAGCAATCCTCCCGCCTCAGCCTCCCCAAGTGCTGGGATTACACATATGAGCCTGGTCCACTCTTGTTTCTGTACTCTTCCCATTTGTGTTCAATCATGTCCAAACTTCCATCTGTTTCTCCTGCTTGGTGCACCCTAGTTCTACCCCTCGCAGCCAAACGCCTCGCCACTTCCTCGCCTTCTATGCACACCTCGATCCACTCCAGTTGATTTCTGATCCAGTTCTCCACCCAAACGGTTGTTGCCCCAGTAACCAATGTCTAGCTGCTTAATCCACACTCTCCTGCTTTGCCTCCAACATCAGGATGCTCTGACTTAGACTTTGACGGCCCATCCTATTCTACTCTCCCCTTAAATGTCCGCGTTCCTTGAGAGTCTGGACTCCCCTCTCATATGACATTATATTCTTGCCCTGGACAATCTCACTGACTTCCATAATTATTTTATATATATATATATATATAAAATCAGCGTGCATATATATACTGTATATATATATATATATGCCCAAATGTGTATCTCTAGTCCAGCTGTTTCCTCCAGTTCCTGACCTGTATGCTTGATGCCTCCACTGGTTGACTCAAAAACTCCTCATACTCAACAAGGATCAAGACTGTACCCTTCCCCAAAGCTGGTCCTCTTCCAATGGCCTTCACCTTAGAAAACACCACCATTGGGTACCCACACATGCAAACTTGCAACTCTGGTGCCATCCTGTCACTCTCTCCCATGTCCAAGCTATTCCTGAACTTACCCACTGCCATTACTCTAAGCCAGACCACCTCATCTCTCCTGTATGTCTGGCAGCAGCCCCCAATGAGTCTCTCTCTGCCTCCAATCCACTTTTCATCTGGCAGCCAAAATGAGCATTTTGAAATGCCAAATTTAATCCAATATCTTCAATTGTTCTTAGAAGAAAAGCTTGACTCCTCATCATGACCTTTAGGACCTTGCCTGATTTGACCTCGACTGACCTTTCCAGCCTTGCTCATCTCAAATCTCTCTTCCTGCACTCTCTGCATGGTGGTTCTCTGTGGTTCTTCTAACGTACCATCCTTCTTTTTCTTTCCACCTTGCCTGTGCAGTTTCTGTATTTGGACTTGTCCATCTCCTACCCACAAAGTCAGGTAAAGCCTATTCATTCTTCAATTCTCAGCTCAAAAGCCTTTCCTGACCACCCTGTTACCCACCTCATATATGGTTTCAGACAAGGTCTCACTCTGTTGCCCAGGCTGGAGTGCAATGGCATCATTATGGCTCACTGCAGCCTTGACCTACCAGGCTCAAGAGATCCTCCCACCCCAGCCTCCCAGGTAGCTGGGACCACAGGCAAGCACCACCATGCCTGGCTAATTTTTGTATTTTTTGTAGAGATGGGGTCTCTCCCTAGGTTGCCCAGACTGGTCCCAAACTGCTGGGCTCAAGCAATCCCTCTGCCTTGGCCTCCCAAAGTGCTGGGATTATAGGCATGCGCGACTGTGCCCAGCCCTCCAACCCTTTAATAGGACAAATTAGACTATTTGTCATAGTTTAACAGGCAACATGTTTTCTTTTTTTACTGATGTACTTAAAAATGGTGCTTCTTACAACCAATGGCATCTTAGAGTCAATGAAATATGGTAGTTTTGATCACAGACAATTCTTGCCAATAGGTTGCCTTTAGAACACAACTCTCAAGAACCAATTCCATGGTTCATTACTTTTATATCTACAAAATAAAGCCATTTCCACCCTATTGAGGGAAAAAAACCAGTCAATCTCGCAGCTGTGACCTGATCTAATGATCGGGTCCCTCCATTATACAGCCCAACAGCACCTTTCCTTGATAGCACTTACCACATCTTCTAAGTAAACATTTGTATATATTTTATTAATGTTGCTAGACTGGAAGCTCAACAAGGGCAGGAAGCAGATCCATCTTGACCACTTTGACCCCTGTCATGTCTCTTGGACTAGCACAGTGCCTAGGGCACATTATTTGCTCAATAAACATTTAAAGAATGAATCATATAAAGGGTTTTAATTGGAAAGATCTAGGCATAAATGTTGATAGTATGATCTTTGGTGTGATTATAGGTGTTTTCTACATTCTTTTTTATATTTGTTTGTATTGTTCAGTTTTCACAATGAGCCTACAGTGGAGTCAGAGCACCCACATTTCACTAATGAGACTTCTGTTACCAAATGTGCACTTGGGAGTGAGAGAAGACAAGGAAATAACAGTTAAATTTCAGTAAAGCAGCAACCTTGCCCATTGTCCATGGGTAGATGCCCTGCAGCAAGCCTGGGATGGAAGATGCAACTCTGTCATCCCCTCAGTCTCTTGGAGGATGGTATCTTGCTATGCTGGAGGATTCTCTACAACATGGCCTGAACATGAGCCTGCTGCCTAATCTAAAGCAGCAGTCTGTACTAATGCAGAAAATGCTATTAGAGTTTCTGGGAAAATAAGATGTGTTGGTCTCCAAAGTGGTGCCTTCTTGGGGGTTTTCAAACACCATATGTCATTAATTCTAAGATGCAGATATATTTTTCATTTTAAAAAATCAGTGTGAATCACAGAAGTGCTTTGTCATAGTTCGAAGGGCAGTATGTTTTCTTTTTTACTGATGCATTTAAAAATGATGCTTCTTACAACCAATGGCATCTTAGAGTCAATGAAACATGGGAGTTTTGATCACAGACAATTCTTGCCTAATAGATTGCCTTTAGAACACAACTCCCAAGAACCAACTCCATGGTATGTTCTTTATAACTACAAAATAAAGCCAGTTCCACCCTATTGGGGGAAAAAAACCAGTCAATCTTGCAGCTGTGAGGGGCTCTGAGCTAGACTGGAAGAAGGCATGAGGCCCCCCGCTCTGCCTGGTGTGACTCCATCCTGGCTCATCTTGGTTAGGTGGCCCCACCCTCACCTATACACACCTGGGCTCCTTCTGCAATCGCCTCTGCTGTCCACCCGTGGGCGGGCACAAACTCAAGGGCTGCCGTCAGGATGCGGTGCTGCAACTGCTCCTCACTTTCATAGTCCTCCTCCTCCTCGCCGCCCTGGTCTGTATACCTGAGACAAGAGGACACAGCCCAGCATACTTCATCTCCTGGCATGTACAATGGGCATGACCAGAAACTAGGGGCTCTGGATCTCCTCTAAGCACATGCTGGGAAGACATTTACTCTTGTGTCACTATCAATGTGGTTTTCTTGTTTGTTTTTTGTTTTTGAGACAGAGTCTCCCTCTGTCGCCCAGGCTGGAGTCCAGTGGCGTGATCTCAGCTCACTACAACCTCCACCTCCCGGGTTCAAGCAAGTCTCCTGCCTCAGCCTCCTAAGTCGATGAGACTACAGGCGTGTGCCACCATGTCCGGCTAATTTTTGTATTTTTAGTAGAGACAGGGTTTCACCATGTTGGCCAGGCTGGTCTCGAACTCCTGACCTCAAGTGAGCCGCCTGTCTCGGCCTCCCAAAGCGCTGGGATTATAGGCGCGAGCCACCGCGCCCAGCCAGTATCAACGTTTTAATGCCAACAGAGTAAAAACTAGATCATCCTTCCCCTCCCCATAGGCACGGAGAGGAATCCAGCAAATGAGGCCATGTGGTATGAAGGCATTGCTGCACCCTGGAGTTCCCTGTTTTCAGCCCTTAGCACACTGTGCTCAGAGGGTTTCTTCATCTAAACTTACACCAGACTACCTCCCTGAGGGCAGGAGTAATGCTATATTACTCACAGGGCCTGGCATGATAGTAGGGCCTCAAAAAATATTTCTTGAATTGAAATGAAAAGTACTTTAGTTAGGAAATCAGAAAAATGAAAAGGAACACGCTAATTTCAGATATAGAGAAACTTTTCAATGGCAGGATTAGGAAAAAAAAACACTAATGGAAATGTAAATTAGTATTACCTTTCTGGAGGGCAACTGGCCCACATAAGTAAAAAATCTTTAAATGTACATATCCTTTGACTCAGTGCTCCCACTTCTAAGGAGAGATTCACACACTTTATCATATTATTTCTTATACTAGTGAAGGAAATCTAAATATCCATCAATAAAAGACAGGTTAAATAAATTTTGGCACAGCTATTTGCTGGAATGTTATACAACTATTAAGCTATGAAAAGACATTACAAATGTACTGTTGAGTGAAAAAACAGGTTCTAGAACAGCATGTAGAGTTTATACACATTATATCTATTCTATACAAAAATTTACATATGAAATAAGCTTAGAGAAACATCTAAAAGGATATTCACAAAAATGTTAGCAGGGTTATCTCTGTAATTTTGGATAAAACTGCTTTATTTTTGTGAACTTCTCTATACTGTTTAGGTGTTTTAGAACAAACAGGCACCAATTTTATAAAAACAATAGGTTCTTTCCTAAGACAGCCTTGTGGCTGGGTGCAGTGGCTCACACCTGTAATCCCAACACTTTGGGAGATCTAGGCGGAGGACAGCTTGAAATCTAGGAGTTTGAGACCAGTCTGGTCAACGTAGCGAGAAGCCATCACTACAAAAAATAAAAAATTCTAAAAAACAAAGATGGCCTTGGAAATGAAGGAAGGTACAAAAGGGGATGGAGAGGAGAGAGGAAGTGAAGGAGGAACAGACATAATGAAGCATATGAAGTGGCCAGAAATAGGTGGATTGGTGCCTACCTGGGGGGTGAATGAGAAGACTCTGGATCAGGTTTTTCTGCCCCCTGTGTCTCAGAATGCTGCTGAGAAAATGAGTTGGGAGGCTGCTGCTTCTGCTCATCTGAAGACCTTAGCCCCACAGCTGAAGCATGGAAGGCACGCGGCACCAGGGCTTGTCGGCAACGGGCCACTGAAACAGAAACTGGTCAGTCAGGGACATTCAACAGAGAAGACCCTTTCAGACCCAGAGTGGTAACACAGATAAGGAGGAGGAAAAGCAGGCCAGAGACTCCTGTAGAACCACTTATCCAAGTGTTGGGTCCCACACAAAAATATTGGGTAAACTGGGAACTTTGGGACACGAAGTGGTAGCAAAAGTGGTAAGCCAGGAAAAATGATCTACCTAGCATCTTGACCTGTTTCTACCACTTGTTACCTGGGTAACTGGCAAACAATTTCACCCCAATGTGCAGATTTTTAAATCTGCAAATTTAGAGTAATAATCTCTACTTGCTCAATGAGAGCACTGTGTGGCCCAAACAAAAAGTAAAAGTGGCTTGCAAATGTTACAGATTTATATATATTATGGCAAGAGCTCTGGAATAGTAATTTAATGTCTCAGCCCTACTCCCCCAGTGTTTATATGGTATCTTTGGACAAGTCACTAATCTCTATCTGCTTTCTCATCTGCAATATCTGCAACATCTCCATTTACTTTAAGAAAGATGAGAAGTATGTTTCCTAAGCATAAACTCATAGTATTTTTTATTTCCCAACATTTTTTATTCTAAAAATTTTCTTTTTTTTTTTTTTTTTTGTCAGAGTCTCACTCTGTCGGCCAAGCTGGAGTGCAGTGAGATTATCTCGGCTCACTGCAACCTCTGCCTCCCAGGCTCAAGTGATTCTCGTGCCTCAGCCTCCCGAGTAGCTGGGATCACAGGCACCCGCCACCACTCTCAGGCTCACTTTTGTATTTTTAGTAGAGACGGAGTTTCGCCATGTTGGCCAGGCTGGTCTCAAACTCCTGACCTCAAGTGATCGCCCGTCTTGGCCTCCCAAAGTGCTAGGATTACAGGCGTGAGCCATCATGCCCAGCCTATTATAAAAATTTTCAAACACGCAAATTGAAAGAATTATGGAATGAACACCTGTATATCTGCCACTAGGTTCAACACATCTGTCATGTTCTTCATTCATCCATCTTGATTTTCAGTGCATTTGTTGCAGATATCAGTATTATTCACCTCTAAACATTTTAGCATCAAAGACTTCTACGTTCACTGTTTTGTTATTCAGATGCCATTTACACACAATGAAATGCATAAATCTTAAGTGTACCATTCTATGAGTTTTGACAAATGTATACACTTGCACAACCTAAACCCAATCTAAACAGAGAACATTACTGTCACCCCAGAAAGTTCCCTTATGCCTTTTCAGTCATTCCCCATTCATACTGTTCTGAATTTTTCACTCTAGGTTAGTTTTTGCTTGTCTTAGTTTTGCCTGTCCTAAGATTTCATCTATATGTACATGTTTCAGTAAAGCTTCTTTCACTTAGGACTATATATGTGTGTGTATATATATATATTTATTTATTTTAAGTTTAAATAGAGACAGAGTCTTGCTATGTTGCCCAAGATGGTCTTGAACTCCTCGGCTCAAGCAACCCTCCCACCTCAGCTTCCCAAAGTGCTGGGATTACAGGTGTGAGCCACCACACCTGGACCACTTAGTATATTTTTGAGATTGATCCATATTTTTATGCCTATCAGTATATCTGGCAAAGATTCTCTCCTTGATCAGGCTCTAACCAGGCTCCTCTGAGCCCTCTTCTTATCTAGGCCTCAACCTTGGCCTATAAAGACTTGAACACACACTAACATAAGCATCACTCAGGGCCACATCCCTTAAGATAACCCTACCCCCCTTTAAAGTGCCTGCCTGAGAAAACTCAAGGCTGTCAAAAAAAATTTTACTGTTTGTTCAGGCTAACACTTAAGAAGGATAGGGCTTGTCTCCCTGTGGGAAAACAGAATCCTAACTTTGTTAACTGCCAGCTAGCAGACCAATCTTATTTATAATTATTCACTATCCTGACTCTACTGAGTCCCCACCTGCCTTCCTCCCTCCTCCCTCATTTTTTCTTTGAAACACCCAGTGACTTCTGCATGCTCTAAACTCAAGGTTGGGCTCCGTTCATGCTAGACTCTTTTCCCTATTGCAATAGTTATTACTGATTAAAAATGGTCCTTATCACTTTAGTGTCCAGCTTTCTCTTTGACTGATTTTTAGTTTTTATTGCAGAATAGTATTCCATAAAAAAAATACTATTCTGTTGCTAGACAACTGGACTGTTTCTGTGTTTGGCTACTATGAATAAAATTGCTATGAATATACTTGTACTAACTTTTTTGTAGACACATACCTTCATTTCTCTTGGTGGATTTGCGGGGTCATAGACATTACTTTTACTACACATCTTTAGTTTGGAATTTTGTATAAATACAACAAAAGGGGGCTAGGCGGTGGCTCATACCTGTAATCCCAACACTTTGGGAGGCTGAGGCAGGCAGATAACTTGAGGTCAGGAGTTTTGGACTAGCCTGGCCAACATGGTGAAACCCCGTCTACTAAAAATAAAAAATTAGCTGGGCATGGTGGCACAACCCCAGCTACTAGGAAGGCTGAGGCAGGAGAATCACTTGAACCCAGGAGGTAGAGGCTGCAGTGAGCCGAGATTGTACCACTGCACTCCAGCCTGGGTGACAGAGTGAGACTCTGTCTCAACAACAAAATTAAGCCAAGTAGGGTGGCACGCACTTGTAGTCCCAGCTCCTTGGGAGGCTGAGGAGCCAGACCCTGTCTCAGAAAAAAAAAAAAAAGAAAAAAAAGAAACAGAATAGTATGTGCCAAAATATCAATATTTTAATACATGTACTGAAAGATACGGCACAAATATCCGCAAAACTTTGAAAAGGAAGGAGCAGATGCAAAGTATGACTGTAGTACCACTGAGGGTCATGAGAAGATTTTAGGTGAAATACAGGTGAACGTTTCATCAGTTATGTATGTATGCTAAAGTGTTAATGCATACGTTCTAATTAAGGAAGGCGATATTAGTTTTCCATTTATGACAATGATATAAAGTTTCCTCTTTAAGAACTCCTATTTAAAAATAAAAATACTGAGTACATAGTGGCAAAGGTGGTAAGAGAGTATCACAGAATTCGTGAAGTGGTGAGGAAACGGCTGGCTTTCGGGAAACAATGGACTAGGCTCTCTGTGGCCGTGTCCACCTGTCCTTCCAGTGGACTTGGCAATGGACTTGAGAATGGGTCTGCGACTGCCAGTTCTGTAACCAACAGGCTCAGGCTGCGTGACTTTCGTACCCCGAGCCCTCTCTGAGGCTCTGCCAACTCCATGAAATGGGGGTGACAGGCCCTGCCCCGCTGCATCTGCCCCTCACAGACAGCGGAGCAGGGCCGAAGCTAGCCAGGCGGCTCGCCCGAGCCCGCGCCGATGCCCTTCACCTCACCTTGCTCGTGGGCCGCCCCAACGGCCTCTTCCCCCCACCGTCGAACCCAGCTGAAGCCGGCCTCGCGCCCCCTCCGCGCTCCCCGCCTCTCCCCGGCTTGGCAGCCCCCTCACCGGGCAGGCATCGCAGCTGCAGGAGCCTCCAGCCCGCCCGGCCAAGCGCACCAGATACCGCCGCCGCCGCCATTTTGGAAGCGGGCACGTCGCCCACGGCGACGCGACCGGTAGCTACGGGACCACGGCCCTAAGGAGGGCGGAAGTCGTCGCTCCGTGGAGCCTCCTCCTCTCGCGAGAGGCGCAAGGCGTGGAGTCGACGGCTGGAGAGAAGCCGGGAGCGAGCCCAGGCGGCAGGTGAGAGTGGTGGGGGCCAGCTGAGCGCCAGAGCTCCCTCAACTGTCCCCTCCCGGCCCACCCTCGTTCCCACATCCTCTCATTTTCTCTTCCCACCCCGTTCCTCGATGGGAACGCAGCCACGGCCGCCCCGCTGAAAGCCCCGGCTGGTTTATTCCTGAGAAGTCGGTGTGAGGGGCCAGGGCCGGCCCTAACCTCCCTGGGGTCCTGACTGGGAATTTCTGCCGTTCCCCGGCTGCCTCGTCCCTTGCGCAGCCGGCCCTACTCTGAGGCCCCGGGGACACCACGCTGAGGAGAAACGGCTCCGAGCTTGGGATCGGGGAGACCTGGTTCTGAGACCCGGTCCTACCAGTAGCCAATCGTTGTGACCTTGGGCCTCAGTCCCCGTGACGTTTTGGTCCCTGGGGGTTCCTGGCAGCAAAGCACGAAAGCCTTGGAGTCGGGGGGTACCTGAGCTCACGATTGTAATTTCGAACCTGCAACTTGTCCGAACCCCCAGCGTGTTGAGTTGATATAATTAAGTATCCAGATCGGAAGGATGCTTGTTACTAGAACAGACAGCTAGGCCTTTGTCCAGAAGGATTGATTGAGTGGGTCTGGGTGTGGTCCAGGAATCTCATTTTAACCACTCCCTCGGGTGATTTGTAGGATCTGCAAGTTCGGGAAAGGCTGGTGCCCTTCATTCTGACATTACTGAGTGCCAAGCTCTGGATGGCTCAAGGAGGTCACGGTCTAGCCACTAACAGAGCACTTCACGGGGGTGTCATCAGAGAAGGCTTAGTAGGAAGAAGTAAACGGTTTTTGGGCTAAGAGTAACTGACGACAAGAGCATGTGATTCTGTCGATTTTGTGTTTGCAGTCAGACCCCATCATTGTGTCTGTTAAAGTTGTGCTTTGCACACCCCTTGTCAAATCTAGTCTTTTCAGAATATCCGGCTCCCCCCTGCACGGGTGCGGGGAAGACCTCCTAAGCCAAAACTTACCCCAAAGGTTAAAATTTTAGATCCATATTTCTGGTTTTAGGTAAAACACTCCTCTCCATAAGGATTTGTTTCTGAGTTCTATCCATCCATCTTTGAATGAGCCTTTCCTGTGGAAACTAACATTTGGGTATCCTTTCTGAAACCCTAATTCCTGACACACGCCAAATGCCTGGAGACGTTCCTGTTTCATTGTTGATTCTCACTTTTTAAAAAAAATTCTGGGCCAGGCTCATGCCTGTAATCCCAGCACTTTGGGAGGCTGCGGCGTGTGGATCACTTGAGCTCAGGAGTTCGAGACCAGCCTGGGCAACATGGCGAAACCGCATCTCTACAAAGAATACAAAAATTAGCTGGGTGTGGTGGTGGGTGCCTGTAATCCCAGCTATTTGGGAGGCTGAGGCGGGAGAATCGCTTGAACCCCGGAGTCGGAGGTTGCAGTGAGCCAAGATTGTGCCATTGCACTCCAGCCTGGGCAACAGAGCAAGACTCTGCCAAAAAAAAAAAAAAAAAAAAAAAAAAAAAAACCTCTAAGGTCTTAGTCTAAGTGTCTAGACAGAGCGTTCTCTTGAGGGCAGGGAACAAGTGTCTTCTTGTCTGTCTCCCGTGTAGGGACAGGCACATAGTAGGTTTCTTAGGTCTCATTTGCAGGTTGTAATTGTGCCTTCCTACCATTCTGCTAAAGCTGGCAGGGAAACTGAGGCCCAGAGAGGGGCAATGGCTGACTTGGATTGCACAGCAGGCTGGTTAGGCCCACTTGGTACTGGTCACCCAGAGGCCAGGCAGTGACATGTATGTGCACAAGAGCTTCAGTTAGTTAATTTTATGTTTTTAATTTAATTTTTTTTTATTTTGAGATGGAGTCTCACTCTGTCTCCCTGGCTGGAGTGCAGTGGCAAGATCTTGGTCCACTACAACGTCCGCCTCCTGAGTTCAAGCAATTCTGCCTACCTCAGTCTACCAAGTAGCTGGGATTACAGGTGCACGCCACCATGCCCAGCTAATCTTTGTATTTTTAGTAGAGACGGGTTTTCTCCATGTTGGCCAGGCTGGTCTTGAACTCCTGACCTCAGGTGATCCACTTGCTTCAGCCTCCCAAAGTGTGGGATTACAGGTGTGAGTCACTGCACCCAGCCCAGTTAGTTAATTTTAATTAGGATTTTCCTTTCTGATAACTGTCAGTATTCTTGGAACTCTTTTATGCACCCGAGTTAAAGAATTTTTTGAACTGAAGCCCAAACTTCAGTGTTATTTTTTGCTTTTGTCCCCTTTCACCAGAAGAGAGACCAAATGCCTCAAGATTTGATGCTTACTGGGCACCTAAAAAACAGTCTGTTCTCAGACATCCGCTTTTACTGCCTGCCAGTAACATTTTAGAAGGGCCATGCACATGTGTGTGCCTCAGTCAGAGTTGGAGAGGTACCCAACAAGCTCAGTGACGTGACAATGATGCTACCTCTTATTATGAAACTGGGTCCTGACTCACAGCTTCTAAGCATGTTGTCTTAGATACTGGACACTTTTTCCTTACGGGTTTTTTTGTTTTAAAAGACAAATTCACAACAGCAACATAAAATTCTGATGATGAAAAGTATCACACTTTGGCTTTAGATATTTAAAAGAATATTATCTCCTATTTTATTTGAAAAATGCTGACTGAAAGTAGTGGCTATGCCTGTTTTTTGAGGGTTGATGTTTAATGAATGTAGTTCATAAGCTCCTCTTGCCATAAGATTAGTTTTGGGAGATACGGAACGCAAAGCATTTTACATTCTTCTAATTTACTGACACAGTCCCACTGGAGTACTGTCCAAAGATCATAAAGCGCAGCTCTTACACTAATTCTAACAATGAAAAAGCAGGTTCCCATCACTCCCTGGAGTGTCCTCCTATCAGGCATGGCTAAGGAGAAGCAGGGTTTTATAGGACTGCTTGAAGCAAAGGCAGGTAAACTAGCCACAGAGAAGTGGAAGCCCAGAGTTCTAGAACATTACTTTACAGAGCTCTGTGTGCCAGAGCCTGCCGAGTGCCTTGCTTATTTTTATCTTCTCATTTGCTTCTTACAGCAGCCTCGCAAAATATGAGGTTTTTATCCCTACTTTACTGATGAGAAAACAAATTCAAAGAGTCTAGTAACTTATCCATGGTCATGTGCCCATAAGATCCAGTGGTAAATAGAACCCTAGGTCATCTGCACTCAAAACCTGTGCCCTATAAAAGCCTCCGTAAATGTTGCTGAAAAGGTCTAGACATTTGGCTTGTTTTCTCTAGCTAATAAGTAAGCTTTTGCCCTTCGTTTCCTTTATGAGGGTTTTTCTGTAAGTACAGTGCAAAGTTGTGGTAGTCTAGTAGGTGGGGTCTTTTTCATCCCTTTCTATTGTCCCAAGGAAGAACCTATTCCAACATCATTCTAGAAACAGGTCATTTTTTTTTTCTTATAACTTAATGCCCAGCAATCCATACTCCCATCTTGCCTGGCTGGTTCTTAAATGGGAGATTGATCCCATATTGCACACCTTGAAGTTTGCAAGGGTTCTTCCTCGACATCATGTGCCAGTTAAAAGTTTCAGTTCTTGATTGTGTGCTGTTTAGGGATTTAAAAACCAAAATTGGCCAGGCACGGTGGCTCATGTCTGTAATCCCAGCACTTTGGGAGGCCGAGGTGGGCAGATCACTTGAGGTCAGGAGTTTGAGAATAGCCTGGCCAACAACTCTGTTGCTACTAAAAATACAGAAATTAGCCAGGTGTGGTGGCGTCCACCTGTAATTCCAGCTACTTGGGAGGCTGAGGCATGAGAATTGCTTGAACGCTGAAGGCGGAGGTTGCACTGAGTTGAGATTGTGCCACTGCATTCCAGCCTGGGTGACGGAGTGAGACTCTGTCTCAAAAAACAGAACAAACAAACAAAAACACCACAGAATTAGCTGGATGCCGTGGCTCACACCTGTAATCTCATCACTTTGGGAGGCTGAGGCGGGTGGATCACCTGAGGCTGGGAGTTCAAGACCAGCCTGACCAACATGGAGAAACCCCGTCTACTAAAAAAATACAAAAGTAGACGGGCATGGTGGTGCACGCCTGTAATCCCAGCTACTCAGGAAACTGAGGCGTGAGAATCGCTTGAACCCGGGAGGCAGAGGTTGTGGTGAGCCAAGATTACACTCCAGCCTGGACAACAAGAGTGAAACTCTGTCCTCCCCACCACCCCCGCAAAAAAAAAAAAAAAACAAAACCAGAATTATTGTCTTTTTAATTATTTTTTTTTCTTTTTTTTTTTCCATTTTTACTTGCCCTCTGTCATTAAGGAAAACAGAGTTAAATGACTAAAGAATCCTACTTGTCTGATAACACTTAGCATCCTTTTAGGGGCGCTTGCAGTTGGATCATATGGAAGGAGCTAGATAAAAGGCATGATGAGGGGAAAATGCAAAGGGTTTTCATAGAATAAGGAGGGATCACTTTGGAATGGTGGGAGATACAGGTAGAGCCAGATTATGGAGGCCGTGGATCCAGAAGGCCAATTGACATCAGTCTAGCAAATAAAACCTTTAGTAACTCCTTTAGGAAAAGAGTGACAAATCAAAGTGCTATAGTATTTAATGCTTGAGTGTTAAATATTTAACATCCTGAGTATGTTTTGTAGGCAAAGAGGAGAGTTACTTGAAGTGAACTTTGGTTTTTTTGAGACAGGGTCTGGAATGTAGTGGCACAATCTTGGCTCACTGCAGCCTCAACCTCCTGGGCTCAAGCAGTCCTACCACCTCAGGCCCTCTCCTCCACCCCAGTAGCTGGGACTACATAAGATTACTACATAAGACTACCATAGATTCTGTCACCACGCCCAGCTAATTTTTGTATTTTTAGTAGAGATGGGGTTTCACCACGTCGCCCAGGCTGGTCTTGAACTCCTGGACTCAAGGGATCCACCTGCCTCGCCTTCCCAAGGTGCTGGGATAATAGGCATGAGCCACCACGCCCAGCTATAATTTTTTATTTTTTATTTATTTATTTATTTTGAGACGGAGTCTCGCTCTGTCACCAGGCTGGAGTGCAGCGGCACGATCTTGGCTCACTGCAACCTCCATCTCCCAGGTTCAAGCGATTCTCCTTCCTCAGCCTCGTGAGTAGCTGGGATTACAGGCATGCACCACCACACCCAGCTAATTTTTGTATTTTTAGTAGAGATGGGGTTTCACCATGTTGGCCAGGCTGGTCTCAAACTCCTGGGCTCAGGCAATTCGCCTGGCTCGGCTTCCTAAAGTGCTGAAATTACAGGTGTGAGCCACTGTGCCCAGCCGAAGTCAACATTTTAAAAGAAACAAGAGTGTAGTGACTTCGCTTGAATTCAGTCTGTATCTGTGGTGGCATGATTGCCACTGAGTTGGCCACCTCTGCAGAAGTCTGAAGTGTTCAACATAAAACTAATCCATTTTGACTCCTCTACCACAAATTGTTTGTTTCATTTATTTGAGCTATTTTAAATTGGAAACTGGTGTCATTAATGTTTAAGAAAGAAAGGAGAAACTGAGTAGAGTACTATCTCTTGACCTAATTTCTTTGTGAGCATATTATATACTCACCTAAGTATCAAGTGGAAGAGGAAGTTGATCCCTGGAGGGAAATTTCCATAGGTTAAAAGCATGGGATTTACAGTCAGATGAATTTGGGTTCAAATCCCAGCTCTCACTTTATCCATGTAGCACTCACTAGCTGTGTGACTTGGGCAACGTAAATTGCCTCAGTTTCCAGACTGTAAAATGGTAATAATATCTAGTTTAAGGCTGTTCTGAGATTCAGTTGAGATAATGTTTAGAAGATGCTTTGAACAATGTAGCTAATATTAAATGGTACAGACATAGTAAGTATTCTTGATCACTGCAGATTCAGTGGAATTAAATTTTCATATTTTGATGAAAGGGAAAATAACCAGTATTCAGTTTGCAAATTTAAATGTGTTGTTTCTTTTTAAAAACATTGAATCTGTGGTTGGGTTATTTCTGTCAATTTATTTGCCTTCCTTGCCAAGTCACACTTTGCCTAATTGATGTCCTGTGTGTTTTCCATTCCGTTCATGCTGAATTATCTTAGGTCAAAGAGGAAATCATCTTTCTGCCTCCAACCTTCTTACTTGCCTCTAATCCCCTTTCTTGACTCTTCCAAGTCAGGATTCTCACCAAGGAAGCTATCTGCCTTCTTTGGGAATGTTGGGCTTATGAAGACTTGAGATAATGGGGTTCATGTATTCAGACTCTTTAGCATATACAGTAGAGTTTCTAATGTTGTCAGCATTCCCTAGTGGGCGGTTACAAGTTAGGTTGGGATTCTAATCATATTTTATGATATCTCACAGATTAAATTGCACTTTGTCTCTGCCCAGTCTTGATTCCCTTTTGGCCAGCAGTTTTTAGGTCTGTCAGTACTGCACTGCAAGAATGGCAGATTTTGGGATCTCTGCTGGCCAGTTTGTGGCAGTGGTCTGGGATAAGTCATCCCCAGTGGAGGCTCTGAAAGGTCTGGTGGATAAGCTTCAAGCGTTAACCGGCAATGAGGGCCGCGTGTCTGTGGAAAACATCAAGCAGCTGTTGCAATGTAAGTACCCACCCACGTTGTCTTTATGAGGCTGGAGGGGTTTCCATGGGAGTGTTGCATTTCTGTGGTTCCTTGATATCTGAGTTTTCATTTAGGGTGGCATGTGATAGTGGTGGCTGGTCACCCTGTTGTTTTTCAGTTGAGATATATCGGAGGAACCACCCCCAATAATTCAACGTAGGTTCTTTTCTATTTTCCCTAAGTGTCGGCTGGTCTGAGAAATAAAGGGAAAGAGTACAAAAGAGAGAAATTTTAAAGCTGGGTGTCCGGGGGAGACATCACATGTCGGCGGGTTCCGTGATGCCCCTCAAGCCGCAAAACCAGCAAGTTTTTATTAGTGATTTTCAAAGGGGAGGGAGTGTACGAATAGGGTGTGGGTCACAGAGATCACATGCTTCACAAGGCAATAAAATAAGGCAAACGGGGGCAGAGCGAGATCACAGGACTGGGGCGAAATTAAAATTGCTAATAAAGTTTCGGGCACGCATTGTCATAGATAACATCTTATCAGGAGACAGGGTTTGAAAGCAGACAGCTGGTCTGACTAAAATTTACTGGGTGGGAATTTCCTCGTCCTAACAGGCCTGGGAGTGCTACGGGAGACCAGGGCTTATTTCATCCCTTATCTGCAACCATATAAGACAGACATCCCAGAGTGGCCATTTTAGAGACCTCCCCCTAGGAACGCATTCTCTTTCTCAGGGCTGTTCCTTGCTGAGAAAAAGAATTCAGTGATATTTCTCCTATTCACTTTTGTAAGAAGAGAAATATGGCTCTGTTCCGCCTGGCTCTCAGGCAGTCAGACCTGATGGTTATCTCCCTTGTTCCCTGAACATCGCTGTTATCCTGTTCTTTTTTCAAGGTGCGCAGATGTCGTATTGTTTAAATGCACATGCTTTATGAACAATTTGTGCAGTTAACGCAATCATCACAGGGTTCTGAGGCAACATACATCCTCAGCTTATGAAGATGACGGGATTAAGAGATTAAAGTAAAGACAGGCATAGGAAATCACAAGAGTATTGACTGAGGAAGTGATAAATGTCCATGAAATCTTCACAATTTATATTCAGAGATTGCAGTAAAGACAGGCGTAAGAAATTATAAAAGTATTAATTTGGGGAACTAATAAATGTTCATGAAATCTTCACAATTTGTGTACTTTTGCCATGGCTTCAGCCGGTCCCTCCGTTTGGGGTCCCTCACTTCCTGCAGCAGAGCTTAGGAGTGTAGTTGATGATTTCCATAAGTATGTTCTTTCTTGGTAGCTATTCCATGTTTTTTTAAAACACTTACTATTCATCCAGCTTCTTGGATGGATATCGAGTGGTGTCCATTCTCTCAGGGTGAGGTCTGTAGCTTTTGTTGGGGGTTGGAAGGGACCAGGAGATTATCCCAGGCTCAGGAGATTGCTAATTAGAGTCCTCTTCTTTTCAGCTGCCCACAAAGAATCCAGCTTTGACATTATTTTGTCAGGTTTAGTCCCAGGAAGCACCACTCTGCACAGTGCTGAGATTTTGGCTGAAATCGCCCGGATCCTTCGGCCTGGTGGATGTCTTTTTCTGAAGGAGCCAGTAGAGACAGCTGTAGGTAAGGAGATCTTCACTTGGAAAACATGTTTGACAGGGTTGAGTCTTAGAGTATGTGTGCTGCATCTCCGTGAGCAGGAGGTATCATTGGGAGATCAGTATTCCTGTAGCAAAACCTTTTCCTTGGGGATAAATTATTGTTAAAATCTGAAGCAACATATCTGGAGAAATTGTAATCTTTGGCTGACTCATTATGTAATAAAATAGAAGGAAACTGCCATCTAAAAATGGGTCCTTTTGCAGGTGAATAAACTTTGATATGTTCATAATATGGAAAGTGATGCAGCAATAAAAATGAACTAGCTAACTATATGTACATCAGCTTGGATGGATATCAAGGGAAGTAGCTGAGTGAAAAAAGCCAATCTCAAAAGGCTCTGTACTGTACAAATCCATTCATATGCTCGAAATAACAAAATTGTGGCGGTGGAGATCAGAGTTTGCCAGAGGTTAGAAGTGGGAGGAAAGGGTTGGTGGAGCTATAAAGGGGTAGTATGAGGGTTCCTGTGGTGATAGAACAATTCTGTGTTCTGAATGTCGTGGTGGTTACACAAATCTACACATATAATAAAATTACATAGAACTATATAGCCCCCTTCTGCCAAACGAGTACATATAAAAGAAATGAAATCTGAAAAAGTTATGTGGACCATCAATATCAATTTCCCGGTCTTCATATCATGCTATAATTGGGTAAGATGTTAACTGTGGGGAGGGACGAAGTGAAGACCTCCTTAATATACAGAACTTTTTTTTGTTTTTTCCAACTTCCTGTGAATCTATAGTTATTTCAAAATTAAAAGTTTAAAAATAGTGGCCGAACCCTGGGAATGATGTGGTAATTATTGATTCATGTGAAACTAATGACAGTGTTCATGAAGTAAAAACTTTTTTGATCGGTGGTATAGCTGTCAGAGTGATTCAAGTCTGGATTTTTAATATTTTTCACTAGACTTTCAGTCAAAACATAACCATTTCATCAAATAGAATAATAGAAATGAAAGTATTTTGAAATGTATAAAGGTGTTCATTGTTTATTTGGAAATAGAACTTTGTGTTATGTGTAGTATAAATCAGCATTCTTTGCTGGGAATTTAAACCTTACATGACTAAATGTAGTGTCTTAGAACTATACAGAGATAAAAAAGGAACTATTCAGAAGGAATACTTGTGTTTCTGTGCACTTTGCAGTTCATAAGCCTCTTTTCATAGTCATTATCTCACAACCTCTGGAAGGGGTTTCAAGAAGCAGAGAGTGATAAAAAAACAATAATAATGGAATTATAACATTTAAGAGCTTAGGTAAAAACACTTCGAACAACAAAAAGGATTTGTCAAATTAAAATAGTATCGCTATGGCCAGGCACAGTGGCTCACACCTGTAATCCCGGCAGTTTGAGAGGCTGGGGCAGGCAGGTTGCTTGAGTCCAGGAGTTCGAGACCAGCCTGGGCAACATGGCGAAACCCCGTCTCTACAAAAAATACAAAAATTAGCCCAGTGTGGTAGTGCACACCTATAACCCCAGCTACTTGGTGGGGGCTGAGGCAGGAAGATTGCTTGAACCTGGGAGGTCGAGGCTGCAATGAGCTGAGATCATGCCACCGCACTCCAGCCTGGGTGACAAAGTGAGACCCTGTCTCAAAAATAATAATAATAATAATAATAATAAAATAATATCACTAAAATATATATACAATTGTCCTCATCTTACAATGGAGTTACATCCTGATAAATACTATTAAGATGAAAATGCATGTAATTCATCTAACCTACTAAACACAATTGCTTAGGTTAGCCTAGCCTACCTTAAACACGCTTAGGACACTTGCGTTAGCCTACAGTTGGGCAGAATCATCTAACACAAAGCCTGTTTATAATAAAGTGCTTAGTATCTCATGTAATTTACTGAAAACTGAAGTATACAGTTTCTACTGAATGAGTATTACTTTCATACTATCATAAAAGTTGAAAAATTATAGGTAGAACCATCATTAAGTCAAGGACCATCTGTACATTAAACAGAATAGGTTATTATTTTTTTTTTGTTTTTTCTTTGAGATCAAGTCTCACTCTGTTGTGCAGGCAAGAGTGCAGTGGTGCAATCTCGGCTCACTGCAACCTCCGCCTCCCAGGTTCAAGCGATTCTCGTGCCTTAGCTTCCCAAGTAGGTGGGATTACAGGCGTGTGCCACCACGCCTGGCTATTTTTTTTGTGTGTATTTTTAGTAGAGACGGGATTTTGCTATGTTGGCCCCAGATTGGTCTTGAACTCCTGGCCCCAAGTGATCTGTCCACCTCAGCCTCCCAAAGTGCTGGGATTACAGACATGAGCCACCACGCCCACCTGGTTATTATTGTTTGAATGCCTGCGAACCCATATAGGATTGAGCCTTTATTATTTTTCCTACTTTGAACTATAAAGCTATTAATTGGGATTTTCCTTTTGGCAGATAACAATAGCAAAGTGAAGACAGCATCTAAGCTGTGTTCAGCCCTGACTCTTTCTGGTCTTGTGGAAGTGAAAGAGGTACGTTTGTAGACAACTTTCTTTGCTGCCCTGCAGGTGAGGTAATCAGTATTGCTTAGAACTAGGAAACAAGAAATGCTGTGCATGTAAGATACATGATGCTTCAAAGGACAAAACTTGGGAGAATCGGCCGGGTGTGGTGGCTCACGTCTGTAATCCCAGCACTTTGGGAGGCCGAGGTGGGTGGATCACGAGCTCAGGAGATCGAGACCATCCTGGCTAACACAGTGAAACCCCGTCTCTACTAAAAATACAAAAAAATTAGTCGGGCCTGGTGGCAGACGCCTGTAGTCCCAGCCACTCAGGAGGCTGAGGCAGGAGAATGGCGTCAACCTGAGAGGCGGAGCTTGCAGTGAGCCGAGATCACGCCACTGCCCTCCAGCCTGGGCGACAGAGCGAGACTCTGTCTCAAAAAAAACAAAACAAAACAAAAAAAAACTTTTGAGAATAACCAACTTCAAAGAGACTCAGCTTGGCCCATGTGGGCTGGGGCTTGTTCTTGTCTCCTTGGTACTAGTTTAGTGGTGGTGACAGCTGAGGGGCATGAGCAGCAGCTCTGCTGCTTCCAACACCCACCTCTCAGTAGACCCGAATCCTAGGCCTGGGTGAACACTGCCATCTAGTTCAGCCTCACATTTTTGGTGGGAGGCTGGAATAGGTTAGAGGGCAAAGTTCCTTTTCTGACAATTCAGTGGAAATGTTTAAATTAAGCAGAAGTATTTATATTTCTACACTCTTTGATCTTAAAATTTTCTTGGATGTGGGAGAGGTAAATGTTACAGCATGATAGCTGTTGTGCCTGTTATTTCTTACATAATGTAGGGCCTTAAATTCTTTGTTTTTTAATTTTTTTTCTTGTTTTTGGAGACAGTCTCGCTCTGTTGCCCAGGCTGGAGTGCAGTGACACGATCTCTGCTTACTGCATCATCCGCCTCCTGGGTTCAAGCAATTCTCCTGCCTGAGCCTCCCGAGTAGCTGGGATTACAGGCGTGCGCCACCACACCTGGCTAATTTTTTGTATTTTTAGTACAGATGGGGTTTCGCTATGTTGGCCAGGCCGTTCTCTAACTCCTGACCTCAGGTGATCTACCCACCTTGGCCTTCCAAAGTGCTGGTATTACAGGCGTGAGCCAGGCCTTAGATTCTTTATGCCAGGCCTTAGATTCTTTATGCCAACCCTTTCTTATTTTTCCTTTTAGCTTAAGGTTTTCTGTGCTTGATTTTAAAATAAGGAATGTGTATTAGGCCATTCTTCTGTTCCTATAAAGGAATACCTAAGACTGAATAATTTATAAAGACAAGAGGTTTAATTGGCTCACTGTTCTGCAGACTGTACAGGAAGCACGGGCCTGCAACTGCTTGGCTTCTAGGGAGGCCTCAATGAACTTTTACTCGTGGCAGAAGGTGAAGCAGGAGCAGGCACATCACATGGCAAAAGCAGGATCAAGAAAGAGAGGAAGAGTCGGGGTGGGGAAGGTGCCATACTTTACAACCACCACATCTCATGAGAATTCAGATGGTGCTAAACCATTCATGAGAAATCTGCCCCCATGATCCAGTCACCTCTCACCAGGCCCCACCTCCAACATTGGGGATTACAGTTCAACATGAGATTTAGAGGGGACACATATCCAAACTATATCAGACTCCTCATAAAAATTCACTTTACACCAAAGCATACAGAATATAAAGTGACATCCCACTTCTTGCTCACACTTCCCTCCCCAGAGGAAGCCACCAATGCCTTTTTGTATGTCCGTTCAGACCTTTTCCTATGTATTTACAAGCATCTACATGCACATACTTTTTTAAAAATGTAAATAAGATCATAAGTATACATTGTTCAATCACCTTTTTTCCCACCCTTAGATATCATAGACACTTACCTACTTCAGTGTATTTCCCTTCATTCATATTAATGATGTAATAGTATTCCATACAATAGATGGACTGTGATTTATGTAACCAGTCTATAATTATTGGACATAGAGGTGGCACCCTGACCCTTTTTTTCTACCTTTACTCTCTGCTACTTTATCCCAAGGAACATAGAAAGGATTTTCCTCCCCCTTTTTCTTTTGGGATATAAATTTCTGCTGTCTTCATTGTGGGCATTCTTTCCTGTTACACAGTAGGACCACATCTGGTTCATTTTCATAATTGTATTACATCCCAAATAACTAGTATATGCCTCATCCCTAATGTTTTTTAAGTACTTTTACATTTTCCAAGGGGTAGGCTCCAAGTAAACATGCAGACAAAGGTTATACTCTAGGGTTCTGATCAGTGAGAAACTGAATGTGAGGCATAAAGTGTTATCTGTTACCATCCACTGTTACATCCTTAATGCACAGAAATGAGTCTTTGACTCCTGTGTAGGTAGACATAGTAAACCATTTTACAGAGGAGGGTGAACTAATCCTTTTGATGTCTTGAATTCTAGCTGCAGCGGGAGCCCCTAACCCCTGAGGAAGTACAGTCTGTTCGAGAACACCTTGGTCATGAAAGTGACAACCTGCTGTTTGTTCAGATCACAGGCAAAAAACCAAACTTTGAAGTGGGTTCTTCTAGGCAGCTTAAGCTTTCCATCACCAAGAAGTCTTCTCCTTCAGGTAAGGCTGGCCTAGGGACATTCTTCTGTTTGAATGGGCTTAGAGGGACATGTTAGAAATTGAGCCAGCAATAAATGAGATGGTGATATTTTTAGAGGATTAGTCCTTTGATTTCTGCCATTTCCACAAAGAAGAATACTTAATGTACTATTATCATGGGCATATTAGGATCCAAAACTGAAATAATACATAGGTATTATCTAGTTCAGCTCCTTCTTCTGCACCAGAAGATACCGAGGCCTCCTAATTTTACAGGACTGAGTCACACAGTTTAATTAATGAGGTCCTTCCAGGTCCCAGAATTAACGTTTCTCCTCAGAAGACCTCACAGTGTAGTGGTAATGGTGTATGAGAGTGCCCTGTTCCTGTTCTCATGTGCTTTTTTCCCCATGCCAGGAAAATCAGCTGTTCTTACTTTGAGGATGCTAAGACACTTATAAAACTATATTTCTTCTGACTAGAAAATTGTGTACAAGCACACGCGTGCACGCACGCGCACGCACACACACACACACACACAGCTCCATCCTCATCCTTCCTATCCCTATTTTTAAATGCCTGAATTGACCCAGCTGTGAGGTATGCAGACATTAACAGATATTTACTGGTACATTCCCACTTGTACGGTTTTGACTGTCTAACCTAAATCTTCAAGAAATCCTTTGGAATCTAACCTTTCGATTCATGGTTCCAGAATGGGTAGGAATAGCTTAGAACAGTTGGCCTTGTGGAAGGTATGAGCATCCAGCTGTGACAATGATCACTAGAGGGTACTCTTACCCCAAGGGCCTGCGAGGATTTGCCCACACTGCATCCGAGCCTCAGCTCTCTGCCTCTTCCTTGCATTCTCCTGACTAGACAGAGAACCAGGAAGTGTGAGGTTTGTCTGCCACTGATGGTGTTACCTTGCCACCAGCAGCTCTAGAGCCTATTTTCTTGTATGTAGCAGGTTTACATGAGGCTAAAGCTCTGCTATTTTTGAAGGTTTTGACACATTTCTCATTTAATCCTCAAAACACCTGCAGTAACATAGGAAGTACAATTTAACTTCATGTTATAGAATGGAAACTAAGGTATCGAGGAGGAAGCAATATGGAATGGAGGTTAAAAGCATCAGACAGGCTTTGCAGCCTGTGGAACCAGCCTAAGTGTCTAAACCTGTTTCCTCAGCGGTAAAAGTAGGATGACAGATAGTTACCTCATAAGGTTGTCAGCAGAATTAAGTTAGATAATGTATATAAGTGCTTAATATGGTGCCTGGTGCAAAGCAAGAGCTTAGCAAATGGTGACTTCTGTAACTATCAGCAAGTGGTTGGCCCAAGGTCAGACCTCTCAGAGGGGTAGAGCTGGACTGTGAACCCACATCTTCTGCCTCCCAGGCCAGTGTGTTCTCTTCTACACAGCAGGAAGCATTTATGTATGTTTGTAATTAATAGTTTCTGACTGTGTTTATGGAGTTTTTTCTTTTATTGCTTGGACTCAGTGAAACCTGCTGTGGACCCTGCTGCTGCCAAGCTGTGGACCCTCTCAGCCAACGATATGGAGGACGACAGCATGGTGAGCTGGCAGCATTGTCACTTGATTGCTTTCTTTCAGGCCCCAGTTTGGGTGTGAACAGCTATAGTGACCTTTCTGGACTTGTAGGTGTGAACGTATTTAAAGCCCAGATTTGTGACTATGCCTGTCACATCTTTGATTTAGAAGGAAACTCCATGTTGGTGGCTTTTTTTTTGGAGACAGTCTCGCTCTCTTGCCCAAGCTGGAGTGCAATGGCACAATCTCGGCTTACTGCAATCTCTGCTCCCGGGTTCAAGCGATTCTCATGTTTCAGCCTCCCAAGTAGCTATGATTACAGGCATGTGCCACCACACCTGGCCAATTTTTGCGTTTTTAGCAGAGACGGGGTTTCACCATGTTGGCCAGACTGGTCGCAAAACTCCTGACCTCAAGTGATCTGCCCGCCTCGGCCTCCCAAAGTGCTGGGATTACAGGTGTGAGCCACTGCGCTTGGCCATGTTGGTGGCATTTTAAATTTTTTAGCATCTCTTTTTCCCCACATAATTTCTTGTTCTCACTTCATACGATATGTTGAAAACTCTTGTGGGCATGTGTAAACCTGAAAAGATTTTGTCAGCTTAAATAGTTTTATTGGCACCTTTGGGCAAGTTGCTGACTGTTCCATGCTTTAAAAAGCACTATTTTCTATCTTTGGCCATGTCTGTAATAAAGTTCTTCATTTCTACACCTCTACTATTGAAGTTAGAGTAGTGAGCAAAATAAGTGAGGTTCATGCTCTCATAGGGTTTACAGACTAAGTGTCTACACATTTACAAAGAATTACATAAAGGTATATATAATTATTTGATTTTTATCTGGGATTATGTAAAAGATATTTTATTCCCTTTTTCACGTGACTCTTCATAAACACTTCTCTCTTTCTCTGTTCTGCCTGTTCCCTCCCTTCTCCCCACTCCTGCCCCCAACCCCCAACATGTGTATATTCTCTACACATTGCTGGCCAGTCATACAGCTTTTTCTCATGTAAATTTGTTTCTAATTCCTTTGCATCCTAGTGCATCTTCTGTGGATGTAGTTTAACTCACCGTTGGCCTCTTGAGCATGTGGTCAGGTTGAACATGATGATCAACCAAAAGGAGGACAGGGTGGACACCTTCTTTACCCTGGACTCCAAGTTTCCTCTCGAAGCCTGCAGTCACTTTAGCTTTTCATTAGCAGAGACCACGACTGTATCACTCATTGCTTTGAACACTCTCCAGGATCTCATTGACTCAGATGAGCTGCTGGATCCAGAAGATTTGAAGAAGCCAGATCCAGCTTCCCTGCGGGCTGCTTCTTGTGGGGAAGGGAAAAAGAGGAAGGCCTGTAAGAACTGGTGAGTGCTGGGGTGACTGGAGCCTGCCATGCTGCCTCCAGTGGCTTCATGCTGAAGACATCGCGGTGCTGTACTATTTTTAGAACATACATTTTCCAGGCTGGGCAACACAGGGAGACCATCTCTGCAAATAATTAAAAAAAAAAAAAAATTAGCCAGGCATGGTGGTATGTACCTGTGGTCCCAGCTACTTGGGAGGCAAAGGCAGGAGGATCACTTGAGCCTGGGAGGTCGAGGCTGCAGTGAGCCGTAATTGTGCCATGTATCTAATTTCACTCTCCCTCAAAACCCTACCAGTAAGCCACTATTGTGCCACTGCACTCCAGCATGGGCATCAGAGCGAGACCTTGGTGTCTTCACATTTGTTTTTATAAATGGATGGGAAGGATTGTAGAAAGTTAATCAGTGATGTTCATCATCAGCGTTAATCATCAGTGTTTTTTAAATGTAAAAGCTGCCAGCATTTACAAATCAGGAAATTTCAAGTGAAAACACAGATTTTTTTCCCTTCTGTTCTTGAATTTGGAAAATATGGCAATCTGGGTCCACTTTCCCCAGCATGATAACCAGCTGAAGCTTGAGTAGTGGCTGCCCTCTGTAGACAGAGCACACACGGTACTTCCCTCATCCTCCTCCCACTTCTGTCTCCCTCAGCAGCCTCTCATATTGCTGCTGTCTGCCTGGCCTATAGGCTTCTGAGTTATGACACTGGTGTGAAGAGAAAAGGCTTAAAGCACATTTTGGCACTGTTAGGATTTGGGATTTCTGGGTGGTGACAATTCTCGTTCATTAGTTACTGATTTTCCCGCAGCACCTGTGGCCTTGCCGAAGAACTGGAAAAAGAGAAGTCAAGGGAACAGATGAGCTCCCAACCCAAGTCAGCTTGTGGAAACGTAAATATCAGGATCATTCCTCAGCATTCACAAACCCCCAGGGGGATTAGACCTTCTTCTAAACTAAACACAGACAAGCTCCACCTCAAATATTTTAGTAACAGACGAATGCGTGAGCACACGAACGTAGGTAGTAATGGGGAGAGAGGCTGTCTCCTGAGAGTGAGAGTGGGTTAGCGTGCTTGTGCTGGTCAGGGAGGGTCTTGTTGCTTTTTATTTTTGGCCCATTTCTTTGTACTTCAGAGTGGGACCTGATGGTTAGACAGTTAGCTAAAGTTGGTTGTGTTTTGAACTGCATAGAATATAGAACTATGGCCGGGCGCAGTGGCTCACGTGTGTAATTCCAGCTATGCCAGAGGCTGAGGCGGGAGAATCACTTGAACCTGGGAGGTGGAGTGAGCTGAGATCGCACCACTGCACTCCAGCCTGGGTGACAGAGGGAGACTCCATCTCAAAAAAAAAAAAAGGCCGGGTGCGGTGGCTCACGCCTGTAATCCCAGCACTTTGGGAGGCCAAGGAGGGCGGATCACGAGGTCAGGAGATCGAGACCATCCTGGCTAACATGGTGAAACCCCGTCTCTACTAAAAATACAAAAAAATTTGCCGGGCATGGTAGCGGGCGCCTGTAGTCCCAGCTACTTGGGAGGCTGAGGCAGGAGAATGGCGGGAACCCAGGAGGCGAAGCTTGCAGTGAGCTGAGATCGCGCCACTGCACTCCAGCCTGGGTGACAGAGGGAGACTCCATCTCAAAAACAAAAAAAAAAGAACTATGGCCTCCTAGGGAACTTTTCATGACTATAGTTTTTCACGAAACCAGAAATCTTGAAAACTCTTAGTATTTTGGTCTCAATTGGACCTGCAAACATAGCCATTTCCTTCAGGCCACTGTGGCCACATTATGAAATTAGGCATTTCTTTCTTCTGGCTGGTATGCCTGGGATAAGCTGACCCTTGGCTTCCCCATTCTCTCTCTCCAGTGCTACCTGGGCGATGCCTTCCGCTGTGCCAGCTGCCCCTACCTTGGGATGCCAGCCTTCAAACCTGGGGAAAAGGTGCTTCTGAGTGATAGCAATCTTCATGATGCCTAGGAGGTTCCTGACATGGGACCCATCTGCTCCTCCAGCCAACTCCTGTCCCTCACATCCCACCATGGTGGCTCCTCCCACCTCCTCTGGATTTGTTCACTCTGAGATCTGTTTGCAGAGTGGGTGCTTAGCAGACAGAGTGAAGCTGGCTGGGGGGCACAGTGGTGTGTAGTGCTGCTGTGTATCAAAAGACCAAGGTATTATGGGACCTGGTTTCAGAATGGGATGGGTTTCTTCACCTCATGTTAAGAGAAGGGAGTGTGTCCTGAAGAAGCCCTTCTTCTGATGTTAAAATGCTGACCAGAACGCTCTTGAGCCCAGGCATCGTTGAGCATTAACACTCTGTGACAGAGCTGCAGACCCCTGCCTTGAGTCTCATCTCAGCAATGCTGCCACCCTCTTGTCTTTCAGAGTTGTTAGTTTACTCCATTCTTTGTGACACGAGTCAAGTGGCTCACAACCTCCTCAGGGCACCAGAGGACTCACTCACTGGTTGCTGTGATGATATCCAGTGTCCCTCTGCCCCCTTCCATCCCCAACCACATTTGACTGTAGCATTGCATCTGTGTCCTGTTGTCATTTATGTTAACCTTCAGGTATTAAACTTGCTGCATATCTTGACATATCTTGAGATTCTGCATGTCTTGTAAAGAGAGGGGATGTGCATTTGTGTGTGATGTTGGATAGTCATCCACGCTCAGTTTGGACCATTGGAGGAACTTAGTGTCACGCACAAATGGGGCTATTCCTACGCTTAGAATAGGGCTTGTCTGCCCACTTTAGAAGAGTCCAGGTTGGTGAGCATTTAGAGGGAAGCAGGGCAGAACTCTGAACGACAATACGTCTCTCTGAGCAGAGACCCCTTTGTTCTTGTTATCCACCCATATGGACTTGGAATCAATCTTGCCAAATATTTGGAGAGATTGTGTGGATTTAAGAGACCTGGATTTTTATATTTTACCAGTAAATAAAAGTTTTCATTGATATCTGTCCTTGAAACTTGATTTGATTCTCCAAGTTTGCTTTGCTTATCCTAGTCCCTGCTGGTGGATTTTAGTTGTTTGTTTGGCTAATTGAAGTTTGGCTCCAAAGCCCCTTTTATACACAGGTCTAAGATGACCCCTAGTGACTCATGCCCTTGTGTAATAACCCCCTTGAGTTTCAGCAGGACCTGTGAATGTGATGGGATAATCCCTACTGTGATTAGGTTACCTTCTGTGGCAAAAGTGAAGGGATTTTGCAGATGTAATTAAAGTCCCTAATGGACTTGAAGTTAATTAAAAGGGAGATTATCCTGAGTAGGCTTGACCCAATCAGTTGATCCTTTAAAAGAACTAGAGAAGAATTTCTCTTGCTAGCCATGAAGAAGTAAGTGCTGTATTAGTCTGTTTTCATACTACTATAAAGAACTGCCCGAGACTGGGTAATTTTTAAAGGGAAGAGGTTTAATTGACTCACAGTTCTGCATGGCTGGGGAGGCCTCAGGCAACTTACAATCATGGCGGAAGGCGAAGGGGAAGCAAGACACCTCCTTCACAAGGTGGCAGGGAGGAGACATGCTGAGCAAAGGAGGAAGAGCCCCTTATAAAACCATCAGATCTTGTGAGAACTCACTATCATCAGAACAGCATGGGGGAAACCGCCCTCATGATTCAGTTACCTCCACCCCTCTCGCTTGACACGTGGGGATTATGGGGATTACAATTCAAGATGAGATTTGGGTGGGGACACGAAGCCTAACCATATCAGTTGCCAAGTAGGGAGAGGGCCATTGGCAAGGAACTGTGAGTGCAGGCTCCTCACATGCTGGCAGACAGTCGAGAAAAAGGGGACCTTAGTCCACAGCTGCAAGGAACCGCATTCTGCCAACAACCAGGTTAGCTTGGAGAGGACCCCAAGTTCCAGTTGAGAATGCAGCCTAGCCGGCACCTTGTAAGATCCTGAGTAGAGGCCCCGGTCTTCTGTGCCAGGACTCCTGGCCCACAGAACTTGTGATAAGAAATGGGTGTTTTAAGCAGCTAAATGTGAGGTCGTTGGTTACACAGCAGTAGGAAACTAATTCAGCCCCAGAATGGTTTGACAGTAACAAAATTATTATTTATTATTATTATTTTGAGATGGAGTCTCGCTCTCTCACCCAGGCTGGAGTGCAGTGGTGTGATCTCGGTTCACTGCAAGCTCTGCCTCCCAGGTTCAAGCGATTCTCCTGCCTCAGCCTCCCGAGTAGCTGGGACTACAGGCATGTACCACCACGCCCAGCTAATTTTTTGTATTTTTAATAGAGACGGGGTTTTACCATGTTAGCCAGGCTGGTCTCAAACTCCTGACCTTGTGATTCACCTGCCTCGGCCTCCCAAAGTGCTGGGATTATAGGTGTGAGCCACTGCCTGGTCCGATAGTAACATAATTATTAAGCTGCAGGGCCACTGTTGGTTGCTTCTGCTGCACTTGCCCATATGAAGGACAAAAATCTCAACCTCCATGTTGAGGACAAGAGATCCTGAGCCAGAGCTTCCTGGACAGGCCTAGCAAATGCCACAAGCCCTCGCCGATTCTTGCTCTGAGTCCCAGCTGTTGCTGGCAAAAAGGATACTGCCATCTCCTGTCTGCTGCAGTTGGCATAGTTAATGATTTTATGCCGGCAGTTGCCGTGTCACTCCACAGGGTCCGGGGCAAGCCAGCTAGCTCGGAGTCTGGGGCCCAGAGTGAGGGAAGAGTCCTTGCCAATCAGCAGGACACACCTGGGCCGGGGGCTCAGACACACCTGCACCTACACCTGCACCCAGTGAGGCAACAGCCAGACAGGCTAGAGGTTTCAGCGTTCAGCAAGCTCACAGTATTGGAGCCAACATGGGCTCTTATAATCACTGAATGCAACCTCATCTTACATCTGAGGAAAGGGTGAGACTGGGAGGGTAACCTGCTGCCATCATTCACCTGAGCACCTCTTAAAAGTACTGAGGCCTGGCCGGGTGTGGTGGCTCACGCCTGTAATCCCAGCACTTTGGGAGGCTGAGGTGGGCAGATCATGAGGTCAGGAGATTGAGACCCTCCTGGCTAACACAGTGAAACCCCATCTCTACTAAAAATACAAAAAATTAGCCGGGTGTGGTGGTGGGTGCCTTGTAGTCCCAGCTACTCGGGAGGCTGAGGCAGGAGAATCGCTTGGACCTGGGAGGCAGAGCTGGCAGTGAGCCGAGATCACACCACTGCACTCCAGCCTGGGAGACACAGCGAGACTCCGTCTCAAAAAAATAAAGTACTGAGGCCTGGCCCGGCACAGTGGCTCACACCTGTAATCCCAGCACTTTGGAAGGCCGAGGCAGGTGGATCACTTGAAGTCAGGAGTTCGAGACCAGCCTGGCCAACATGGTGAAACCCCACCTCTACTAAAAATACAAAAATTAGCCAGGTGTGGTGGTGCATGCCTGTAATCCCAGCTACTTTGGAGGCTGAGGCAGTTGAATCGCTTGAACCCAGGAGGCGGAGGTTGCAGTAAGGCAAGATGGTGCCATTGCCCTCCAGCCTGGGTGACAAGAGTGAAACTCCATCTCAAAAAAAAAAAAAAGTACTGAGGCCTGATGTCCTTGGATGTTCTGAGTCAGCCCAATGTGGACCGAGATGGGGCTGGGGGTGTAATATTTCTTCTTTTTTAGTTTTCTAAAGTCTCTAGCTTAGAACTTGGCAGTGTACATTTGGGACTTCCCCCTTCCGAAATCATTCAAAATCAGTAAATGGAGGGGACAGCAGAGACAAACCATTACCTTCCTTGGGGTTAGGAGGCAGCCAAAACAGAACCACAAAATACTTGGAAGGAGATGAGAGCAGAGGCTTTGGAGCCAGAGTGTGGACAGGAGAGAAGGGAGAGCAGATGAGGGTGCAAACCTGCTCCAGATGAAGATACCCCTGAGCTGCAGAATGGGCCCTCGTGTGTAACAGTGGGGTCCAAGGGCACAGGCAGGCAGTGGGGCTGAAGGGAGAACCCCACAGCGGAGCCTGGCATGCTGGAAGCACCCTGGTCTCTGCACTGGAGAAGAGAGACTGTGAACAGCCCAGCTGCCTGTCCTTGTGGCAGGGAGAAGGCTAAACAGAAACCTTACCAAGTATTGGTGAAAATGTGGCCGGGTGAGAACTCCCTGTTGGTAGGGATACTTTGGGCAATGTCACCCTCATGTCACTTTGAACACTGGCTGCATATTAGAATCACCTGGATAGCTTCCAAAAATAAACCAAAACAAAACAAAACAAAAGCCTATTCCTGGATTTCCTCTCCAAAACCCAATTCAGTCAGAATCCCTTGGAGTAGGGCCCAGGGCATCAGCATTTTTGCAAAGCTCTCCCAGGTCATTGTAGAGTGCAGCCAGGATTGAGAACCACTGCCCTAGAGAAATTCTTTGGCCCATGCACCAGGAGACAAGTATTCAAAGCAGCAGTACTTCTAAGAGACAATCCAAATGTCCATTAACAAGAGCGTGAATGAATGAGCTGTGCGTCCAAGCAGTGGAACACTGCACAGCAGTGATGAGCTATAGCTGTGCACTTCAACATGGAAGAATCACGAAGCAACAGAAGCCACAAAAGCAAGTCACAGAAGTGTGTGTGTGTGTGTGTGTGTGTGAGAAATATTTCATTTACATAAAGTTCAAAAACATGCCAGATGCATCAGCCTGTCATTAAGGATATACACATACATATGTGCATATACATGATGTATACACACATGTATGTGTGTGACAAAACTAATAAAGAGCTCAAGGGGAATGATATAATTCAGGACCACAGTTGGCTCCAAAGGGAGACGGGAGAAAGAGGCAGGACTTCATCAGCAGGAAAGTTCTATTTCTTTAGGCTGGACGGTGGGTATACAAGTGTTTATTTTTATGTGTTTGTATACCTGCTATATACATGATGGATTTGTATTTCTTCTTCTTTTTTTTTTTTTTTTTTTTTTTTGAGACAGAGTCTCGCTCTGTCGCCCAGGTCGGACTGCGGACTGCAGTGGCGCAATCTCGGCTCACTGCAAGCTCCGCTTCCCGGGTTCACGCCATTCTCCTGCCTCAGCCTCCCGAGTAGCTGGGACTACAGGCGCCCGCCACCGCGCCCGGCTAATTTTTTGTATTTTTTAGTAGAGACGGGGTTTCACCATGTTAGCCAGGCTGGTCTTGAACTCCTGACCTCAGGTGATCCACTCGCCTCAGCCTCCCAAAGTGCTGGGATTAACAGGCGTGAGCCACCACGCCCGACCAGTGGATTTGTATTTCTAAGAAACTTCATTGAAAAAACCTGAAAACCTCTCACATGAAACCCTGGGTCTTAAGAAGAATACTGCTAGCCCAGGACAAAGTCCTGCTTCTCCCCGACACGAACCTCTGTGGAACACTTGACCCCGTTATCATCTCATGCAAAATTTTTAAAGTGGAACTAGTACGGCATCTATATATATAAAGCTGCCTCAGAATAATAGTAACAGAGGGAGAAGGTTGTCACAGAGCAGGTGAATACTGTTTGTGACCAAAATTTTTGCTACAAATTACACAAATGTATAAAATAGCTTTGTGCTAAGTAGGGGTGGGGATGGGGCAGCTCTTGGGTGGCTCTTACTTCACCCCTCTCGGGGAAAGCAGGGACAGAAGCCCCCACTCAGCCCTCAGTGACTTCAGATCTCACCTTCAGTGGTCACTCCTGGTGGTCAAGCTGGTGGTCTGGTCATTGGTTACCCGTGGCCCACCATCCAGCATGAGGCTTTCACCTCTGCAAACCTCTGTGCTGATCTGGAGACTGCGTTCAGACTCAGCTGGGTTAGAATGCTCCTTTCTTTCCTTCCTTCTTTCCTCCCTTCCTTCCCCTCCCTCACTCCTTCCCTCTCTTCCTTCCTTCCCCTCCTTCCCTCCCTCCCTTCCCCTCCCTCACTCCTTCCCTCTCTTCCTTCCTTCCCCTCCTTCCCTCCCTCCCTCCTTCATTGCTTCCCCTCCCTCCCTTCCTCCCCCTCCCTCCCTCCCTTCCCTCCCACCATCCATCCTTCCTTCCTTCTCCTCTTCCCTTCCTTCCCCTTTCTTCCTTTTCCTTCCTTCCCTTCCTTCCTTCCTCTCTCCATCCCTTCCCCTCCCTCCCTCCCTTTCCTCCTTCCTCCCTCCCTCCCTCCCTTCCTTCCTCCCTCCCTCCCTTCCTTCCTTTCCTCCTTCCTTCCTTCCTTTTTGATTTTCTATTATTACTTAAACATTTTTTCTCTTAAATCATGAAAGATTTCAAATACAGAGAATTTCCAATAGACAACTAGCTTTGCTGTGTGTGATTCTGATCACTCCTTTTTTTCGTACACAAGTGATACAGCAGTGGCAAAATCCCTTCGCTGTCCTCCCAGAGGACTCCTTTGTCCTGAGCTGATATATGTCTCATCCAAGCCTGCTACTCTACAGAAAAGTGAATATTGAATATGTCTTTTTTATGAAATTCACATAACATAAAATGAACGATTTAAAATAAACAATTCAGCAGCATTTGGTACATTCACAGTGTGGTGCAACCACCACCTCTATCTAGTTCCAAAATGTTTTCATTGCCCTGAAAGGAAACCCCATCCCCAGTAAGCAGTCCCTTCCGGTCTTCCTCTCCCACCATCTCTGGTCACCACCAGTGGGCGTTCTGACTCCATGGAGTTACTTCTGACATTTCATATGAATGAAATTATACACTGTGTGACCTTCTGCGTTTGGCTTCTTTAGCTTAACAGAGTGTTTCGAGCTTCACCCATATCGTAGGGCGTATCCATGCAGAAAAATCTTCCTTATATGGTTAGACCACTTTTGTTTATCCATTCAGCTGTTGATAGGCCTTGGGCTGTTTCCAGCTTTGTGCTGTAGTAAATATCCCACCATGAACATGTATGTGCAAGGACTTAACAAGTCCTTTGAAAGCTGATTTTTGGCTGTGACAGTTTCTCAGACTTTCCTTGTTTTGGATGAGCTTGATCATTTTGAGGAGTACTGGTCAGGGTTGGTTGGTTGGTTTGTTTTGAGACAGAGTCTCACTCTGTTGCCCAGGCTGGAGTGCAGTGGACTGATCTGGGCTCACTGCAGCCTCTACCTCCCAGGTTCAAGCAATCCCCCTGCCTCGGCCTCCCAAGTAGCTGGGATTACAGGCATGCACCACCATGCCCAGCTAATTTTTGTATTTTTAGTACTGTCAGAGTTTCACCCTGTTGGCCAGGCTGGTCTTGAACTCCTGACCTCAAGTGATCCGCCTGCCTCGGCCCCTCAAAGTGCTGGGATTACAGGTGTGAGCCACCATGCTTGGCTGAAGGCTGGCTTCTTAAAGCCCTGATCCCTTTGCTCGTCTGAGTATTTCACCCCCGTGGTTGCCATGCTGGCTTTGGAGAAGGGCACAGGGAATATCCAGGTGATGGCAGTTCAATTATGAGGAAATGGCAGGTTTTCTTTTCTTTCTTTTCTTTTCTTTTTCTTTTTTTTTTTTTTGAGACAGAGTCTCACTCTCACTCTGTCACCCAGGCTGGAGTGCAATGGCGTGATCTCGGCTCACTGCAACCTCTGCCTCCCGAGTTCAAGTGATTCTCCTGCCTCAGCCTCCCGAGTAGCTGGGATTACAGGCACGCGCCACCATGCCTGGCTAATTTTTGTATTTTTAGTAGAGACGGGGTTTCACCATGTTGGTCACACTGGTCTCGATCGCTTGACCTCATGATTGTGAGCCACTGCGTCCGACCAGAAACGGCAGGTTTTCTAAGACTGTGGTCCGCTAAGGGCGATGTGAGAGGTAGAGGAGTAGCCATATTGGCACATCCCCAAACAGGTGAGAGAAGGTCCAGTTCCATTGCTTCATGGAGAAATAGGCTCAGGCAGGTGAGGCTCAGGCAGGTGAGGCGCATGTGTCCAGGTCCGACGGCCAGTCAGTGGCAAAGCAGAGACTCCAAACAGGTCCCTGACCCTTTGTGTTAAAATGTACTTTCGAAGATAAACTTTTTTTAGCTCCCACATATGAGTGAGAACATGAGATATTTGTCTTTCTGTGCCTGGCTTATTTCACTTAACATAATGACTGTCCATCCATTTTGCTGCAAATGACAGGATTTCCTTCTTTTTTTATGGCTGAATCGTACTCTGTTGTGTACATGTACCAAATTTATTTATTTATTACTCCATTGATGGACACGGGTTGATTTCATATTTTGGCTATTGTGAATAGTGCTGCAATAAACATGGGGGTGCAGGTATCCCTTTGATATATTGATTTCCTTTCCTTTGGATAAATACCCAGTAGTAGGATTGCTGGATCATATGGTAGTTCTATTTAGGGGAGAGGGGTGATGGGGAGAGATTGGTTAATGGGTACAAACAAACAGCTGGATAGAAGGAATAATTTCCAGTGTTCGATTGCACAGTAGGGTGACTATAGTAAACAATTTATTGTGTATTTCTTTTTTCTTTCTTTCTTTTCTTCCTTCCTTCCTTCCTTCCTTTCTTTTTCTTTCTTTCTTTCTTTCTTTGAGATGGAGTTTCACTCTTATCGCCCAGGCTGGAGTGCAATGGTGCAATCTTGGCTCACTGCAACCTCTCCCGGGTTCAAGCGATTCTCCTGCCTCAGCCTCCCGAGTAGCTAGGATTACAGGTGCCAGCCACCACATCCAGCTAATTTTTTTGTATTTTTAGTAAAGATGGGGTTTCATCATGTTGGCCAAGCTGGTCTAGAACTCCTGACCTCAGGTGATCTACCTACTTTGGCCTCCCAAAGTGCTAGGATTACAGGCGTGAGCCACCATGCCCAGCCTTTTTTTTCTTTTTGAGACAGGGTCTCCCTCTGTAACCCCGGCTGGAGTGCAGTGGCACCATCACAGTTCACTGCAGCCTTGACCTGCTGTGCTCAAGTGATCCTCCCACCTCAGCCTCCTGAGTAGCTGGCAGCACAGGCGCATGCTACCATGCCTGGCTAATTTGTGCATTTCGTAAAGACTGAGTCTCACTATGTTGCCCAGACTGGTCTCAGACTCCTGGGCTCAAGTGATCCTCCCACCTTGGCCTCCCAGAGTGCTGGGATTACAGGTGTGAGCCACTATGCCCAGCCTATTGTATATTTCAAAATAGCTAGAAGAGAAGATTTGAAACGTTCCCAACACAGTGAAATGATAAATGTTCGAGGTGATGGATATCCTGATTACCTTGATCTGATCACTATGCATTGTATGCTTGTGTCACAGTATCATATGTATCCCATAAATATGTACAATTACTATGCATCAATTTAAAAAATTTAAAATGTACCCCCAGGATTTGAATTGATGGAGGTGACTGAGTGACAACACAGAGCGACCAAGGACACTGAAAGAATTCATCACTTGCATCTCCCAGGAGAACAGGGCATGGCACACACGCAGGACCACACACGGGGCCACAGGGGGAGCACCAAGTTTGGTCAGGAGGCTGAAAGGAAGGATCAGAACAGCACAGGCCACAGCCTTTTGTGGGGTTTCCACCCGAAGTGCAAGGCAGGCCAGGGGAAGCAGCCCGGGTCTGGCTAGTTGGAATAATTCCAGGGGGCCTTGGGCTTAGGGGCCGTCCCTAGTTGTCTCTACCTGGCTCTGGGTGATTTAGGGCAGGGGAAATACTGGCTTGGTGTGAGAGTTAAATAGAGATGGTTGGGGGGCCTGTGATTGGGATTGGTTGGAGGGTTTGTAACTATTATTACTTTCAAACACTTGCAAAAACCAGCTTGCAGGGGAGGTATAAATGCTTTTGGCCCTGTGATTTGGCCCTGTGATAAATGGATGCCAAATAGACCAAATACAGTCTCTAAGAAAACACAGTGAAACACCCCAGCCCACAGCTCTTGGCACTGCCCAGGTTGCGTCTGGAGTTAGTGGCCCTGCTAGTCCCAGCAGGGTTTCTTCCTTCTTCCTCTTCATCCAGCAAACCCCAGACAGTGTAATTGGCGGTTTCTTTGCTTCTGTTCCCACAAGAGGAGAGCCGGCCAGCTACAGACACCCCTGCCCCAAGGCCTAGTGCAGCTACAACCAGATGTGGCTGATCCCAGCCCCTGGGGACAGCGATGGGGCCGGAGTCTGGCTGGTGGGGTCAGGGCCCCTGGCGCATCAGCCTCAGAACTTCCTCCTAAGAGCAGAGTGCCCTCTGGTGGGCCACTGGAAAACAACCCAATTCTAATTTCCACGTTTGGAGATGCAATATGCTTCAAGCCGGGTTATTAGGGCTCCCCAGGAAATTTCTCTTTCCCCACTAGTGCCCCTTGTGGAATTCACCTGAGCAGCACTGATGAAAATGTATAAATCAAATATACACTGTGCACAAAGCTTTTTTCCCTCCTCATAAATGAGTCTGGTACTGTTTCCTGACCCAAATACCTGCTCAGTGAGTTTATTGGGTAAATCACCCAAGCAGCTCCAATTACAAGGGGTAGAGTGTGGTCAGGATTAGACTAAGGTGAGCGTTGGGTGCAGGTGGAGGACACACAGCTGAGGTTGAGTAGGCTGGCTGTGGCAGAGGCAGCACTGAGTTGAGCGTTGAAGAGAAACTGGATTTCAGAATAGTGGCTCACGCCTGTAATCCCAGCACTTTGGGAGGCCGAGGTGGGCGGATCACTTGAGCTCGGGAGTTCGAGACCAGCCTGGCCAACATGGTAAAACCCCATCTCTTCTAAAAATACAAAAATCAGCCAGGTGTGGTGGTGCACACCTATAATCCCAGCTACTCAGGAAGCTGAGGCATGAGAATCGCTTGAACCCGGGAGACAGAGGTTGCAGTGAGCCAGATCGCACCACTGCACTCCAGCCTGGGTCACAGAGCCAGACTCCATCTGAAAAAAAAAAAAAAAAAAAAAAAAAAAAAAAGCAGGGGTGGGGTGGGGGAGGAGGGGAGGCACCTACCAGGTGAAAGAAACAACATAAGTCTGGCGCTTCTCCTCACTTTTCACCCCGAACCTGCCCATTCCTCTTTTTCCCTCCCAGCAGTCTTTCCAATCACAGCAGTCTCCAGGTCACACCTCCTTAAAATGCCCTAAGGTCACATGGCAGTTGTCCTATCTCTTGCATCTCACCATCCCCCAGCTTGCACCGGATGCTGCTCGTGAATACTTGGATTCTGAATCCTGCGTTTTGTTGCCAGTCCTGGATCCACCTCTTCCCTGCCTTTATGCAATGCCCCACCCTATCTCACTTTCAGGGACCCTCTGGCAACTCCCCACCTCCTCACAGGCCTCCACGGCAGCTCTACTTACCTAAGCTTACAATATGGGCTTCTGAGTAGGATTTCAGTAGGGAAAAAACAAAAAAGGTCTTGCTTTTTTAAACGAAGTTTGCTGGAGGCCAGGCGCGGTGGCTCATGCCTGTAATCTCAGCACTTTGGGAGGCCAAGGCGAGTGGATCACATAAGGCCAAGAGTTCAAGACCAGCCTGACCGACATGGTGAAACCCCGTCTCTACTAAAAATACAAAAAAATTAGCCGGGTGTGGTGGCGGGCGCCTGTAATCCCAGCTACTTAGGAGGCTGAAGCAGGAGAATCGCTTGAACCTGGGAGGCGGAGGTTGCAGTGAGCTGAGATGGAGCCATTGCACTCTGAGAGTCCTTCCAGCTCTCGCCTGCAGGGTGCAGGGGTCCAGACCCCGGCTGTCTCTGGCCTTTGCTGTCTTAGGAGCTTCTCCTTGCCTCCCTCCCTTTTTAGATCATCCTTCCTCCTCCCGGTGGATTCAGAGGACAATTTTCCATGAAGAACTCAGACTGGGCCATCCCCAGGACTCTGGGTCTTAGGCAGTTGTTCAAGTGATCCTCCTCGGCATCAGGACAGGAGATGAGCCCACTTGCGGCTGAAGAGACCCTAGAGTCACAGGCAAGCCAGTTCACTGGTTTTATCAACCTCGTTATCGCTGTGCCCGTACTGGAAAGTAAACTTGGGTTCTATCATCTGCCCTGCAATGAGCTGACTGGCCACAAGGGAGCAGCAGGAGGCAACAGCCGGGCCTGGAAATTGCCCTTCTAACCGCAGCCCCACCAAACAATGCCCGCCACAAGGTCCTCGGAAGAGAAGGACCCGCGCCCCTGCCGCCAAACTGTGTTCAGAGAGAAGCCACGGCCCCATCGCTGGTTGGGAGAGTGAGAGAGAACTAGAAGGCTTAGGCCCCGACTCCTCTGTGCTCAGCCCTTAGCTGGGCATGGGCAGAGGGGTCTGGGGGTGGGGTGTCCTGAGCCTCTAGTCCCCATCTTTTTTAGCACAGGGGTGTGGGGTCCCCGGAGTGGCTCACGGAGCTCTCAACCTAATGGAGGAGCTGGGACTGCCACACACGCGCACGCACACACACACACACACACACACACACACACACACAATGAGAGAACCACGCGGAGCAGGGGTCGGCTTCAGGGCAGTCCCTAAGAGCTGGGGGAGCGAGTCGGTGGGCGGTTGTGCTGGGCCGGCTTCCGGCAGGCTGGGCGCAGCCAGGGCCGGGTGGGGATCACACTTCAGTCAGGAGGAACCACAGGGCCGCGTGGCGCCCGCCTGCCTGAGCCTGGAGTGGGCTAGGAAGTCAGCCGCAGGCAGAGGGCCCAGGACCCACAGAGCCCCCTCGCCCTGGAGCTGGGGTCTGGAGTTTGAGCGGGGAGAGGGAGCCAGGGCCAGGAGGAGCCGGGCCAGCTGGACTGCAGTGAGTGCAGGGGAAGGCAAGGACAGGGCTACAAGCTTCCCCCACCCTTGGCCAGGGGGCTCCCCAGCACTGGGCAGAGCTGTGGCCTGCGGCAGGGTCCTGGCCAGTCTGTGAAATTGACTCCAGCACCTCGGGGAAGTTTGTCCTCAGCTCCACGTGGGGCAAGAACAGGAGCTGGGCTGGGGGGAAACCGGGAGACCTTGGGGTGGGTAGGGAGAGAATCCAGCGGCCGCCTCCCAGGACCCCGCCAACCCCGCCCCTGCCCGGGCCTCTCACCAGGGCCTCCCCTCACTGGTGCGTGGTCTGCGGAAGCCACGTGCCCTTCTCAGCCTCAGTTTCCCTTTCCGACCTGCACAGGGCAGGACCAGAGGTTCTCTGAGAACCCTCCCAGAGTGACAGGCCGGAGTGGAAGCGCATCTTGCGCTGTGGGGACAGACACGCTGACACAGACTGAGGATAAAGACTTTAATCTGGGCCCTTTGTGCCCATGGCTCCAGTTCAGACAAGGGGATGGGATCTCCCTCACTGTGGCTCTTCTTCGTCCCTGGAAGGCCTCCCCTGGACCCAGGCGCTCAGGGTGGGGGCGGTGAACACCAACGGTGGAGGTCCCAGGTAGTCCCGGGAGACAGTCAGGAGTCTGGGGTGAGGAGGCTTCAAGACCTCTCAAGGCTTTGCAGGTATTTAACTGCATTCTTCACTCTCTTGTTGTTGGGGTCCGAACAGATGGCCCTGCCCTGCACAGTTACAAAACTACACAGAAGGAGGACGTTACCAGGAGTGGCAGGGGGGGAAGGGCCCCCAGAGTCCCTGGGACGGCCCGCCCTGTGCTGACCAGGATTCCAAGGCTCCAAGAGGGGCAGGAAGTTGCTGCTGTCACACAGGGCATTGGTGGCAGATCTGGGACTTCAGGCTCTGTCCCGAGTAATCTCGACCCTCCCAGGGAGCCAGGGCTGCAGGAACTTGTGCCCACCCCTCAGCCTGCCCATGCCCCCAGACAGTCTAGAGCCTGGGACGTGGAGACTGCGGGCAGGGCTCAGGCCCAGGCTGGGGGAGGTGACCACATTGCCCCTGACCAGCTGTGTGACCTGGGGGTGTTCATTGCTCCCGGGGCCTCAATTTCACCACAAATCAAGGAATAGGTTGGACCTCATGGCCTGCGGCCCTTTTGGGTCCCACAGTGTGGGGAGCCTGCAGGGGTTGGGGAGGAAGGCCCCGCTGTCTCTTCCCTGCTCCCCATTGGCCGTCCTGGGAGCTCCAGGGTGCACTTGTCCCCATGCTTGGCCCTGAGGAGCAGGGGTGGAGCCAGGGGGACTTACACGATGGCATCCCTGGAGCAGTCCTCAGATGTCTGGTACCACGTCTTCAGCTTTCTAAGGGGAATGGCTCCCTTGAAGTACTCCAGGCAGCACTCCCGGCCCACATTGGTCCCTCGAGCTGCAGGGAGAGGAGCGGGGCAGGGGTGTCTGTGAGTGTCTGCGTGTGTGTTGCGGGGACCTCTGGGGGGTGTTCGTGGAAGATCTGCATGTGCGTGTCCATGTGTGCATCTGTGTGTGATGACTGCATGTGTATCACTGCCTATGTGTATGTGTGTGTGTCTGTGTGTTACCATACACAGGTGTGTGTGAGGCTTCTGTGTATGTTGTGGGGTCCCGTGTGTTTGTGGGTGTGCATGTTTTGTGTGTCTGTGGGGGATTCTGTGTGTCCTGTGAGTGCCTACGTGTGTGTCTCTGTGCATCTGTGCGCGTCCCTGTATGTCTATACCTGGCAACCTTATTTCATTTTTCCTTTCCCAACCTAATATAAGAATCTCTTTTTTCAGTCTGGGCGCCGTGGCTCATGCCTGTAATCCCAGCACTTTGGGAGGCCAAGGCGGGTGGATGGCCTGAGGTCAGGAGTTCGAGACCAGCCTGACCAACATGGTGAAAACCCATTGGTGGCGTGGTGGCCGGGCACCTATATTCCCAGCTACTCGGGAGGCTGAGGCAGGAGAATCGCTTGAATCCGGGAGGCAGAGGTTGCAGTGAGCCAAGATCACACCATTGCACTCCAGCCTGGGCGACAGCGCAAGACTCCATCTCAAAAAAAAAAAAAAAAAAAAAAAAAAGAATCCTTTTTTACATGCTCTTGGAAACAATTCTCCTATCTTTATGCTGATTCCCTCATTGTGCATAAAACCTGTTAATAAAACAGAAGCTAATAAATAATTTTGAGAATTGTTCATTTTCCATTGCACAACTACAGCCACAGCCCCCACCTCACGGCCATTGCAGCCCAAGATGTGCTCGCCTTGGTCCTCACCAAGCCCACCCGCAAGAGCTGGGGCATCGTCATCATCAACATTTTTCTCTGCTTGTTTCCCTCAAAATCCTAGTGCTGTGGGCTTCTCACGTCTTTTGTGGGAGTAGGTGGGGTGTAAATAATACACAAACGTGTGTATTGCTGTGGTGGTCTTCATGCCCCCAACCCCTGTCCTCCCGGTGCCTGCCCCTGGCCACCTGTCCCCTGCTCTCACCTGCGTGGATGTGCTGCAGAGAAGCCCCCAGGAGGAGGGTGACCAGGGCCAGCATCTTCAGTGGGGCCATGGTGCCAGGAGCCCAGGAGGGAGTCTCTGTGTGCAGGTCCCTCTGCTCAGGGAGACACCCTGCTGAGAGTCGAGGGTGGCAGTGACCTATTTAACCTCTTTGGGGGTCTTGCCCCGCCCCTCTGTCACCTCCTCACATCCTTCCCTAGACCAGTGAAGTTCGAAGAATTTGAGATGATTCAGGAGAAGTCTAGCTCTTGGAATGTTTGTGGATTTCCAGAGAATGGGCACTCAACTGGAGACAGAGGTGGGGTACATGTGTCTAGAGCCCATGGCAGTGACACACTTCTCCTTTCAAAGGGGACATTTCTTGGTTCCTCTATTAGAATTGAAAAGCCTCCACGCACAGCTGGGTTCATCTCTCTGTAGCTGGAGAGCATCCTTCATGCATGGTGGCTTGAGCAGGGGGCAGACGGAAGTGTCGGGGAGTCAACCAGGCAGAAACCAAGCAGAGCTCTTCTCCTGGACCATGAGTGAGCTTCAGGGTGCTGCCAGGGCCACCCTGGCTGCCGGGCATGGGCCCATGGGCTCCTGGACCATGAGTGAGCTTCAGGGTGCTGCCAGGGCCACCCTGGCTGCCGGGCATGGGCACATGGGCATCACTCTGCAGGGAGATCCATGCTTTATCTGCCTCCGAGAGGCTGAGGCCCAGCCAGGGCACAGAGCAGCTTTGGTTGGTGTCCCATCCCAGGTGAGGCCCTGACCACAGGAGGCAAGAGCCCAACGGTGCTTCGATTCAGTCCAAATAGCTCAGGAAACCACGTTCCCCTAAATGGGATGCCTTACACTAAGATACAGAACAAAACGAAGGGGTCAGTGGGAGATGCTGCTTCTCACTTCTAGCAGAGCTGTGTCCCGGAGTCAGTACTGGACGCCTGGTCAGGGTCCAGCCTGAGCCAGGCCCTGAGCTGACTTTCCAGGCACCCCAGCTCATGGCATGGCAGATGACAGAACGTAAGTCCACTTTCCAGTGGGGGCAGGAATAAAACAAGAATTGCAATAATGAGGTTGATAAAGTTGGTGAACTGGCTTCTCTGTGACTCTAGCGTCTCAGCCCCAGGCCACAGCATCACTGCATGCGGGTCAGTCCCCTGGCCACCCGAGGAAATTGCCGGTCGCCCTGTTGGGGCTCCCGGGAGCCACAGCATGGGCGTCCCTACAGTAGGATGAGAGTCCCATGGCCTTCAGGTGGGCAGCACCAGGGAAGGGCAGCTCCAGGCAGGGCAGCACCTGGACTCTGATTGTGACATGGGGGACCTTGGCCTGGCTTCATCCTGTCCTTGCATGACCAGGGCCAACTCAAAATGACAGCACTGCCCCTCCAAAACATGGCGCAGGTGGCTTCCACCCTCTCACAGTCCACCCTGTGTTAATCACTAAATCATTACTAAGTTTTTCACTAACTGTCATGATAACTGCAACAGCCGCTATTTGTCATGAGATTTTTGTTTCTTGTTTTTAGATTCTGGGGATACCTGTGGAAACCCCACACTACTGGAGCATCGCTCAGAGCTAACCTCATCAGTCCTTAGGTAGAAGGGCAGGGATCCTATGAGAGGAAACCAGACAAAGACCCTCGACTTCGGAGGAGCCTCAGGCGCTCCTCTCCCCACCCCTCAGCAAGGGCTGCCTGGGAGCCTGTGGCTGCTTCCGCACCTGGGAGTGGGGCTTCCCTGCCCATGGCAGAATCTTTCTGTGGGCAGCATCCTCTATATGACCTCCGGCGGCTCACAGACCCTCTCTGGACCTCAATCTCATCACCTGTAGAGGGAAGTTTGGTCTGTCCCACAGAGCTCTGCCAAAACGGTAGATCTCAGGAAGATGGGGTCCCCCTTGGTGGGCCTCGCACCAACATTCCTCTGCTTCTCTGGGGGTCCCATCAGCTGCCAGAGACCCTGACCCTGCCCCCTCCTCAAGCCACAGTCCAGATGGGTTCTTTGCCCCCAGCCACCCCTCCTGTGCCCAGGGCTGTCTTCCATTTGCACGTGCAGAGGAGGGGGAGGGGAGGCTGCTCTTCCTGCCTGGGCACCTCTTTGGTGCCAACATCCCAGAGAAAGGGAGGGGCAGCCTCAGAGTAGCTCCCCGCAGAGTCCCCCTGCAAAGGAGGCCGCGCTGGGCAGGGGAAGGTGTGCAGGCACAGGGCAGCCCTGACCTGGAGACAGAGCCTGAGCCCAGAGGTGCAGGACCAGGCCTGGGTCCTCGGAAGAGGCAGGAAGGGGCGCCTCCGCCGACCACCCCTCCCTCCCTAGCTGCCCTCCATGCACTCTGCCCTGTGGCTTCTGCCTGCCCTCTTGTGGGGGCTCCACTTGCCGCAGAGGCCACCAATTGCTCTTCTGTGCTACACAACTGCAAGGGACAGCTGATTAATAACAAGTGAGCAGCCTGATTAATGATGAAGCAGCTGCAGTCCCGGCCACTGGGGAAACTCCCCGGTGGGTTCTGAGTCCTCTTCGCTTTCCTGCAGACTCAAAGCTTTCTTCAGAAGGACCCAAATTCCCCTGTTTGTTCTGGGGAACAAATCATGAAAGCAGCAGTGGAAGGTTCTGGACTAGGAAGGTTCTGGTTCAGTTCAAGGCTGGTGCAGGCTGCCTGGCTGGCAGGGGCAGCTGAGCCTCTGGGGGCTGTGCCCAGGGCTGCAGGGCGGACAGAGGCCCGACCCTGCTGTTGTGGGGTTTCACAGTGGGTAAGGGCGGGGGAACAGGCCCTGACCCCTCATAGGGACATGCAGGTGAGATTAAAGGGCTTTGGGGCATAGACTGGGGAGATGCTGCCTCTGGCCAGAATTCGTGGAAGGCTGCCTGAAAGAGGTGGCTGTAGGGCCTAGGGCTAGGTTTTGTAGATAAGATTCATACTGAGATTGGAAGAAAGGACATTGCACAGGGGGCACTGTTTAGGCAAAGGTGCAGAGAGGGGAATGTGCAGAGATAAATTAGGGCAACAGCATGAAACCCCGGCATGGGGCACTGCCTAAATGCAAGGCTAAGAGCCAGTCACACGAGGACTGGCTGTGTCTACCTTGCCCCGCGCCGTGGGCATCCCCAGCACCAAGCATGGTGCCTGGCATGCAGTGAACCTTCAGTGTCACCTGACCGAGTAAACACAGGACTGAAGGAAGGGAAGGCGAGATGGATGCAAAGGGCCCAGTGTGCCTCAGTCTTCTTTGGGAGGCAGCGGGGACCAGGGACATTTTTGAGGTGGTTTCCTCTCCAGGGATTAACCGAGTTTATCCCTCCTCAGTTCTCCCAGGCTATGGGATGGATGCCAAGGGAACTTCCAGACAAACTATTCTGAAGTCTGGGCCTGTGAGAAGCATCTTGAGAGATCTTTATGCTGCTGTGAGGATTCTAGGACCTGGAGGTCTGTCAGGGCAATCAGGAATGCTCCCTGGAGGAAGTGGCAGTGAGGCAGAGCTTTGTGGAGGGGCAGCAGGGGAGAGAGTGCTGTGGCCAAAGGAAGGGAAAGGGCCATGGCAGGGAAGCAGGCCAGACACTGTTAGGCCTATTAGGAGAGTGTGAAGGGTAATTGGATCTGAGTGGGAGGAGCGGCTGTGGTAACTCCTTGTCTCAACGCCTCTGACTAAAGTGGCCAGGCACACCACCCAGGCACCTGCCGCCCTTGCCCCAGGGGCTGCTGCAACACCCAACTCGGCTTTAGCCAGAGGGCACTGGGCCAGGCAGATATGGGGTCCTTCTCCCTGAAAGACAGGGAAGGAAGGTTCCTGCCCCAACCCCAGGCTCTGCCCAGGCTCGTGGAGAAGCCTGTCCCCGAGGCAGTGGGCGGAACCAGGATGCTCTCAGTCACAGGGCAGCCAAGCGGCTGGGGCGGCAGCTCTTCATCATCTTCAGTTGCATTTGACAGCTGTGGCTGACCAGGAGGGGGCAGCTAGGCAGAAGTGTCATCCCGGTCACACCAGTGTCACCTGAGGCTCATCAGGGCAGTGACTTGCCCGAGGTCTCCCGGAGCAGCTCAGTAAGGATTGAGCATTTGTTTACTCATCTCCATCGCTGACAGCTGAAACTGGATTCATCCTGCCCTGCCCAGGGGGCTGGGAATCAGGGATCGGGGCCAGCTCAGCTGAGATGTGAGGGTCCCAAATAGTATTTCCACCCCTGACCCCAAAATAGGCCCCAATCCCCTGTCCCAAAGACTTGACGTGCCCATTGATGTGTCTGTCGTTCCTGACAGGGTGTCCTCTTGGTTCCTCAGGTCAGAAACCCAAGGGTCATCTCTGTCCCTGGGCTCTTCCTCACTGCCCACATCCAGTCCATCAGCGAAGTGTGTTAGTTGGCTACCTGCATGCGTCCTGAATCCGTCTCCTTCTCCTCCTCCATCTCTCTGCTGGACCACAGCCGTGAACTCATGCCCCAGCTTCCAGGCCTTCCTGGTCCAGTCCATCTTCCTCTCAAAAGCCCATTGATCTCCAAAACACAAGTCTGAGCAAGGCTCTCCCCTCTTGAAATCCTTCAATGCCTCCCCGTTACTCTCAGGACGAAGCCCACATTTCTGCCTACTTCTCCAGGCTCAACTTTTTCCTCCAGCTCCATCACCCACTATATCATTTTGTCCCAGCCACATGGACCTTCTTTCAGTTCCTTGAAAATGCCGGGCCTTTACTGATGCCCAAGCCTTCGTACAAGCTGTTCTTCCTGTCTGGAACATTCTTTCCTGTTCCCCCGTCTCACTTCCTTTCACTCCTACTCTTATTTTAGAGTGCAGCTTGAACCCTTACTCCTTCCTTCCTCTATGTCCCCAGAGTTCACTGACTTCCCTCATCTTGGCTGTCTTCATATTGTATTGTGATTGCTAGTTTATTTGTTGGGACTCACACAAAAGACTGTAAAATCCTTGAAGGATCTCTTTTGTGTTCCAACTTATCCCTCCAGGACTTAGCACCTTAGTGGGTGCTCAATAAAATATGTTTATTAGGCCAGTTTGGTGGCTCACACCTGTAATTCCAATACTTTCGGAGGCAGAGGCAGGTGGATCACTTGAGCCCAGGAGTTCAAGACAAGCCTGGGCAACATGGTGAAACCCTGTCTCTACAAAAAATGCAAAAAAATGACCAGGCGCAGTGGCTCACATCTGTAATCCCAGCACTTTGGGAGGCTGAGGCAGGCGGATCACAAGGTCAGGAGATCGAGACCATCCTGGCCAACATGGTGAAACCCTGTCTCTACTAAAAATACAAAAAAAAAAAATTAGCTGGGTGTGGTGGCGTGTGCCTGTAATCCCAGCTGCTCGGGAGGCTGAGGCAGGAGAATCGCTTGAACCCGGGAGGTGGAGATTGCAGTGAGCCGAGATCACACCACTGCACTCCCTCCTGGGCAATATAGTGAGACTCCATCTCGAAAAAAAAAAATAGCCAGGTGTTACAGTGTGCACCTGTCCCAGCTACTCTGGAGGCCGAGTAGGGAGGATCACCTACATCAGGAAAGTTGAGGCTGCAGTGAGCCATGATTGTACCACTGCACTCCAGCCTGGGCGACAGAGTGAGACCCTGTCTCAAAAAATATATATATGTTTACTGAATGTATAAATAGGTGAGTGGTTGTATGGATGGGTGAATGAATGAATGGGTGAATGGATATGGATGGGTAAATGAGTGAATGGATGGATGGAGGATGGATGATGGATGGACGTGTGGGTGAGTGATGAATGGATGAGTGGCTGGAAGGTGGATGAAAGAATGGACGGATGGATGGATGGTAGATAAATGGATGGGTGGATGTGTGTATGGATGATGGATAGATGGATTGGTGGATGGATGGTGAAAGGATAAATAGATAGATGGATGGGTAGATGAATGGATGGATAGATGGATGGGTAGATGAATGGATAAATGGATGGGTAGATGGATGGATGGTAGATGGATGTGTGGATGGATGGCAAAAGAATAAATAGATGGATGGATGGGTAGATGGATGGATGGAGGGATGGATGGAAGAATGGATGGATAGATGGATGGATGGTAGATGGATGTGTGGACGGATGGTGAGAGAATAAATAGATAGATGGATGGGTAGATGAATGGATGAACGGATGGGTAGATGGATGTGTAGATGGATGGTAAAAGAATAAATGGATGGATGGGTAGATGAATGAATGAATGGATGGACAGACGGATGGATGAATGGATGGATACATGAATGGATGAATGAATGGGTGGATGGATGGATGGATGGATGATGGATGGATGGAAGGATGGATGAATGGGTTGATGGATGATGGATGGATGCATGAAACTGGATGGGTGAGCAGATGGATGGACTGATGGATGGGTGGGTGTATGTGTAGATGTATGGCTAGATAGATGGATGTGTGGTTGGATGGATGAATAGAAGTATGGGTGCATGGCTTGATAGATGATGAATGGATATATACATGCATGAATGCATGGATAGATGGATGGTCACTTAGAGATTCTGAACTACAACATGGGCCCAACTCACATTCTATCCCAGGGCCTCCTTCATCCAAATAGTTTTTAAACCAGTGTGTACCATCATTTCATGAGACACACCCGAATCCTTCTGTCATGGATAAAGCAGAGGAATCTAACCAAGGACACCCTGACTCCTCCCCCATCTAGTTTACAACTTCCTTGTGGTTGTGGCCATTTTTTGCCAAACCTATATTGCTTCAACTGTGGCTTGGATCTCAACCTTTATTCATCCCAGAGGGGCCTCCTTCCCTCAGTTGCACTGCCATCTTCTAGCTCTTTACTGTCTCCAATCCCATGACCCCCTTTCCCTCTGCTGACAACATGATCCTGTCTCTCCACTTCCATAAAGACCTCCCCTTGACTTCAACACCCTCGCATGCTGCCCTCCCATTTCTCCTTTCATTCATGACCAAACTGCTCCGATGTGTGGTCTGTACTTCCCTCTACCATTTCCTCTCTGCCCACTTGTGATTTAATTAATCCTCAGCAATGTGGCTTCCAGCTCTGATGCTCTAGGAAAGGTGCTCTCACTGAGCCTCTTGATCCCCTCCAGCCACTCCCTGAACCTCCCACTGCCTTACATTGGGCAGTGATTACCAGCAGAGGCTCTGGAATCATTACCTACAGCCCTGAGTCCCAGTCACTCTTCTACTTGTTCCTGGTTGTGTGACTAACAGCGATTTTATGAACTTCAGTTTTCTCATCTGTGAAATGGGTGTGATGATAAGACACTCCCTCATGGTATGACCTGGAAAACTAACTGAGATGAAGTCTATAAAGTTCCTAGTCTCCAGCTGGCTCAGGGAATCGCCTTGTCATCCCTGGGAACCTACCATCCTTCTTGATGCTCCTCCCACTGGGATTTGGGACATGGTTCTTCCCTGAGCTCCCTGTGAGCTCCTCTTCTCAGAAATGTCCCTGAGCTCTCACTATAGGCTGGGGTGGGTGTTGGGGCAGGGGAATCTCAGCAGTTAAGTCTATTAGTTTACTTTGTCCTCACAACAGCTTCAGGGAGTAAGAACTATTAGTTTCTACAGATGAGAAAATTAGGAACTGACCAGAGTAGTTTAAGCAACTGGTCCACTGTAATCCCAGCACTTTGGGAGGCTGAGGTGGGAAGATCGCTTGAGCCCAGGAGTCTGAGACCAGCCTGGGCAACATAGTGAGACTCTGTCTCTACAAAAAAAATAAAATGAAAATTAGCCAATCATGGTGGTGCACGACTGAGCCATGACTGTGGCACTGCGCTCCAGCCTGGGCAAAAGAGCAAGATTCCATTTCAACAACAACAAAATAAATCTGCTTCATGGGCACAGAGCTAGCTGGTGGCAGGAGCAAGCCTGGGCTTCTGTCCTAGACTTTGTTTTTGCCTCAAGCAACCTTCCCTTCCTCCCTGACATCATCTACCCCAGATCTTTTACCTCTGGATAAAGACTTCTTTTTTTTTTTTGAGACGGAGTCTTGCTCTTTCGCCCAGGCTGGACTGCAGCAGCGCTATCTCGGCTTACTGCAAGCTCCACCTCCCGGGTTCACGCCATTCTCCTGCCTCAGCCTCCCAAGTAGCTGGGACTACAGGCGCCCGCCACCATGCCCGGCTAATTTTTTTTTTTTTTTGTATTTTTAGTAGAGACGGGGTTTCACCGTGTTAGCCAGGATGGTCTCGATCTCCTGATCTCGTGATCCACCTGCCTCGGCCTCCCAAAGTGCTGGGATTACAGGCGTGAGCCACCGCACCTGGCCTGATAAATACTTCTTAAATCTCTGTCTCCAGCCCTGACCAGTAACTAATCAGACACACCCACCTGGACACTCCTCCTTCCGGCCCATCTTTCTGTGGCACCCCTCAGCTCTCTCTGCCTTGCAGCCTGGCCAGCTCTGTGCAGTTCTGTCCCCCACACTAACCTGTGAGCTGCTGGGAAGCAGAAGTCTGTCCTGCTATGGTTCACTCAGCCCCAGGTACCAGAAGGGCAAAACCGAGTTCCCTCTCACACCAGCCTCCTTTTTTTCTGTTCAAGCCAGCATTGTTTCCCATCTCCCCATCTGCCCCCAAGTCTGAAACTTTGCCCTTGACTCATTCCTCGCCTCCATCCCCCACATTACATCAGGCAGAGACTCTGCCCAGCGCTGTCTTCAGTGGGAGCTTGGCTTCCTTGCTTCCTTCTCATCTCCACTGGCTCAGCCCTCATCCTTCACACCCAGAGAGTCTCAAAAACTTCTGGGCCTATTTCTTCCTCTCTGGTCTCTCCTGACACCTCCCTCATCAGCTGCATGCCCACATGTGGTGGATCTTTCACAAGGGCTGCCCTGACCATGTAATGCCCCCTTCCTCCAAAACCGTCAATGGCTCCCTGCTTCCTTCCCCATCCAGTCAAAACTTTTCAGGCCAATCTTGAAGCTGTACCTTCCATCTAGCCCCTCCTTCCTATTCAGTCTCATCTCCCTGCTCCCCAACATTGAGCTTTCTTGAGGGCCAGTGCGTCCCCTCACTTTGTGACTTGGTTTGCTGCTTCCAAACTCCTGTCCCCTTCTTGTATGGATTATCTTCCCTTGATCCAAAGTCCATCCACCGCTCATCTAACACATGCCCTGAAAGATCCAGCGAGGGGGTCACCTCACAGTGGAGGGGTTAGGAGCAAAGACTCTAGGTCAGGTCACCTGGTTTTGAATTCAGCTCTCCCATCAGCAGGCGGTGACACTGTGAGCTCAAAGTCACTTCTCTCTGAGCCTCAGTTTCTACAGCTGCAAAATGAAAATAATAACAATAATTACATTAGAAGGCTTTGGTTTGCATCAACTGCCTTACTGCTTATATCTGGCAAATAGTACACGTTTCTGACTTTAAATATCATCTATATGCCAACCACTCCCAAGTTTCTCTCGCAAACTCCAGCCTCCTTCTACGTCCAGCTGCCTACTCGCCATACCAAATAGGCAGCTCCAACCCCCCAAGTCTGAAGCTGAATTTCTGATTCCCACCCACCCCTACACCTGCTCTCTCCTCCTTCTCTGCCAGCCCCTTCCTTCCGGTTACTAGGGCCAGAAACCTGGGCGCTATCCCTGACGCCTCTTCCTCTCGCCCCCAACTTCCCATCTGTTGGGTGAGCTCATGTCTCTGCTTTCCAAATACACCCAGAAACCAGCATCAATCCCTGGCTTCCTACAACTGCCTTCTGGGTGCTCTCCCTGTCTCCATCCTTGCCCCCTACAGTGTATTCTCAGCACAGCAGCAGAGGGACCATGAATCTCCCGTGTTCAGAACGTCCCCGTGGCTCTCCACCTCACGCAGAGGACAAGTCCAAGACCCTCCAGCAGCCACGAGGCCCCGCGAGTTCTGTGCCCTGCTCTCTGCCCACCTGTATCTCCTGGTTCCCTGGTTCACTCTGCCCCAGCCACCCTGGCCTCCTCCCTATGCCTCAAACCAACCAGACAGACATGCTCCTTCCTGAGGAGGTTTGCACGGACTGTTCTTTCAGCCTGGAATGTTGTCCCCAGATACCTGCAGGACTCACTCCTTCACCTTTTTCAAACTTTTTTAGGCCGGGCGTGGTGGCTCACGCCTGTAATCCCAGCACTTTGGGAGGCCGAGGCAGGTGGATCACTTGAAGTCAGGGGTTCGAGACCAGCCTGGCCAACATGGTGAAATCCCATCTCTACTAAAAATACAAAAATCAGCTGAGCGTGGTGGCAGGTGCCTGTAGTCCCAGGTACTTGGGAGGCTGAGGCAGGAGAATCACTTGAACCCAGGAGGCAGAGGTTGCAGTGAGCCAAGATCACACCACTACACTCCAGCCTGGGCAACAGAGCAAGACTCTATCTCAAAAAATATATATATATATATATTATATATATTTATAATATATATAATATATATTATAAATATATATTATATATATTATAAATATATATTATATATATTATAAATATATATTATATATATATAAAATATATATTTATAATATATATAACATATATATAATATAATATATATATTATAATATATATATTATTATATAATATATATAATATAATATATATTATAATATAATATATATATTATAATATATATTATAATATAATATATATATTATAATATATATATTATATATAATATATGTTATATATATTATAATATATATATTATATATATTATAGATAATAATATATATTATATATATTATAGATAATAATATATATTATATATATTATAGATAATAATATATATTATATATATTATAGATAATAATATATATTATATATATTATAGATAATAATATATATTATATATATTATAGATAATAATATATATTATATATATTATAGATAATAATATATATTATATATATTATAGATAATAATATATATTATATATATTATAAATATATATATGTATTTGTTTAGATTACATCTTTCAGTGAAGTCAAATTGCATGCCATCCCCATCTCTTCCTCTGCTCTTTTTTTTTTTTTTTTTTGCTGAAATGCTTATATCCTCTGACATGCTAGGCCATTCGCTTACTTATGTCTGCTGTTTACTATCTGTCTCCCACCTGTACCCCCACCCCCATCCTACTGGGATGTAAGTTGCATGGGACAGAGGTTTCTGTTTCTTTTCTTTAATGGAATATATCTCGGCACATGGTAGGCCTTCAATACATAGTTTTTGGATTAAGTGAGTGAATGGATAAATGGCTGGTGTTGTTCCTGAAGCAGAATGCAGAAACCCTTCTTGTTACTCTCACTCTTACCAATGGACTTGTCTCAATGTCTCTCTGATGCCTGGGCTCCAGGACTTCTGAGCTTCCACTCAAGCCTTGTAAATGAGTGCCTTTTATTCATTGCTAGAGTCTGACTCTCTTTCCAAGGAACATCTGTCCCTGTTTCCAAGCTACTTCAAAGGCAGGTCTATGGTCCCCTGATGACATTGGGAAAATTTGAGGTTCACCCCTCAGGGTGTAGTGACAGAAGTCACTGAGAACTCAGAAGTCCTCTGCTCCTAGTCTGGCAGCCTGCCTGCAGTCGGGGTGGGGGGATTGTCCTGCCAAACTCGACCCTCTGGGCACCCGAGGAAGATCTGTTCAGCACCAGGGTCAGTGACAAGCACCCAGCATCCTGGGAAGAAGCCTCACACCCTTTCCAAGGAGCCTGGTGGATCTGGCCTCTTTGAAAGGCCTTGGGAATCTCAGCCACTGCAAAAGCCAGCAGGGAATGGGGTCACGACTCAACAGCATTTGGAGATTTGACACGTCGCACAATGCCACCTGGGTCATGGCTCTCCCCAGGGGAGGCTGAGGGTATTGGGAAGGGCTGTGGCCACTTCTGAGCAAGCCCCAGACCTGGGAAGCAGGAGTCCCTAGAGAGCCCTTTGCAGGGAAGAACCAGCACCTCAGCTGCCCTCTGAGCTGTGGCTGTCCCTCTGCACTGTGGGGCTTTCGCCTGAACCACACTTGGCTAACAATAGGGTCCCCCTTCCTTTCTGCCTTGCCTGGGCTCTGCTCTCTCAGCTTATGGGTGACTGGGCTCTCTCCACTGTCTCAGGTTGAGTTCATTAAGGATGTGCTCCTTGGGGAAGTGGAGGGAAAGTTGGGGAGTGAAGACAGAGAAGGAGTGGAAACCCAGCAAGGGTGTGACCTCAGGTGACGTCCCCGGGGGGCAGCTTCAGCCAGATTCCTTGGAGGGGCACAGGAGAGTGATTGAAAGTAAAATCAACCAAAAGGAGTGGGGCCTGGGTAGGGCATCAGCGTTGCTAACCACACTACTGTACCCACCACCAGGTTAACAGATGTATTACCACGTCACTGAGCCCCGCTTTCCTCCCCTAATCACAGCCTCTATGCACTAGAGGAACAGAATTTGGCAGCCATTAGTCCCACGCATTTCTTCACAGCTCACTAACTCATATGTGTGTATGTCCTTAAGCAATATATAGCATTGTTCATGCACATTTCTTTTTTTCTTTTTTTTTTTTTTTCCAGACAGAGTCTTGCTCTGTTTCCCAAGCTGGACTGCAGTGGTGTGATCTTGTCTCACTGCAACCTCTACCTCCAGGGTTCAAGCGACTCTCCCACCTCAGCCTCCTGAGTAGCTGGGATTATAGGGGTGCACTGCCATGCCCAGCTAATTTTTGTATTTTTAGTAGAGACGGGGTTCCACCATCTTGGCCAGGCTGGTCTCAAACTCCTGACCTCAGATGATCCTCCTGCCTTGGCCTCCCAAAGTGCTAGGATTACAGGCGTGAGCCACCACACCGGGCCTGTTCATGCTCATTTCTAAGCTTTATATCGACACCATCATCTTGTATCTATACTTCCACATCTTGCGGCATCACACCTGACAGTGTCATTTGTGTTGATATATGCCAAATGTATAGTTCTTTCTTTTCATCATTGTATGCTATTCTATACACCAACTATACCACAATTTACAAAAAGAAGAAGAAGAAGAAGAAGAAGGGTGTCTGGAGTGAGGCTGCCTGCTGGCTTAGTTACTAAGTGCGTGGCTTTGGGTAAGTTTCTTTTTTTTTTTTTGAGATGGGGTCTCGCTCTTGTCACCCAGGCTGGAGTGCAATGGCATGGTCTCGACTCACTGCAACTTCTGTCTCCAGGATCAAGTGATTCCCCTTCCTCAGCCTCCCAAGTAGCTGGGATTACAGGCACACGCCACCAAGCATGGCTGATTTTTGTAGTTTTAGTAGAGATGGGGTTTCACCATGCTGGCCAGGCTGGTCTGGAACTCCTGACCGCAGGTGATCCACCCCGGTTGGCCTCCCAAAGTGCTGGGATTACAGGCATGAGCCATTGTGCCCGGCCCGGGTAAATTTCTGAATCTCTCTGTGCCTTTGCATTCCCATCTGGAAAATGAGGCTCAGATGGAAACCAGCCCAATGCTCCCATACACTGTTCTTTGGACAAACATGGAAATTGACCCTTCTGGTCTTAAAGCTTGAAACTTATATTTGCTTTATCTGGGTTCCTTCTGCAAGGAATGACCATTGGGCCTCTCAAAAAAAAAAAAAGTGTCAAAGAACTGAAACCCACCAGATTACTGTACCAGATACCAGACCCCCTCATTCACCATGATTGCTTCATTGCCCCTGTCTAGTTCCTGTTTTCTTTTATATTTTATAATTTTTTTTTTGAGACGGAGTCTCGCTCTGTTGCCCAGGCTGGAGTGCAGTGGCGCAATATCAGCTCACTGCAAGCTCCGCCTCTCGGGTTCACGCCATTCTCCTAGCTCAGCCTCCCAAGTAGCTGAGATTACAGGCGCCCGCCACTACTCCCAGCTAATTTTTTGTATTTTTAGTAGAGATAGGGTTTCACCGCGTTAGCCAGGATGGTCTCGATCTCCTGACCTCGTGATCCGCCCACCTCCGCCTCCCAAAGTGCTGGGATTACAGGCGTGAGCCACCGCGTCCTGCCAGTTCCTGTTTTCTTATACATTGTTACATTTCTTCTCTGCTGTATAAACTCCTGGTTTTAGTCAATCAGGGAGATGGATTTCAGACTGAGCTCCCATCTGCTTGGTTGCAGCACTCGATTAAAGTCTTCCTTGGCAATACTTGGTGTCTCAGTGATTGGCTTTCTGTGTGGGGAGCAGCAGGACCTAGACTGCACCCATGGTGTTTTGGTAACACTATGAGCACGAGCTCATCTTTGAGCTGTGACAGGGATGACAATGAGAAAATGCATCCAAAGGCTCACAGGGATATCATGTGGACAGTGAACCTCATGAGAAGAAGGTCCATGTCAGGCCAGGAGCAGTGGCTTACGCCTGTAATACCAACACTTGGGAGGCCAAGGGGGCAGATCACCTGAGGTCAGGTGTTCAAGACCAGCCTGGCCAACATGGTGAAACCCCATCTCTACTAAAAATAAAAAATTAGCTGGGCAAGGTGGCACACACCTGTAGTCCCAGCTACTTTGGAGGCTGAAGCAGAAGAATCGCTTGAACCTAGGAGGCAGAGGTTGCAGTGAGCCAAGATCCCACCTTTGCACTCCAGCCTGGGCGACAGAGCAAGATTCCTTCTCCAAAAATAAAAAAAATAAATAAGTAAAAAAAAGAAGGTCAATGTCTTATTGATCAGCATCTCTGGCAATAAACTAATGACTCCTTTCCTCCACCTCTCCCCAGGCCACCACTGCTGTTGCCCTGGTGGTTACCTACCCCTGACACTCTAGAAAGAGGGCCCCAGCCATGTGGATGGGATTTCTCCTTCATTGATCTGATGGTGGTCGTGGCAATGTATAAGCACCTGGAAACAGGTCAGACAGGTCCAGGTGAGAACCAGGGGTGGGGAGAAGGGGAGGCCCAGGAAAACATCCAGGTGGCAGAAGCTCTGGCACTCAGAGAGTCCTGATGCAAGATCTTAGACTCATCAATGAGGCAGTAATTCCTCTATATCCAGCTGTACCCAACCCCTACACCCTACTCTCAAATACCAGAGGAAGCAGAATTGTTCACTGTTCTGGACCTCAAGGATGGCTTCTTCTGCATTCCCCTGCACTCTGACTCCCAGTTTCTCTTTGCCTTTGAGGATCCCACAGACCACACATCCCAACTTACATGGACGGTCTTGCCTCAAGGTTTAGGGATAGCTCTCATCTGTTTGGTCAGGCACTGGCCCAAGATCTCGGCCACTTCTCAAGTTCAGGGACTCTGGTCCTTCAGTATGTGGATGATTTACTTTTGGCTACCAGTTTGGAAGCCTCATGCCAGCAGGCTACTCTAGATATCTTGAACTTTCTAGCTAATCAAGGGTACAAGGCATCTAAATTGAAGGCCCAGCTCTGCCTACAACAAGTCAAATATCTAGGCCTAATCTTAGCCAGAGGAACCAGGGCCCTCAGCAAAGAATGAATACAGCCTATACTGGCTTATCCTCACCCTAAGACATTAAAACAGTTGCAGGGGTTCCTTGGGATCACTGGCTTTTGCCAACTATGGATCCCCAGATACAGCGAGATGGCCAAGCCTCTCTATACTCTAATCAAGGAGACCCAGAGGGCCATCTAGTAGAATGGGAACCAGAGGCAGAAACAGCCTTCAAAACCTTAAAGCAGGCCCTAGTACAAGCTCCAGCCTTAAGCCTTCCCAGAGGACAAAACTTCTCTTTACACATCACAGAGAGAGTGGGAATAGCTCTTGGAGTCCTTACTCAGACTCGAGGAATAACCCCACAACCAGTGGCATACCTAAGTAAGGAAATTGATGTAGTAGCTAAAGGCTGGCCTCACTGTTTATGGGTAGTTGCGGTGGTGGCCATGTTAGTATCAGAGGCTATCAAAATAATACAAGGAAAGGATTTCACCATCTGGACTACTCATGATGTAAATGGCATACTAGGTGCCAAAAGAAATTTATGGCTATCAGACAACCATCTGCTTAGATACCAGGTGCTACTCCTTGAGGGACCGGTGCTTCAAATATGCACCTGTGCGGCCCTCAGCCCTGCTACTTTTCTCCCAGAGGATGGGGAACCAATTGAGCATGACTGCCAACAAATTGCAGCCCAGACTTATGCCACCCAAGAGGATCTCTTGGAAGTCCCCTTAGCTAATCCTGACCTTAACCTATATGCTGATGGAAGTTCATTTGCGGAGAATGGGATACAAAGGGCAGGTTATGCCATAGTTACTGATGTAACAGTACTTGAAAGTAAGCCTTTTCCCCTAGGGACCAGCGCCCAGTTACCAGAACTAGTGGCACTTACCCAAGCCTTAGAACTGGGAAAGGAAAAAAAGAATAAATGTGTACACAGATAGCAAGTGTGCTTATCTAATCCTACATGCCCATGCTGCAATATGGAAAGAAAGGGAGTTCCTAACCTCTGGGGGAGCTCCCATTAAATACCACAAGAAAATCATGGAGTTATCGCATGCAGTGCAAGACCCCAAGGAAGTGGCAGTCTTACACTGCTGAAGCCATCAAAAAGGTGAAGGAGAAAAGGCAGAAGGAAACCGTCAGGCAGACGCTGAGGTCAAAATTGCTGCCAGGTGGAAACTCCCATTAGAAATACCTAGAGAAGGACCCTTGGTATGGAACAACCCTCTCCAAGAGATTAAGCCCCAGTATTCCCTGACTGAAACAGAATGGGGACTTTCATGGGGGCATAGTTTTCTCCCCTCGGGATGGTTAACGACAGAAGAGGGCAGCCAGTGGAAAATACTTAAGACCCTCCACCAAAGTTTTCATATGGGTATTGAGAACACTCATCAAATGGCCAAATCCCTATTTACAGGGCCAAATCTCCTCCGGACCATCCGACAAGTAGTCAAAGCCTGTGATGTGTGCCAAAGGCATAATCCCTTGGCCCATCGTAAGGCCCCTCTGGGACAACAAAGAATAGGGCACCATCCCAGAGAGGACTGGCAGTTAGACGTCTCTCATATGCCTAAGTCAAGGGGATTTCAATACTTGTTAGTCTGTGTTGAAACCTTTACAAATTGGATAGAAGCCTTCCCTTGCAAGACAGAGAAGGATCAGGAAGTGGTTAAAGTCCTAATTCATGAAATAATTCCTAGATTTGGGCTTCCCCAAAGCTTCGCAATCCAGCTTTTACACTCTTACATTTCCAACCTAACCTATTACACAAGCAATGAAAAAACCATACATGGCCCTGCAACCACGAATACTGTCTTAACTTTCCAAGCCCCTTTATGCATCCAATGCAACCTGTTATCAGGACTGCCCCTGGGGCACCTACTATCCCATCAGTGTAATTACACCCTACAACTTCAAGCCCCAACTGATCACAGTAACTTCCGACTCACCCAAACAGCTCCATTCAGATGGCTTGTCCGCTTCTCAGAGCCTCCAAAAATCATCACCTCCTTCCTGCTTAACAAACAGTCTAGGTTTAATAATGGCAAACATACTCCCTGCATGACCATTCACCCCTGGACCCCCTGCAGCAGCGCCCCCACCACTAGTGAATGCCTTCTCATCCCCTATTTCAATCACTCTCTTGAATGGTTCCTAGTAGATACAAAACGATTTTTTCTCCAATGGTAAAATAGAACACAGGGAGCCACTCAGTTTGCTCCCAACACTCCTTTCCAGCCGCTCACTGGAGCTACCTTGGCAAGTACTCTAGGAGTATGGGAAAATGAAAACAACAAACTCACACACCTTTTTAACATACACAACCAGTTCTGTGTACCCAGCCAAGGCATATTCTTCTTATGTGGAACTTCAACCTATATCTGCCTCCCCACCAACTGGACAGGCACCTGCACCTTAGTCTTCCTAAGTCCCAACATTGACATTGCCCCAGGAAATCAGACCCTATCAGTGCACCTCAAAGCTCAAGTCTGTCAGTGCAGAGCAATACAACTAATACCCCTACTTATAGGGTTAGGAATGGCCACTGTTACAGGAACCAGAATAGCCAGTGTATCTACTTCATTATCCTACTACCACACACTCTCTAAGATAGTTTGCAAGAAATAACAAAATCTATCCTTACTCTACAGTCCCAAATAGACTCTTTGGCAGCAGTGACTCTCCAAAACCACTGAGGCCTAGACCTCCTCACTGCTGAGAAAGGAGGACTCTGTACCTTCTTAGGGGAAGAGTGTTGTTTTTACAGTAACCTGTCAGGGATAGTATGAGACACCACCCGGTGTTTACAGGAAAAGGCTTCTGAAATCAGACAATGCCTTTCAAACTCTTATACCCACTTCTGGAGTTGGGCGACATGCTTCTCCCTTTTCTAGGTCCCGTGACAGCCATCTTGCTATTATTTGCCTTCGGGCCCTGTATTTTTGACCTCCTTGTCAAATTTGTTTCCTCCAGGATTGAGGCCATCAAGCTATAGATGGTTTTAAAAATGGAACCCCAAATGAGCTCAACTAACAACTTCTACCGAGGACCCCTGGATCGACCCACTGGCCCTTTGGCCCAGAGAGTTCCCCTCTGGAGGACACTACCACTGCAGGGCCCCTTCTTTGTCCCTATCCAGCAGGAAGTAGCTAGAGCAGTCATTACCCAATTCTCAACAGCAGTTGGGGTGTCCTGTTTAGAGCGGGGATTGAGAGGTAAAGCCAGCTGGACTTCCTGGGTCGAGTGGGGACTTGGAGAACTTTTCTGTCCAGCAAGAGGAATGTAAAACGCACCAATCAGCACTCTGTAGCTAGGATTGCAAAATGCACCAATCAGCGCTCTGCAGCTAGCAAGGGGATTGTAAAATGCACCAATCAGCACTCTGTAAAAATGCACTAATCAGCACTCTGTAGCTAGCAAGTGGATTATAAAATGCCACAATCAGCGCTCTGTAACAACGTACCAATCAGTGCTCTGTAGCTAGCAAGAGGATTGTAAAATGCACCAATCAGCACTCTGTAAAATGCACCAATCAGCAATCTGTAAAACACACCAATTGGCAGGATTCTAAAAGTAGCCAATCGTGGGGAGGATTGAAAAAAAGAGCACTCTGATAGGACAGAAATGGAACATGGGTGGGGCCAATAAGAGACTAAATGCTGCCCACCCCCAGCCAGCGGCGGCAACCTGCTTGGGTCCCCTTCCATGCTATGGAAGCTTTGTCCTTTTGCTCTTCACAGTAAACCTTGCTACCACTCACTCTTTGGGTCCGTGCCATCTTTAAGAGCTGTAGCACTCACTGCGAAGGTCAGCGGCTTCATTATTGAAGTCAGCGAGACCATGAACCCACTGGCAGGAACCAACTGGAGACACACTGAGACTCCAGAGCTTCTAGATTCTCCCTTGCCTCCTCACTCCTCTGGAGAGATTGGGCGACAAGCAGGGTGTGACCCAGTCCAGGCTTCCTGGGGATTCTGGCCTGCCTGGGGACAATGTCTTGACCGGGATGTGCTGGTGATTGCATAACCACAGGACCAGCTCAAACTAGTTTACCATTGCTTGAGTTGTTACAGATGGCACGGAGCCAAAACTGCATGTCATGTAGCCTGGCCCGGTGCAATCAGAGAAAACTTCCACCTCCTGAGAGTTAGCACCACCAACGTGGCAACCGGCCACATTGGCATCCCTGGGACTAGTTAACAGTGCCATAACAACTTGACCCACCCAGGGATCAGGGAGGCAGATTTGAGTGTTGTCTCCTGTCTCCTTGCCAGGTGACTTGGAATAAAGCTTTTTCTTTTCGCAAAAGTGGTGCTATAATATTGGCTTCTACTCACATCGGGCAGCAAGTCCATTACTTTGTAACAATTGGAGGATTCGAGGAGCTCAGGAGTGACTCGAACACATCACAGATGATCACTTTCAGTCTCTGACAGTCGTTTGAGGGAGTTAAATACTTTCCACCAGGAAATTCCTTGAAATTCAGCGCCCCACAAGGACAAGGTGGGCTTTTCCATCAGTTGGAAAGGGGCACGGCACAAGGAGTGTCAAAAGACACAGATGGGTGGGCTCTGGCCTTTCCCCTCTTCACCCTTTCCAGGATCTGCAGTGGTCACTGGGACACAAAGGGAAACAGGGCACATCCATGCCTTCCCTCACAGATCTTTCAGAAACACAGTGGGGCAGGCAGGTACAGCCAGGTCACGTGAGGGTTATGAGGGAAGACCCCAGGGGCCATGAGTCCGCTTAACAGGAAACCTTCCTTAAACTTAGAAGTCAGGGAAGGCCTCCTGGAAGAGGTGACATCTAAGCTGAGACAAAGGATGAATAGAAGTTGGCCAGGGGACTAGTTAAGGGGTAAGTTCTCTCAGATAGAGAGAAGACTGACTTGAAATATAAAGAAAATCAGCTGGGTGTGGTGGCTGATACCTGCAATCCCAGCACTTTGGGAGGCCGAGGTGGGTAGATCACCTGAGGTCAGGAATTTGAGACCAGCCTGACCAATATGGTGAAACCCTGTCTCTACTATATACAAATAATTATCCAGGCGTGGTGGCACGCACCTGTAGTCCCAGCTACTTGGAAGGCTGAGGCAGGAGAATCGCTTGAACCCAGAAGGCAGAGGTTGCAGTGAGCCAAGATTGTGCCATTTCACTCCAGCCTGGGCAAGAAGAGCACAAACTCTGTTTCAAAAAAAAAGAAAAGAAAAAGAAAAAAGAAAAAAGAAAAAAAATACTTAAAAATCTATAAAATGCACCAATCAGCACCAATCACTTTGGGAGGCAGGTGGATCACCTGAGGTCAGGAGTTTGAGACGAGCCTGGCCAACCCCATCTCTACTAAAAATACAAAAAATACAAAAACAAAAACAATACACACAAAAAAATCAGCTGGGTATGGTGGTGTGTGCCTGTAAACCCAGCTACTCAGGAGGCTGAGACAGGAGAACTGCTTGAACCTAGGAGGCGGAGGTTGCAGTGAGCCAAGAGTGTGCCACTGGACTCCACCCTGGGTGACAGAGCGAGAATCCATCTCAAAAAAAAAAAAAAATCTGTGGACAAATGTGCTGGGAGAGGGTGAGAAGGATGGGAACTGGCAGTAGGAGGATGAGGGTAAAGCCAATTGACCCATGGAAACCCTCCAGGAAAGCTGAGACACAGAAACTGCCCTTGCTGGTCCCTAGAGCTGTGCCTACACACCTGATTCCTGTGCCCACAGGCCCAGGTTACCCTGGTTTGGCTTCTGGGCTTAGGAGGTGCTTGCAAAACTGGCCGACCCAGATCAACTGGCAATGAGGTGAGGCTGGATAATGTTACTATTCTTTTCCCTATTTACTTCCTTGTCTGCTGAAGCATATCTGTATTAGTCAAGGTTCTCTAGAGGGACAGAACTAAAAAGATAGATGTATATATAAAGGGAAATTTATTAAGGAGTATTGACTCACATGATCACAAGGTGACATTCCACAACAGGCCATCTGCAAGCCAAGGAGCAAGGAAGCCAGCCTGAGTCCCAAAGCTGAAGAACTTGGAGTCCGATGTTGGAGGGCAAGAAGCATCCAGCATGGGAGAAAGATGTAGGCTGGGAGGCAAAGCCAGTCTAGTCTTTCCATGTTCTTCTGCCTGCTTTTATTCTAGCCGTGCTGGCAGCTGATTAGATTGTGCCCACCCAGATTGAGGGTGGGTCTGCCTCTCCCAGTCCACTGAGTCAACTGTTGCTCTCCTTTGGCAACACCCTCACAGACATACCTAGGAACAATACTTTGCATCCAATCAAGTTGACATTCAACATTAACCATCACAACATCCGAGCCATTAAAACTCTCGAGCACCAACGTATTTCAGAGAAACTGTAAAGCCTTTCCTCTTTCCAACTCCACTCAGTGAGAATTCCAGATAAATCCACAGACACCATAGACAGTGGGCCGTGCTGAGGGTGACCTCCAAGCATCTGCAAAAAGGATGAATGAAGAGATGAAGAGGAGAGCCAGCTAACAGCATGTTTTCAAGCTTTTTTTTTTTTTTTTTGAGACAAGGAATTGCTCTGTTGCCCAGGCTGGAGTGCAGCAGCACAATCATGGCTCATTGTAGCCTCAACCTCCCAAGCTCAAGCAATCCTCTTACCTCAGTAGCTGGAGCTACAGGTGTGTGCCACCATGCTTGTTTTTTGTTTGTTTGTTTGTTTTTGTTTTGTTTTGTTTTTCTTGTAGAGATAGGCTCTCCCTATGTTGCCCAGGCTGCTGTCCAACTCCTGGACTCAAGCGATCCTCCCGCCTCAGCCTCCCAAAGCGCTGGGTGTGAGCCCCCCACGCCCAGCTTGTTTTCAAGTTTTTTTTTTCCTTTCCTTTTTTTTTTTTTTTTTTTTTTTGAGTCCCTGTAGCTGGAACGGGACTATAGATGCACACTGCCACACCAGGCTAACTTTTGTGTTTGTAGTACAGATGGGGTCTCCCCAAATTGCCCAGGCTGGTTTTGAATTCCTGGGATCAAGCGATCCACCCGTCTCAGCCTCTCAAAGTGCTGGGATTACAGGTGTGAGCTACTGTGCCTGGTGTTTTCAAGCTTTTTAATAGCATCATGCAGATTACAGACAAGTCATGCCTATTTAGTCCAAGCAGTCATATTTTTTCTTCCTGGATGCTGTATCCATCAGGATGGGCTAGGATATGCTGCAATAACAAATATCCTCAAACTCTCTGTGGCTTAAACCACGAAGGTTTATTTCTTCCTCACACTTCGTGACATAGATTAGCTGGGGCTCTTTCCATGGCTGGAGGCTCTGATTCACCCTCACTGTAGGACCCAGCCATTTTCTGGAGTGTTGTCAGATGCTGTGCTGGAGGTACTGAAAGCTCTGGTGGGTCTTCCATCAGCAATTAAATGCTTGAAGCTTGTGTGGCACACGCTGCTTCCACTCCCAGCTCACTGGCCAGAACTGATCATTTGACTCCCACCAAAACCCCAAAAGGCTCAGGAAGAGCAGTCCCCTCGAGTGCTCAGGAGGCAGCAAGCCAGAAATATTCAGGAAACTGAGTACTCCAGTTGCCAAGTTCTTGAAAGCAAACAGACTTTCCTTTCTGTCCCAAGTCAGCCTGCTAGTCAACAATTAATTAGTTGAGATTTGTGCATTTTGACCTTACCAAGTATCTCAGCCTATTTTCTGTTGCTTAACTGAATACCACAGACTGGGCAATTTATGGAGAAAGGAAATTTGTTTCTTACAGTTCTGCAGGCTAGAGAGCACAAGGTTGAAGGGCTGCATCTGGTGAGAACCATCTTGCTGATGGGGCCTCTGCAGAGTCCCAAGGTGGGGCAGGGTATCACATGGTGAGGAGCCTCACAAGAGAGAGCGAAACTGGTTTTTATAACAGACACACTCTTGTGAAAACTAACCCCCCTGCGATAGCCCATTAATCCATGAATGGATTAATTCATTCATGAGGGCAGAGTTCTCCTGACCCAATCAAAAGATCCCACCTCTCAACACTGCCGCCATTGGAGACCAAGTTTCCAACACACAAACTTTTGGGAGTCATATTCAAGCAATAGCACCAAGTTCAAAAGTAATTTAGAAAAGCTACATCAACTTGAACAGCATCTATGGGCTTAGGGAAAAATTATGCAAGTTAAGATGATTATTTTTTAATTAATCAATTTATTTATTTATTTTTCGAAACAGGGTCTCACTGTGCCACCTAGGCTGAAGTGCAGTGGTGCAGTCATAGCTCACTGTAACCTCAAACTCCTGGCTCAAGCAATCCTCCTGCCTCAACATCCTGTATAGTTGGGAATACAGATGTGTGCCACCATGCCCGGCTAATTTTTTATTTTTTGTATATATAGGGTATCACTATGCTGCCCAAGCTGATCTCAAACTCCCGACCTCAAGCAATCCTCCTGCCTTGGCCTCCCAAAGTGCTAAGATTGCAGGTGTGAGCCACTGCACTCAGTCACAAATTATTCTGCTCTCGTTAATGACACTATAATGTTTCTTCACCCTACTTTACTGAAAACCAAGAAGACTGCGTTTCTTTATAGATATCTTATAATTCTATAGTCTTGTTTGGGTACCCAATAACAAAAGCAAATATAAATAGGTTACTTCAAACCCTTTGAAAACATCTATTGCATGATCATACGTCTGTTTATTGAGAGCTCACTATGGGAATGTCATTTTTCTACATGTTTAAGGGTTATCTCATGATACCTTCACCCCTGAGATGAGTTGTTGTTATTCCCATTTTACAACAGAGAAAACCAAGACCCAGAGAGGTTAAGTAACCTGCCCAAAGTCATGCAGCCAGGGAGTCCCATGTTATGTTTTGCTCCTGCATTGCTAGAAATTGCTCATTGCAAATAATCCTATTCTGGCCTCTGAAGATAACAGGATCCCCTGAAGGTAAGAGAGGGGCATCTCTTCAAAACATGTGCTGCTCTGGAATTCTCCTGGGTTCAGAGGCACACTCCCCACCTCAGTTTGGCATGATTAAAGAGATCCTGCTTGGGTTTCAGTCATTGAACTTTGCTGCCAGTTCAGGAAAGCCAGCCTGGCAGTAGATCTTTTCTTAAGTCTTTGCAGCTAAATCATTATTTATCCAGGAAAGCACATGTCTGAGCAGAAGTGAACAGGGCACGGGTGGTCTCCTGAGCGCTTATGTACATCTGGGAGGAACTGGGCATGTGCGCACACACACAGACACACATGTGCAGAGCACAGACACATATACACACAGAACACACATATACACACATACACATAAACACTCGCATATGCAAACTACACACACTCATACAAACATGCACTACACATACACACAATGCACACACATGCACAGTATACACATATGCATGCATACACACATACACACAACACATGCATACATACACTACATGAATACACACATATACACGACACATACACAAAATGCACACACATGCACAATACACACATACACATGCATACACACACTACACACACATGCATAGTACACACATACACACATACATATAAACATACATACATACACTACACACATATATACACGACACATATGTACAATGCACACATATGCACAGCACACACATACACATATACGTATATGCATAAACACATGCATACATACACTACACACATACAGACAATACACATACACACATATATACATGCTACACACATACACACAATGCACAGACACACTACACACATTCACACAATACACATACACACATATACAAACATACCACACACATACACTACACACACATATACACACATACTACACACATACACACAATGCACACACACATATACACACACATACTACACAATACACTATACACATATACACACATACTACACACATACACACGATACACATATACACATATACACACATATTACACTCATGCACACAATACACATATACACATATACACACATATTACACATATACACACATACTACACAGATACACATAATGCTCACACACACAACACACATACACGCAATACACACAAATACACCATGCCTTCCGGGCACCTGTTATTCAACCTCAAGCAGGAAATTCCCAGCCATTCATTTCTGTGTTTTTCTGTCTGGCCTCACCCTTTTGGGGAATGTACAGAGGACACAGGGGACTCAATGGCAAAGATCAGAGGGTGAGAAGCTCAGGGCCTGAGAACCTTGGGGGGTGGGAGCCGGTGGTCCGGTGCAGTGGGCTCCAAAACTTTGGACAGGCATCAAATCCCCTAATTTGGAGGCAGTGCAGGGTGGACTGAGGAAGAGGAGAGAGAAGGAGGCTGAGGCGGGGGTGGGAGAATGGTGCAGCTTGAAGGGGCGACCCCCACGCCTGAAGCCTGAACTCAGCAGGTCAGAAGTGGGGCTCAGGAGCCTACACTTTTGAGAGTCTGTGTCTCACACTTTTCTCTGTAATGCTCAGGCTGAGTTCTGGAGAAAGACCTTGAGTTCTATCCCTGCTCTGCTGCTTATAAGCTGCTTCACCCTGAGCAAGTCACATGTCATTTGAGAGCCTTTCTCTTTTCTTTTTCTTTCTTTCTTTCTCTCTTTCTCTTTTCTTTCTCTTTCTTTCTCTCTTCCTTTCTTTCTCTTTCTCTTCCTTTCCTTCTTTCTTTCCTTTCTCTCTTTTTCTTTCTTTCTTTTCTTTTTCTTTTCTTTCTTTCTTTCCTCTTTTTCTTTCATCTCTTTCTTTCTTTCTTCTCTTTCTCTCTCCTTCCTTCCTCTCCCTCCCTTCCCTCCCTCCCTTCCTTCCTTCCTTGCCTCCTCTCTCTCTCCCTTTCTCTCTCTCTCTCTCTCTGTCTCCCCTGTTTCTTTTTTTTTGTTTTTTTGAGGCAGGGTCTTGCTCTTTTGTCCAGGCTGGAATGCACAGGCATGATCATGGCTCACTGCAGCCTTGACCTCCCTGGGCTCAGGTGATTCTCCCACCTCAGCCTCCCAAGTAACAGGGACTACAGGCACATGCCACTGCACCCAGCTAATTTTGTATTTTTATAGAGATGTGGTTTCACCATGTTGCCCAGGCTGGTCTCTAATTTCTGGGCTCAAGTGATCTGCCGGCCTCTGCCTCCCAAAGTGCTGGGACCACAGGCTTCAGCCACCACGCCCAACCTGAGAGCCTTGCTTTCATCACTAGTAAGATGAGGATCATTGTACATAAAGAATTTCACACATTGCCTGGCACATGGTAAACATTACATGAACAATGTCTGCTATTATTTTATAACTAATGTTATATAATAACACCCGTACTCCCCCAGGGTGACAGTGGGCAGGTCCAGGCAGCAGCTGCCATTTGAGATAGAGCAGGCTTGGGTCAGCTCTCTTGTTTCCTACCATCCCCTCTACCTCCTGGATCCCCCATACCTTGTGCCCACATCAGTTACCATTTATCATTGCTCTTCTTGTTTTTCTTATAGTGAGGATATTTTTCTCTGAGCCCAAGTCTCCATCAAAAGTAGGTCAAGGGCCAGGTGTGGTGGCTCATGCCTGTAATCCCAGAACTTTGGGAGGCCGAGGGGGGGTGGATCACAAGGTCAGGAGATCAAGACCATCCTGGTTAACGTGGTGAAACCCCATCTCTACTAAAAATACAAAAAAAAAAAAATTAGCTGGGCATGGTGGCACGCGCCTGTAGTCCCAGCTACTCAGGAAGCTGAGGCAGGAGAATCCCTTGAACCTGGGAGGTGGAGGCTGCCGTGAGCCAAGATCACCCACTGCACTCCAGCTTGGGTGGCAGAGTGAGACTCTGTCTCAAAAAAACAAAAAAATGGTCCCATTCAAACTGTGCATTAATTGTGGGAATGGCTTCAGCTAACATTTAGCTCTGAAACTGAAAGAAAATGAAACTACACAAACACTCCAGGATCCCTGGGGAATTGCTCTGGACTGAGCCAGCATACAAGTCTCTCCCACTCCTACTTCTCATCCTGAGCCTGCTGAGAAGGTTGCAATCTTACCTAAGAATGTGATGAAAAGACAGAGACACATCTTTTCATTTCAAAGCCTCTGTTGGTGTCTTGTGTTGCTGGTGGGTGGTGTGCAGGGAGAGTTTGGGGGCTGGAACCAGGCCTGCGGTGGAGCTCCTTCCTGGGGGTGGGAAGGGGCGAAAGCTACACAAGCTTGAGTTTGGGGCAGAGCAGGGGGAGCTCACGGCAGGGGGAGAGCCGCAATTTACAGCATTGCACAGAGGCAGAGTGATTCCTACAAGCCCGAATCTATGAGGTTTAGCAGGTAGTGAAACAAGGGAAGCCAGCAGGGTATGAGAGAAGCCATGTGCCCATCATGGTCTGGCTTTCCTTGACCTACTTTTTTTTTTTTTTTTAGACGGAGTCTCGCTGTCACCTGGGCTGGAGTGAGTGCAGTGGCGCGATCTCAGCTCACTGCAGCCTCTGCCTCACAAGTTCAAGCCATTCTCCTGCCTCAGCCTCCCAAGTAGGTGGGATTACTGGGGTGTGCCATGACACCTGGTTAATTTTTGTAGTTTTAGTAGAGACAGGGTTTCACCATGTTGGCCAGGCTGGTCTCGAACTCCTGACTTCAAGTGCTCTACCCACCTCGGCCTCTCAAAGTGCTGGGATTATAGGTGTGAGGCACCGCGCCAGCCTTTGACCTACTTTTGATGGAGACTTGGCTCAGAGAAAAATATCCTCACTATAAGAAAAACAAAAGAAAAGCAATGATAAATGGTAACTGATGTGGCCACAAGGTCCAGGAGATCCAGGAGGTGGAGGGGATGGTAGGAAACGGGATTGCTGACCCAAGCCTGCTCTATCTCAAATGGCAGCTGCTGCCTGGACCTGCCTACTAAAAAACACCATTCATGTAGACATTGAATCTAAGATACGATTGATGGTAAGATGTTCTGATATTTAACAAATTACTAATAAAGAAAAAAAGCCTGCCAATTAAGCTGTGACAAGCCATTGATTACAAAACGAGTCTCAATTCCACACATGTCACAGTGTGAAAAGGATGCATCCTAACATTCATGAAATATTGGATACCAGTAGGCTGGACTTGGTCTGTGGCAGCCTTGCGCAGTTTCCAACCTGCACAACTGTACACAACAGCTCTTATGAAGCTTCCCAGAACACTGAAGAGCTTAGGGGCCACCACGAGGCTCACACTTGGGGCACATCTATGAACTCCCAAGTCCCTTAAGAAGTAATCCCTCTTTGATCTTCATCTGAACCAGGAAGGCCACAAAGAGGAAACTATGGGCCAGTTTCCTCCCATGGGGCACCAGTTCACTGAGAGTGGTCCTAGGGCCCCTGGGATGGTGGTTCGGCAGGCATGGGGTAGGGCTTCATGAGGGATTCTGAGTCCTGCCAGACTAGGAGAGGCCTCACATTTATAAGACCCAGAGAGGTGAGGGCCCTGGCCCAACATCACACAGCCGGGCAGAACAGAGCTGGGCTGAGGGCTCGGCACTCCTCACTCTAATCCCTGGTGCTTCTTCTCTTGCTGACTGTAAAAATGTCTGCTTTTCTGCCCCAGGTGAACTGGAGATAGGGGTCTCCGGGGCTGAAAGGGGTCTTGCCCCCAGCCCTGCCCCACTCCTTCCCCTCCGAAGCCCTGATTGCTGCACTTGTCCCCAGAGAAATCACCCATATTGATTCACAAGACTTTTAAATTTTATTAGTAAAATACAAAATGGCACAGACGTTGGTGATGAGGGTTGGAAAAGTCTTTCCAAAGTCTTCCTACTCTTTCCAAAGTCTTCCTAGATCATCCTTGTCCATGTCCTGCTTGGAGAAACTAACAAAGTCCATGGAAGGGGGACCAACTGGCCCCAGCGGCTTCCTCACAAAGGAGGCAGGGCCCCATCACAGGGTGTCCCACCCCTGGAAGGCTCTCCCAGCCTGGAAGAGCCAGAACAAAGTGCATTGGGCCCACTCCCACCCTCTCTGAGCTGCCAGAGTGACCCCACCTGAGCCAGGCCCTGAGCTTCCTGAATATGCTGCGCCACACCCAGCAGGGGAGTGCAGAGGCCAGGTGGGCAGGGCAGCACAGCGTCTTGCTCTCTATGGACCAGAGCTGGGTTTCCTTCCTCCAAGCACCCATCTGTGAAGGAGTGTTCCTAGCACCTGGGTAGAACCCAGCCCATAAGAGGCCCCTCAGGTAGACGGCAAGGGTCGGGGACAATCCAAGGGAGAGGTGAGCTGCCACCAGGGACCCTGAGGGGCCAGGCCAGCCGGTGCAGCCCCATCCAGGCATGCTCGAGCCTTCAGCAGCCAAAAAAGGGAACCCCTGACTTTATGCCTACAACTTCCCCTTTCCCATGTCCCAGCCCCCTTCCCGGGTAGCGTCCCTTTCAGAAACAAACAGGGGACTCATGGAAAACATCATGGAAATCCCTGGTCCTGTCTGCGGTGGGGACAAAGGTGAAGGAGAAGGTCTTGGAGGGCAGAGAACAGTGTTTTCAAGGAGTGAGAGAGGTGGGAAGGGAGCCCAGCCTCAGGAAAGAATCTGGCGTGTGTGGGGTGGGACCACAAGGGTCTTGTGGCCTGGCTGCCTGCAGGAGTCTCTGAAGAAGCATCAGGAATGTGGCTGCTCCTGGAGCCTTTCCTGGGCTTCTTGGACATGTGTCTGGAGCCCTCCCTCCCTCTTAGCGGGTGATGGGAGGCAGAGCCCGGGCTGTCTCAGTGACTAAGCCTGGGCGGGGCCTTCAGGGATGGTCTCTGCTCTGCCCATTTCCATTTGGGGGCCCACAGGGCAGGGTCTGTGCTATCAACTCACTCCCTTGCAGGCCCTCTGGGCCTCAGGGTCCAAAGACAAGTTAGTCCATTGGCAGGGACTGTCTAAGGTGCTCTGCTGGTAAGGACTGTGAGGCTGCATCCAGGGGCTGGAGAGAAGGGCCTCAGGTCAATGAGTGTTGTCAGGGGGACAGGTATTCCTTACCTCCCTCTTTCCTTTCACAGATGGGAGTATGTTGGTGGCTTGATGGTGGAACTAGGATCAGAACCCAGCCTTCAGACTCAGCACAGTGTAGACCAAAGAGGAAAGTCACCAGATACCCTTATCTCCCCTTCCCACAATGCCTAACCAAGGGCAGAGCCTCACTGGAAGCAGTGCCAGGAAACACCACACTAGCCTCATGCAAGAAAAGACATGTCACCAGTGGGGGCGTGGGCTCTGTACAGAGGATGGGGCTGGGGGAGATAGCACCGCAGGTGGCCGGGGTGACTGGCAACTGCAGCAGGACCAAGAGACACAATCAGGTTGCAGGGAGTGGGCAGAGGGCCTGGCCTGATGCTCATGTGTGAGATGGGAGGACTGTAGTACTCACAGGGCAGCATGGGTCAGAAGGGGCTGGGCATTTAATAAATAATTGTTCATTGGGGCTGGGATGGCGTCAAAGGGAACCTCTAACCAGCCAGCAGCAGAGGAGAGTTTTGGGGCTGGGGTGAGTTGGGAGGCCACCCCCTCTGTCCCTGGCAGGTGGAGAATGGTCAAGGCTGGCCTCCTGGGGAATGCCTGGGAGCTTGGAGCTTGTGCACCTGGAGGATCCCACCTCCCCCCTCCAATCATCCCAGCTCAGGCCAGGCCCTTGGGTGGGGGTGGGTATGAGGATGAGGGATCCCAGGCAGCTGTCTGAATCAAACAACTAGACACAGGCCAGAGGAGTTCACACGGGCACCAGGACATATGAATTACTACCACAGCTCCGGGGGATGTAGCGAAGGCCCTCCGCCATCTCTCCTGCCATCTTTCGAGGGCAGCCCTGGAGGCTCTGGTAGGTGAACATGGCCACCCCCAGGCAGAAGAGGAGGCCAAGGAAGGCCAGCAGCCCCACCGCCTGCCTCCGGGTGGCAGCCTGGGCGTCAGGGACAGGAGTGATAAGGACGCCCAGCCTCTGGGGGTCCATGGTGGCATGGATGGGTTCCTCAGCCTTAGGGGTCCAGCTGCCTGAAGCCACTGGCTCCCTGCTGGGGGTCCCTTCTGAGGAGACAGGGACCACAGAGACGTGGGCCATGCTGCCAGGCCCCCAGTCCTGGAAGGCATCCGTGTGCGCTGGCACGGGACCCATCTCCTCCCGCTCCAGAGAGTTCTCTGGCCTGGGGCTCTGTCCCTGACCCCACACACGCTGGCCTTCAGACGGAGCATTCTCCTCTGGGGCTGGGGAGGACGCAGTGGAGGCCTGGGTGGAGGGGTCCTGGGTGGACGGGGCCTCAGAGGTCTTTGCCTCAGCCCAGAGGCTGGGCCCAGGTTGGTGGGGAGCAGAACTCTGCCACGTGGCGGCAGTGGAGACGGGAGGCACTCGGAAAAGCTCCGTGCCCACAGGCCCTCCATCCTGAGCCTTTGGCGTCGGGGGGAGCCTGGTCCCTGAGGAACCAGTCACGCCCGTCGGCAGCTCTGGGGAGGTCCCCAGGGCCCTCTGTGCTTCCTGGGAAGAAGGAGTCGGCTCCAGGCTACTGCTTTCGCCTGTGGCTTCGGGCTCCAGGACCACAGACTCGTCCATTCCCCCGGCGGCAGGGGTGGTCCTGGGCTTCACCTCGCCGATCTGCTTCTCGAAGGTGCCGCCATTTCGAGTTAGGGCAGCAGCCTGGCGGTCCAGATGCTGCATCGCGTCCTTGACCCATTGCTCCTTCGGGTCGGCACAGAACAGCCTGTGCTGTCTCGTCTCCAAGCTACAAGGGAGGAAGACAGGGATTCGGTTATGCCCAGATACCAGAAACCCGGGCCAGCGTGGTGTGGGGGCACAGCACCAATACTCTGCAGGTGAACACACCCGGCTGGAAACCCTGTCCTCCCACTTAGCGTCTGTGAGGCAACTGACCAGCTGGGGCAACCCGCTCTCCTGAGCATCCAGGTCCTCACCCTAGAAATGGAGATAGGAAAGCCTCCCATCTGTAGGGTGACCAGCCATCCCAGAAAAATTGGGATGGAGGGGGTGCTTAGGATGGGGGACTTTCCATTTTAAAACTGGGGAAGTCCCCAGGCAAACACGGACGAGTTGATCACCCTACTTCTGTGTTACTGTAAAAAAAGGTAAATTATGTGAAGCACCCAGCTCAGAGTAGATCAGTAATAGCTGAAAATAATAACAATGTCGATAATATTGTTACCATTAAGGCAGGGGGCTCTGGGCTTTGAGTCTTCTGCTGGGGGGGACTTCAGGTGAGCTCTGTATGGGGCCTCCTCACTCTGGAACAGGCCTTATGAGACTTTGTGAGTCTTGTTGCTCCTCTCCTTCGGTTTCACAGCTACAGGCTGTGCTCCGGGCCCCTCTCCTCCCCTCCTGATGTGTGTTCACGGGCAGAAGGGGCTAGAGCCAAATATGTGGCAGCCTCACTGGGATCCCGAGCGCCCTCCAAATCTTGAACTTCCTCTGAAGCCCTGTGTGGCTAGTTCACCACCAAGCCCACAGCTCAGAGCTGACAGAGGCCCTGGCTCCATGCCACGGCCTGTGCTTGGCATTTTGCCCATGTCTAAACCTTACATCCATTCCACAAGGTGGCTACCAGGCTCATCCCCATTTTACAGATGAGGAAACCAAGGCTCAGAGAGGTGAAGTAAAGGCATCTGGCTCCAGGATGCCGGGAAACCAGAGAAGTCCAGGAAGCAAGTATGACCCTGCAGGCCCCCTGGGCACAGTGATCCCCTCCCCAACTTCCTTCTTCCCCTTCATCTAGAAAACAAAAAATACTTGGGGGTGTCTTGGAGAAGTAAGCCTTGACTGATCAGCAAAGAGGTCCGGCAGGAGCACACTCAGTACCTTGCCCACCTTAGAAACTGCATAATTGAGGAGAGGAAGTGCCAGACTTCCTTTAGCTGGGCCTAGAAAGCAAAGGGCCATTGGCCATTTCCTGCTGCCCGGCCTCTAGGTCTGGCTGAGGCTGCTTTAGGTCCCAAAAGTCAGTCCTGGGGAAAGGCCTCAGGGCTGGCTGGTTAGACAGGACCCAAGAGAGCCCCCAGGAGGAGCAAGTGACCAAGATTGCCAGGGTCTTCAACAGCCAGGGTTACAATGGCTCAATCCCTCCCCAAAGTCTCGAAATGGTCGTTTCCTGTCTGTCCAATGGAGATAGTGATTTCTGCAGCTCCTACTGACAGCACCCTGCCAGGCACTTTATTTACTTTTCTTTGTCTTTTTCTTTTTTTTGAGATGGAGTCTCACAATGTTGCCCAGGCCAGAGTGCAGTGGTGCCATCTTGGCTCACTGCAACCTCCGCATCCTGGGTTCAAGCGATTCTCCTGCCTCAACCTCCCGAGTAGCTGGGATTACAGGCGCCCACCACCATGCCAGGCTAGTTTTTGTATTTTTAGTAGAGATGGGGTTTCACCGTGTTGGCCAGCCTGGTCTTGAACTCCTGGCCTCAAGTGATCCACCAACCTCGGCCTTCAAAAGTGCTGGTATTACAGGCATTAGCCACCGCGCCCTTGCCAAGCACTTTAGTTACATCCTGTCCTAGCTACCCATTTTACAGACAAGGAAACCAAGTTGCAAAAAGTAAGCAATGGAAGCAGGGCCACCCAGCCAGTAAGAGGGAAGGCAGGATTTGCATCAGGTCTGTTAGAGTCTGGAACCTGCATTTTAAGTAAGACCCTCATGCTTTACACCTACCCACACCGCCCCATGAAATATAGTGGGTTCGAGTGTGGGGTAACATGTGCTTCAGCCCAGGAGGAATTACCACCCTTCATGGCTGCTCCAGGCCACAAGCCAGGGTGGCTGCCACCCAGCCACACTGGGCCATTCAGGAAGCCACTCTCCACCTTAGCCATGTGGCACAGAAATTAAGGTCAGTGAGGTGGCCTGCAGGCCAGGGGCAAGAGAAGCGTGTGCTGAGGCCTTTGGCTGGGAGCCCAGGTCTGGGAGCGGAGGTGTGGACGTAGATTCTCAGAGGTCTGGGAATATTCCAAGGGCCCAAAGGGGATTTCAGAGGCCTCGAGGGCAGTACCTACATGATTGCGCGTTTGCCGCATGATGCCTGGTTCTGTTGATAGTGGATGAGCAAAGCTACAGGTATCTTTGATGTCATCTTGCTGCACGTGATGTTGCATTTCGTCACACCGTGGTGCTGTCCTGAGTTCAAAGAGGTTCCTGGTCAGCAGGGATGTCTGTGGGCATCTGGCTTCCCAACCCCGTGCCAGATTGTCCCGGCCACACCACCCAAGCCAAAACTGATCCCCTGTACACCCTGGCCTTCAAGGCCTTTGACTCAGCCTCCCTCCCCTGCCAAACTTCTCTATGCCTCAGTTTCCCCACCTGTAAAATAGGAACAAAAATAGCATCTACCTCATAGTCTTGTTGTAAGAATAAGAAACGTGAATTCTTATTTATAGAGTTCTTTTTGCCTGGCACATATTAAGAGTTTAATTTTTTTTTTTTTGAGTTGGAGTCTTGCTCTTGTTGCCCAGGCTGGAGTGCAATGGCATGATCTCGGCTCACCGCAACCTCGGCCTCCCAGATTCAAGCGATTCTCCTGCCTCAGACTCCCGAATAGCTGGGATTACAGGCATGTGCCACGACTCCTGGCTAATTTTGTATTTTTAGTAGAGACGGGGTTTCTCCATGTTGGTCAGGCTGGTCTCAGACTCCCGACCTCAGGTGATCTGCCCTCCTTGGCCTCCCAAAGTGCTGGGATTACAGGCGTGAGCCACCATGCCCGAGTTAATTTTTAAAATTAAGTGGTCCATTGTGCAGCAGGGGGGATGAATCTGAGAGTGACAGGGACCTGCTAAGGTCACACAGCCAGCAAGTGATGGAGCAGGTTCTCCTGCTCTAGTCCCCACCGGGCCTGTGGCCTTGCCTATCCCCTCACCTCTGCCTTATTTCTTCCCGCTGCCATTTTTTTTTAAGAGATAGGGTCTTGTTCTGTTGCCCAGGCTGGAGTGCAGTGGTATAATCCTAGCTCACGGCAACCTCAAAATCCTGGGCTCAAGAAATCCTCCTGGCCGGGTGCGGTGGCTCACACCTGTAATCCCAGCACTTTGGGAGGCCGAGACAGATAGATCATCTGAGGTCAGGAGTTTGAGACCAGCCTGATCAATATGGTGAAACCTTGTCTCTACTACAAATACACAAATTAGCCTGGCATGATGGTGTGCACCTTTAGTCCCAGCTACTCGGGAAGCTGAGACAGGAGAATTGCTTGAATCCGGGAGGCAGAGGTTGCAGTGAGCTGAGATCATACCACTGCACTAAAGCCTGGGTGACAGAACAAGACTCCGTCTCAAAAAAAAAAGAAAAAAAAAAAAGAGATCTCTTGCCTCAGCCTCCCAAGTAGCTGGGACTACAGGTGCCTGCTACCATGCCTGGCTAATTTTTTTAAGAGACAGGGTCTTGCTATGTTGCCCAGGCTGGTCTTGAACCCCGACCGCAAGTGATTCTCCCACTTCAACCTCCGGAATAGCTGGGATTACAGATGTAAGCCACTATGCCCAGCAATAAACTTTTTAAAAAATATATAAGTACAACTGCTTTCTAAGGAAGGTGGGGTCTGCTGAATAGATGATCCTTTGTTCTGCTGCTGAGAGCCAGAATGAGCCCGAGAGCAGTTGCTGAAAGGTACTGAGTCATCCTGCCTAGGAGGGAAGAGGCATTTGAAATTCCTGGAGCAAGAAGAGTAAGGAGGAGGGTTGGAGATGGACGGTATGAATAAGGTGGGGGCAGAGTGGGGCGGAAGGGGCAGGCAGTAGCTGAGTGTCACGTGGAACCAGAGAGAAACCCCGGGACAGGACAAATAAACCCAACTATTTGATATAAACATTTGAAGTTGTTTACATTGAATTTCCACCTTTTCTCTTCCTCTATAATCTCCAGCAAATTTTCTTCTGCTTAGCTTGAGCTCAAGGAGGATGAGTATAAAAAACAAGGAAGAGCTTGAGTTTCAGATCTGAGTCAAGGTTATATGCAGCAAAAGCAAGACCCCAGAGGGTTTTGCAAACATCTGGAGACCAGGGCAGTCAAGAGAGCAAGCTGATCTTATCTAGCCCTTCAGAGCCTGGGAAACCCCCAGGGCATCCCTGGGCTCCACCAGAACACGAACTGCTCATGCATAAATATTTACATATATGTGGCCATGCAAACATACACCACTTTCCCAAATACAGGCACATGCACGCTTGCACACACAGAGAGACTTTGTAGAGTCTGCTGCTTCCTCTCTCCATCGCTCCCCCTTAGCTTTGGCCCACCCTGCTTTGTGGGAAGGTGGTTTAGGGCCGGCAGGTCTGGGTTGAGTCATCAAGGAGAAGCACTAGTAGCTTCAGGGGGTTGGGGGCTGTGTGCAGGAGGGGCTCCCCAGGTCACAGGGCTGTCCTTTCTCTCTGAGTAACCAGGATATAAAAGTCACTGTGTGGGCTGGCCACCCTCCTTCTGCAATGGAACCTCAGACTGACTCACCTGCAGCCTCCCCAGGCCCTATTGAGTGGAGCCAGGTGGCAGTCCCCTAAAATGGCCTGCAGGTGTCTTCTTTGGGAAGCCCCAGAAAATACGGTGCCCCTGAGTGACCAGAGACAGGAGGAGGCAAGGGAGGCTGCCCAATGGATAGGAAAGAAGGTCCATTCTGTGCTCCCCAAATCCAAGATGGGAAAAGCCATTGCCCACCTCCAGGGCTTTAAAGAGCCACAGAGTCATCCTGTCTCCAAAGTCCCCACCCTCTGCCACGGTCCCTGAATGGTCCTGGCCCGGCTCAGTTCTTGGTTCTGCCAGGAAGATTGTTTAACTGACCTGGGGAGCCTGTCCCTTCTCAGAGCTGAAATTTTCCTTTCTGTAAATGGAGACAATGCCTCATCCAGCCAGTCATATATTATCTGTCATAGGAGTGTCAGGAAGGCAGGGACCTTGTCTGTCTTGGTATCATAGTTTCCCAGCATCAAGCACAAGGTGGATACTCAATCAATATTCATTGAATGAAATTAGTCTCAGTTTACTTATCTCTCTTTAATGCATCTATCTACCTATCCATCCACCCGTCCACCCACTCTTATCAATCTTCTACCCATTCCTCGCCCACCTGCCACCTCCTGCCCAACCCCTATTCATCTCCATTCATCCATCTACCCACTCCCTCTCCCCTACCTACCACCTGTCAATCTTCCGCCCCCTTTTATCTCACCTACTCATCCATCCCTCATCATCCCCTCCCCATCCCTTCTTCCATCCATCCATCTGTCCATCCATCCACCCATCCATCCATCCATCCATTCATCCATCTATCCACCCATCCATCCATCCATCCATCCATCCATCCATCCATCCATCCATCCATCCACTTCCTGATTCAGCCAACACTGGCTGGAATTACTTTTGAGTATATACAAAAATCTCAGGCCCTCTTATCCTTAACCTTGAGCTCTTTCTCCCATAGGCACTGGTGCTGAGTTTGAAGAGAGTGCTTCCATCCCAATAAATGCCATCAGATCACTCTGTTTATTCAGTCAACCAACAAATGCTGGTTCCTCTTGCCAGGCCCTGTGCTGGGTGCTGTGAGGTACAGTGAGATGAACAAGGAATGCCTCTGGCCTCAGAAGGCTCCCAGCCTGATGGACAGGTAAATTAGGCACACAAAGTATCAGAGGTTTTATTTATTTTTTTTAATTGAACACCTACTGTGTATTGGACCCTGTGTCCAGCATGTACACATCTGCTCTCTTTAATTCCCAACATTCCTGCAAAGGGAGTATTATCCCAACTTTACAGATGCAGAAGCTGGAAATAAGAGAGGCTAAATGTGCCCAGTGCCACACAGCTGCATGGTGGCAGAGCTAGTTTTCTACTCAGCCCCTAAACACCCCACTGTTCTAGGCTACCCTAGATGCCAGGTAGAAACACAGTGTTCCAGAACATACCACAAACATATTGGGGTTTACATGAGGGAGAGACCACTTCCAACTTCAAATGGTCAGGGGAGGCTTCTTGGAGGAATTCTCCTTTAGGCTGGACCTCAAGGACTTCTAAGAGTCTTCCAGGGTCTTAGAAGGAGACTCAGGAAATGTCCTGGGTTGCTGGATGAGGTGATAAAGGGAGGGCTTGAGCCATTGCCCAGCTGTGTGTCCTGAGCAAGTCACTCGGACTCCCTGAGCCTCAGTTTCCTTACTTGTAAAATGGATGTGACAATACCTGCTTCACAGTGTGGTTGTGAGAATAAGAATTTTTTAACTTCTGGAGCATTTTTCCCTTAGGGCAAGGTTTCTCAACAGTGACACTACTGACATTTTGGACCAGACAATTCTTTGTTTTGGGGGCTGTCCCGGGTACTATAGGAGGTTTGGCAGCATCTCTGGCCTCTACACACTAGAGGCGAGTAGCTCAACTGAACCAAAAACATTGGGATATTTGTAACAAGTAAAAAATTTCTCTAGAAATTGCCAAATGGCCCATAGGGGAGCAAAATTACTCACTGAGGACCATTGCTCTAGAGATATCCACATGGCTCCCGCCCTCACCCCGCTCCAAACTGTGCAAAGCCACCTACTCAGTGGGCTTCCCTAACCCCCTATTTAAAATGTCAACACCTCTCTTCTCCCCTCTCTATTTTTCTTTTTCTTTTCTTTTCTTTCTTTTTTTTTTTTTTAAATGGACTCTCACTCTGTCACCCAGGCTGGAGTGCAGTGACACGATCTCGGCTCACTCCAACCTCTGCCTCCCAGGTTCAAGCGATTCTCTTGCCTCAGCCTCCCAAGTAGCTGGGACTACAGGCATGCACCACCACACCCAGCTAATTTTATATTTTTAGTAGAGACAGGGTTTCATGATGTTGGCCAGGCTGGTCTTGAACTCCTGACGTCAGGTGATCTGCCCGCCTTGGCCTCCCAATGTGCTGGGATTACAGGCATGAGCCCCTGCGCCCAGCCACCCCTCTCTATTTTTTTATCACAGTGCCTTTTCTCCTTCCAACAGACCACATTGTTTACTGATTTACTTTGTGTGTTATGTGTCCTCTGCAGTTGAATTACAGCACCTCGAGGGCTGAGGTCCTTGGCTGTTTTATTTATTGATGCCGCCCCAGTACCTAGAACCAGGTTTGTCACACAGTAGGTGTCCAATAACTATTTGTTGAATGAATGGACAAAATGCCTAAGGAAGCGCTTTGTGGCATAATACCTTAACCAACAGAAAAATGGAGGAATTTTTATTTAAATTAGACAGGGGCCTGGATCTGACACTCTTGAATTTATCCTCCCATGCCCTCCCCATCCACCCCCACTGCTAATGAGGCGGGTAGGCTATAGGAGCTTAAAACAGATTCGTTTTTTTTTCTCTTTCTTGCCAGGACTTGAGTGGGAGTGAATGCGTCAGCTCTTGGAGTGGGGGGGCAATGCTCTGCACTGACTCGTAGCTGCAGGTTTGTTATATAAAGTACAGAAGCCTCCTGCCTGACACAGCCCCACAAACCCACATTTGGGGACTGACGCAGCTGCCCCACACTAGTCAGGGCAGCAGCTACGAACCCCCCAGCCTCCTCTCGGGGTCTCTCTGGCTTCCAAACCACCCCCTTGTCCTACAGGGGCTCCCGAGGGCCTCTCAGAGCCATACATGTCAGCGTGGGAGAGGACTTCCAAGGTGAGCCTGGTCAAATGCCTAGTTTTACAGGAGGAGAAAGTGAGGCTGAGAAAGGTTCCAATAATGCCCAGGATCTTCCAGTAAAGCCAATGACCAAGATGAGGGCAGAAGCCTGGTTCTAAAGCCTCAGGCTGCTAGTCTGAGCACCCAGGGTCCCCCAGTGTCCCCTTTCCATCCTAGCCTAGGACCCTTCCCTCTCTCAGCTTAGTAAAAGTAATCCTCCTCCTCCGCCCTCTTCAAAACACCTCCATAGGCATTGGAACCTCGTCACCCTCCCCCAATCCACCGGAGAGGTAATAGCTATATTTAAAGATGCAGCAACTGGGACCAGAGGAGGCAAGACCCTGCTCACGGTCACATAACAGGACTGTGGCAAAGCAGCCGCCATCTGACTCCCTGCTTTCCAGATCTCACTGTCCGCAGACACCTCAGGCTTCAGGGCCCCAGCCCAGACAGCAGGAAGCCAGCAGGAATTTGCCTCCACCACTCTCACGTGCCCACCCACCCACACACCTGCTCCCTGCCCCAGGGTGAGTTTGCTCCATGGAAATATCTGGACAGTGGGGACTACTTCTCATTCTCCCAGACTTGCTGTGTGCCCACCTTCTCTGAAGGTCACCCTGCCAGATGGTGGGGGCACTCCCTGAGGAGGGGGCTGGCTAGCGGTTCATGGAGGTGATGTGGCCCACAGAGGTGGTGAGTGTGCATCTGTGCTCTCTCCTGCATTCAGTCCCATGTGTCTTACCTTCTCCTGCCCTACTTGCTGGCTGTGCATTGTCAGGCCAGTTTCTAAACCTCTCTGGGCCTCCATCTTATCCATATCAGGTAGGATGGTTAATTATGTACCCCTACCAGGTCCTGGGCTTCAGTAAGCAAGTGACTAGAGGCAAAAGCATTTTCTACACTGTGCTTGGAGGAGGAAGACAGCATGACGGGTAGACACAGGCAGAGCAACTGGGGCTATAGACTAGCACAGCAGTGGCAAGCCCCAACCATGAGCTGCAGTGACCTTGACCTTCACTGGTCCTGGGCCCCCTAATCCTGGGGGCTTTGAAAACAGGACAGGAGAAAGTCCCAACTGTGGCCTGGCCCAGGGCCAGGGCTGCGGGTTACACATTAACGCTTGATGGAAAGAGCCAGCCACTGTCAGCCAGGGCCTCCCACCCCAGTGCCCAGCAGGAGCTTCTGCAGGCTCTCTCCACCCCCGCCCTCCTGGCACACCCACACCTGGCTCCCTTATGCCACCCACACCACCTCTCTGTGCTTCCAGGCACAGCCACTTTGCTCGCTGGGCCAGGCAGGGCGGTCGCTGGCAACTGGAAATCTGTCCAGCGCTGCATCTGGGGGAAGCGAGGTGCCCAGCCCCCTCTCGCACATCCCTGGGGAAGCGGCTGCCACCGGCCTTGAGCTTTACCCAGGCAGGGTCTGGGGCCCCTGATGTCAGGCTTGAGGGATAGACAAGGGGCTGGGGGCTCCCTACCCTGTTTGTGCCCAAGTCAAGCCCCACTTACCAGCCAGCAGGACAGTCAGATGGCAGAAGGTGGCCAAGCGGAGCAGCCACGACAGAGATATCGGAGCCATGGCTGAGGGTGGGCAAGAGTCCCGGCGGGGGCCAGGCAGGCGGCTAGAGCCAGGCGGCAGAGCTCAGTGCTGTCCCCTTGCCGCCGCCAGAGATCTGTGGCTTTTTATAATGGGGTTGGCTGCCTCCGCCTCCAGCCCCCGCAGGCAGGAGGGTGGGAGGGGAGAGGAAGGGAGCCAGTGTGCAGCCGCTGGATTCCTCAGGATGTTGCCAAGGAACCAAGCCGGCTTTGTGTCCCTGGGCTTCTCACCATCCTAGGCTTGTCATACTGGGACCTTCCCCGGGAGGCTGGACTGGGCCTGCCTGGGTACAAAGGCCTCCTCTCCTGCCACAAGCTGGGAACATGCCCTAGGATCTGGCCTGGGGCCCTTGATCCTAAGTGGGCAACACACAAAAGGCCAGCAGGCCGTGGAATAGAGAGCGGGGCGCCAAGGGGCCGGGAGAGACTCAGGGCCCCTCCATCCTGGGTCTGACAAGCTCTTCTTTGATCCAGAGAATGCCTCGCCCACATCAGGATGGACCCCTAAATTTCCCCTCTTAGAATCCCAAGCTCCTGGGGGACCTTGTTGATCTATGCATCTCCAGAGCCCAGCAGGGAGCCTGAAGTCAGCAGGGGCTTGGTGCAGGGTCTGCTGAAAGAAGGATTGAGTCCAACTTCATATGGATAGATGGGGAAACTGAGGCCCGGAGCCACCCCAGGTTATCCACAGCATCAGAGTGGAGAACTCCCCTCCCACCACCATGATGAGCAGAATGTGGACAGCTCAGGACCCAGGAGAGAGCCCTGGCCTCCCTGCCTCCACCTCCCGGTCTCCCGCTCCCTGCTTTGCACCCACTCCCACCTCTGCTCTGGCCCCTGTTAGCCCAAAGAACAAGGTGGCTGCCAACCCATCCCCGATAACTCTGTGGCTCTTGGCTCCTCAACTCTGTAGCCGTGGCTTGGATAAGGCTTGCCTCTCGTGGGGCCTGAGTTCTCTATCTGCCCAAAGAGAGCATTGGGCTAGTGCAATGGGGAGAGGGCTTCCCAGCACCGGCCCTCCAACAGGCTCTCACCGAAGGGTGCAGAGGCTTGCCAGCCTTGGGAGCACATTAGAACACAGTCTGCCTTCATGGCAGCCTTCCCTAAAGGCAGTGGCAACAATCCCTGAGACTCCAGAAGAGTCAGCAGCTCTGCCTTGGTATAGGACTGAGCTGTACTGGTGTCTCCAGGCTGCCAATCTGAGGGAAACCAGTTGTGGAGCCAGCATCCCACGCTATGAGCCAGTTGGGCTGGGCAGAGGGGCCACAGATCCCAAGGCCAGGGACCTCTCTCTCCTCAACCACCCCCCCCCGCCCCCCCACCCAACCCAATGGGCTGCCTGGTGCATGGGGTTAGGGGTTAGGAGGCTAGATACTTCTTGAAGTAGCGGAACACCCTTGGCAGGAGCCAAGGTCCACTCATGCTCAGAGAATCTGTCCTGGCCTGTGCACATGGGAAGCTAGTAGCCTTCTCATTCCCAATGTCCAATCCCTCTTTTTATAACTGGTGAAACTGAGGCCCAGAGAGGGACAAGGAGGGATAAAAACTGAGGTCGTGTTCTTTCTGCTCTGTTCATGTAAGAACAGAGGAGGAGGCCGAGTGCGATGGCTCACGCCTGTAATCCCAGCACTTTGGGAGGCTGAGGTGGGTGGATCACCTGAGGTCAGGAGTTCGAGGCCAGCCTGGCCAACACGGTGAAACCTCGTCTCTACTAAAAATACAAAAATTAGCTGGGTGTGGTGCACACCTGTAATCCCAGCTACTTGGGAGGCTGAGGCAGGAGAATCGCTTGAACCTGGGAGGCAGAGGGTTGCAGTGAGCCAAGATCACGCCACTGCACTCTAGCCTGGGTGACAGAGTGAGACTCTGTCTAAAAAAAAAAAAAAAAAAAGACATTTTCTTAGGTTCACCAGCCAGGAAATGAGGGATCCTGGATTCGTCCCAGCCAGCTGGCTCTGAGGTCTGAGCTCAAGACCAGTAGGGTCCACCACCTGCCTCCACCCTCACTGCGAGGACCAATGTGAAGACTAAGTGAGTTTATGTCCATAGGGTACGGGACAGAGCCTGGCATAAAATAGAAGCGAAAATGCAAAGCACGGCTCTGCTTTTCCTCATTTGACCCTTTGGACACCCTCTACCCTCCCCAGGTCCAGCTTCTACTCCCATAAAATGGGAATGATCACCCCCATCTATCTCATTAGGATGTTAAGAACTGAATTTAGATTTAATTTGGACACAATAACCAGGCTTTCAGGCTAGCCAGACCCAAGGCTAAACAGGACTCCAGGCCGGATGTGGTGGCTCACACCTGTAATCCCAGCACTTTGGGAGGCCGAGGCAGGAGGCAGAGGCAGATTCCCGGGAATCTGAGACCAGCCTGGCAAAACCCCCTCTCTACAAACATGGTGAAACCCCCTCCCTACAAAAAATATACGAAAATTAGTGTGGTGGCCTGTGCCTGCAGTCCCAGCTGCTCAGGAGGCTAAAGTGGAAGGATCAAGTGAGCCTGGGGAGGTTGAGGCTGCATTGAGCCATGATCATGCCACTGCACTCCAGCTTGGGCACAGAGTGGGACCCTATCTGAAAAAAAATAAATAAATACATCAGCAGGACTCCACCACGGATAAGGGGTGTTCCCTTGGGCAAGTGACTTAACCTCTCTCTGCATTTCAGCTTCCCTATATGTAAAATGGGATGCAAACAGCCACCTCATCAAGCCACCACGACAGTGAATAAAACTAAGGACTTTCACAGTGCCTGGCACGCAGGAGGCATTAGTATCTGTTATTGAGCCCGGTGTGTGCCAGGCAATGTGGTGGGATGGGGGACACAAAGGCAAGTGAGCTGAAGTCCTTGCCCCCAGGAGCTGTAGCTCAGTAGGAGAGAGAAGTTGCCAGCCCTACCAGAGGGCTAGAGGCTGTGGGCTCGGGCAGGAAGGGAGAACTGCATGCTTGTTGGGGAAACAAGAAAGGTGGGTGAGAGAGATGATCTTTCCATCTGAAGATGGGCAGAATTTTGCTTTGTCTCTTTAAAATTTCTGTTTTGGAAAATATTCAACAATACAAAAGAAAGAATCGTACAAAGACTTTCAAATCTCCACCAATGGCTGGGCGCAGTGGCTCACGCCTATAATCCCAGCACTTTGGGAGGCCGAGGTGGGTGGATCACCAGAGCTCAGGAGTTGGAGACCAGCCTGGCCAACATGGTGAAACCCCGTCTCTACTAAAAATACAAAAAATTAGCTGAGTGTGGTGGCGGGTGCCTGTAATCTCAGCTACTTGGGAGGCTGGGAGAGAATTGCTTGAACTCGGGAGGCAGAGGTTGCGGTGAGCCGAGATTGCACCACTGCACTCCAGCCTGGGCAACAAGAGAGAAACTCTGCCTCAAACAAACAAACAAACAAACAAACAAAACCTCTACCACCAATGATTAGCATTTTTTAATATTTGTTTTATCTTTTTTATTTTTATTTTTTAGCCAAACCATTACAAAGTAAATTATAGATGCTTGACACTTTTCCCCTAAATATTCCAGCATGCATCTCCTTAGAATAAAGCTATTGTCTTACATACATGTAATATCATTATCCCATCTAACAAAATTAACAATAATTCCTGTATGTCATCTAACACCCAGTTCATACCCAAATTTCTCCAATTGTCCCCAAAATGTATTTTGTGGTTTCTCCTCTCTCCCTCTTTCCTTCTTCCTGCCTCCTTTCTTCTCTCCCTCACTCCCTTTCTTTTTTATTTTATTCATTTATTTTTATTTTATTTTATTTTATTTTATTTTTTGAGACGGAATCTCGCTCTGTCACCCAGGCTGGAGTGCAGTGGCGCCGTCCCGGCTCACTGCAAGCTCTGCCTCCTGGGTTCACGCCATTCTCCTGCCTCAGCCTCCCAAATATAGCTGGGACTACAGGCGCACGCCGCCACACCCAGTTAATTTTTTTTTTTTTTTGTATTTTTTTTTTTAGTAGAGATGGGGTTTCACTGTGTTAGCCAGGATGGTCTTTATCTCCTGACCTTGTGATCCACCCGCCTTGGCATCCCAAAGTGCTGGGATTACAGGCATGAGCCACCGCGCCCGGCCATTTATTTATCTTTTCGAGACAGGGTCCCTCTCTGTCACCCAGGCAGGAGTGCAATGGTGTAATCTCAGCTCACTGCAGCCTCGACTTCCCAGGCACAAGCGATCCTCCCAGCTCAACCTCCCGAGGAGCTGGGACCACAGGCTCACGCCACCATGCCTGGCTAATTACTGTACTTTTTTTTTTTGTAGAGATGGGGTTTTCCCATGTTGCCCAGGCTGGTCTCAAACTCCTGGGCTCCAGCGATCTGCCCACCTTGGCCTCCCAAAGTGCTGGAATTATAGGCGTGAGGTACCACACCTGGCGCCTCCCTCCCTTCCTTCTTTCTTTCCTTTATTCCCTCCTTGCTTTTATCTTTTGAACGAGGATCCGATCTAGGTTCATGCACTGCATATGGGTATTTTTGAGTCTACACAGACCACTTGCACATTTTTTAATGACTTCAACTTTCTTAAGAGTCAAGTCGGCCGGGTGTGGTGGCTCATGCCTGTAATCCCAGCACTTTGGGAGGCCAAGGCAGGCAGATTACTTGAGGTCAGGAGTTTGAGACCAGCCTGGCCAACATGGTGAAACCCCGTCGCTACTAAAAATACAAAAATTAGGTGGGCATGGTGGCATGCACCTATAATCCCAGCTACTTGGGAGGCTGAGGCTAGGGAATTGCTTGAACCCTGGAGGTGGAGGTTGCAGTGAGCTGAGATCGCGCCACTGCAATCCAGCCTGGGCGGCAGAGTGAGACTCTGCCTCAAAAAAAAAAAAAAGAGCAAAGTCAAGTCCATTGTCTTATACGGTGTTCTCATTCTTAATTTAGTTATTTAGTTATTTCCTTGTGATGTCATCTAATTTGTTCCTCTATCCTATTTATTTCCTGTAAACCGAAAGTTAGATCTAAAGGCTTGATTAGACCCAGGCTACATACTCTTGGCAAGAATCTATTATGAGTAATACTGTACACTTCACATGGACCAGTTGCTCCAATTTTCCTTGGATGGATGGGATTGATGGATCGATGGGTGATTGCTAGACATCTTTATTATAGAAGAATTAGTCCCCTTGTGATTTGCAAGTCAGCTGTGGCATGCTGGGCTGGCACCCTGCCACATGCACCTAGGCAGGATTTTGACAGACCATTCCAGGCAGAGGTGAAAGCCTCACCAAGGTGGAAGGCACAGTACGTATTCAGGGGTGAGGAATGGCTGGATGCCATTGGCTCCAATGGAGGCTGCGGCTAGGCCCAACTGCAGAGAATTGTGAAGCGGGAGTGAAGAATGAGGATGCTGTTCACAGGCCAGAGAGAGCTGGGAAGGTCTTGGACTGAGGGATAACTAGAGTAATGATGAGAAAAAAAAATGGGTAGCACTGGACGGCAAAAATTTCCTCTGGGGTGGGGTGGGGGTGGTGAGAATGGGGGTGTCCTTGTCCCCACCTTCCACAAGCCCTCAGGTGGCCAGGACCCTGTGCCCCAGAGAGCAGGGAGCCTGTGCTGTTCTTGAGGGATATGAGGGACTCCCCAGCCCTGGAAGTAGCACAGAAACAGCTCTGGAGAGGAGGATGGGGAGATCGGGGCACTCCTGCAGGACCAGGATGGGAGAAGGGATGGGCATGACCAGGGGGCCTCCCCTGCCGCCACCTCCAGGGCCCCTGGGACCCAGTCCCACCCAGCTCTCCCAGCTTATCTTTTCTGGCCAGTAAGGAGGATTGCCCACGTGTGCTTAGCATTTCCTCTGCCTGTGACCACGCTGGCTGTACCAGAAGGAAGGGGTCTCGGTCCCTGAAATGACCACATGGAAGGTTGCCTAAGACTGAGAATGCTTGATTAGACTTCGTGTGAGAAGAAATAGCTTCTGCTGAGTTGAGCCACTGAGATTTGGAGGTGTTTGTTGCAGGAGGTAGCCTTTCCTGACTAATACTCCCTCCCTTTCTCCAGTGTCTGCCCGTGCAGGGGGAAGGTGAAGGCTGAGTGGCTGAGTGATTATGCTGCTGAAAGCTCGAGATGTGGGGACTGCTTTAATGGTTTCATCAAATCCTCCTGACAGCTGGTCCCAAGGTGGGCTGGGAACTCTGGGACAAATGTCTGGGCTTCTCCATCAGCACCTGTGCAGCCACCTCCCAGGCCCTTGTGTCCAGCCCTGACTCCCACCACTCACAGGGTGACCTTGGGCAAGTCACCACCTATTTCAATGGGAAGGCTTCCCCAGTGGGATAGAGGGGATCATGGTGCCCCCTGCCCCATCTCACAGGGACAGCAAATGCCAGGAAACCAAAGCAGACACTATTTTAAAGGATTTATTTTCCAGCAGTCCTGAGGGGCAAGGACAGGACAGGAGGGAGAAGGAGATCCCAGGACGCTTGAGGGCCCCGTTCATGGGCAGTAGGCAGATTCGTCCTTCTAGTGCCTGTGGTAGGCAGGTTGACCCTGGGTTCGGGAGGGACACAGGCCCTGGATGACACTGAGCTGGATGCCTAGGCAGTGTCACTCCCCACACTTTCAACCTGAGCCCCACAGCAAGCCTATAAGGTGAACATTCTCACTGTGATTTGTCAGGCTGGGTTCAGGGAGTGAAATGGCCTCCTCCAATTCCACAGGTTCAAATACCCTGCAGAGCGGCACCAGCCTCCCTCAGAAAGGACCAGACACTTGTAACATTTATGTCCTTTACCTGGGACACTGCTGTCCCATACTTGCTGTATGAAAAGAATATTTCTCAAGAGGAAGAGGAAGCCAGGCGCAGTGACTCACGCCTGTAATCCCAGCACTTTGGGAGGCTGAGCCAGGAGGATCGCTTGAGCCCAGGAGTTTGAGACCAGCCTGGGTAACATGGCAAAACCCCGTCTCTACAAAAATCAGCCAGAAAGGCATAGATAGACCCAAATCCCAGTCTTTAGCCTGGCCCAACCACCTGAGAATGGTCTCTACCCAGGATTCCTTCACTCAATTACACCCTACTCTTTGCCTCCTGCCACAGACAGAGAGAGAGAGCGCTACGCTACCACAGCCAGCTTCCTCCCAGGGCCAGGAAAGCTCCACCTTGTCCCCCTCTCACAGTTCCTAAAATTCTTCCATTCATCTATTTGGCCTCTTAAGTATTTACTCTGTTTTCAAATACATATATAACTCCAGCTTATAATACCAAGTCAAAGGTAGTCTTTCACACCATAGCATGAATTTGATTGTCAGCTATTTAAGGAAGGAGGCAGGGAAAGTGGAATGGGGGGTACTCTGAAGAGGCCAGGCCTGGGTATTGGAGGTTGGAGGACCACCCAAAAAAAGCCTGAGGGGAGAAGGAAATGTAAGCAGACACGACACATAGGTAAAACGAAGAAAGGTACAGGAGTCTCCTATTAGGAAAAAAAGGGGGAGGCTGGGTGTGATAGCTCACGCCTGTAATCTCAGCACTTTGGGAGCACAAGGAAGGTGGATCACTTGAGGTCAGGAGTTCAAGACCAGCCTGGCCAATATGGTGAAACCTGTCTCTACTAAAAATACAAAAATTAGCCAGCCGTAGTGGCACACACCTGTAATCCCAGCTACTTGGGAGGCTGGGGTGGGAGAATCGCTTGAACCCAGGAGGTCGAGGTTGTAGTGAGCCGAGATCACGCCACTGCACTCCAGCCTGGGCGACAGAGTGAGACCCTGCCATAAAAAAAAAAAAAAGTTGGGGGGGGGGTGGGGAGAGGGAAGAGGCCAGGCACTGTGGCTCACGCCTGTAATCCCAGCACTTTGGGAGGCTGAGGTGGGCGGATTACCTGAGGACAGGAGTTCGAGACCAGCCTGGCCAACATGGTGAAGCCTCGTCTCTACTAAAAATACAAAAATTAGCTGGGCGTGGTAGCAGGAACCTGTAATCCCAGCTACTCAGGAGGCTGAGGCAAGAGAATCACTTGAACCCAGGAGGCAGAGGCTTCAATAAGCCAAGACCACACCATTGCACTCCAGCGTGGGTGACAAGAGCGAAACTCCATCTCAAAAAAAAAAAAAAAAAGGGAGTGGGGGAAGAAAGGTGAATCTGGGCAAATTTGGGGCTTCACATTGACCCAGCTGGCCCATTTCTAGTGACCTTGAGTCTCTGTATTGATATGTAACTGCCTTTTGGCAGGGAGAGGGGAGGGACATTAGTTTTATTGATTTTGTCTGCAGCCACTTTCTGGGCTCTGATTCTGAGCCAGGGCCTGTCTGCAGTGCTCTATGCTAGAGGCTTGGAGACTAGAGTAACTTAGCTAGAAACCTTGGTCCAACTAGTGGAGAGGTGGGGGAGAAAACCCCCAAATCCCAAGAATCTGCGGAGACTGTGACTAGGGTTATTAAGAGGGGACAGAGGGCCAGGGGACATCTAATACATGAAATGGAATTACCAGCTGCTTGGGCGAGCAATGCCTTGGAGGGCTGGTGGGGCTACACATGTGCAGGTGGTGGGACTTTCTGGGTGTCAGCAACATCCCAGGCAAAGACCCAGAAGTGGGATGTGTAGTATGGGTTTGGAGAACAGGGAGCTAGAACCCAACATTCATGAAGGGAAGTGGGCAGGCTGGAGACAGAGATGGAACCCAGATCCAGAGGGCCACATGCCAGGCTTGGGAGACTGACCTCAGCTTAGGGCAGTGGGGAGTCATGGAAGGGTTTAAGCAGGGGAATCGCTGATGGGAACAGGACCCTCTGACTGCAGGGAGGGAGGCAGAGGATGGGTTAGAGGGGTCAGGGGGGAGATGGCAGTGACAGCACGGAGGTGACCAAGGGTGACAGCCACAGGGATGGAGATCAGGGAATGCAGAGAGTTGGCACAGGCTTCTGGCGGGGAGCAGCTATAATGGCAGGGAGGTAGGGCTCCTGAGCCTTCCTGGAGGAGCCAAGGCCACGGTCATCAGAGTAGGCTCTTCATTGGCTCAGCTTATTGAGAATCATCTTCACCCAGGGCACTCTGGGATCGGCACAGATCTCCTTATCCCTGAAGGTTAGCAACCTGGAAGAAGGAGACCCCAGAGACAATGCAGCAACATTAGCACGCAGCAAGGATGCCACACCCTCGGGAGCTTAGCATTTATGAGCCACCTACTTTATGCAGGGCTCAGCATTTATGAGTCACCTACTACATATGACATTATCTGCTAAATAGAGTGGTTCAAAATTTACAAGCCACCTGTGGTGTGAAAAGAATATTTCTCAGGAGGAAGAGGAGGCCAGGAGTTCACGCCTGTAATCCCAGCACTTTGGGAGGCCGAGGCAGGAGGATTGTTTGAGCCTAGGGGTTTAAGGCCATCCTGGGCAACATGGCAAAACCCTGTCTCTACAAAAACGTACAAGTCAGCCAGGCATGGTGACATCTGCCTGTGATCTCAGCTACTTGGGAGGCTGAGGTGGGAGGATTGCTTGGACTCAGGAGGTCAAGGCTGCAGTGAGCCCAGATCTCTGCTCCACTGTACTCCAGCCTAGGCAACAGAATGAGACCCCGTGTCAAGAAAAAAAAAAAGAGGAAGAGGCAGCAAGGACTTCCAGGACCCTCAGCTCTTGAATCCCAGCCTTGAGTTCCAGATCAGGCCATGAAATAGAATCCCCAAGAGTTGGGTTTTGTTTTTGTTTTTGTTTTGTTTTGTTTTGTTTTTATTTTTTGAGATGGAGTCTCTGTCACCCAGGCTGGAGTGTAGTGGTACGATCTTGGCTCACTGCAACCTCCAACTCCTGGGTTCAGGCGATCCTCCTGCCTCAGGCTCCCGAGTAGCCGGGATTACAGGTGCCCGCCACAACACCCAGCTAATTTTTGTATTTTTAGTAGAGATAGGTTTTCACCATGTTGGCCAGGCTGCTCTTGAACTTCTGACCTCAAGTGATCCTGCCTGTCTCGGCCTCCCAAAGGCTAGGATTATAGGAGTGAGCCACTGCGCCAAGCCAGAATCCCCAAGAGTCTTATAATATCACTTAACTACTCTGAGCCTCCAGACACATTCTTTCTAGGGTCCCTTCTGGCTCAAAATCCAGTGATCACATATGATTTGATTGATTGATTGATTGATTTTAGAGACAGGGTCTCACTCTATTGAGGCTTGTCTTGAACTCCTGGCCTCAAGTGATCCTCCCAACTCAGCCTCCCAAAGTCCTGAGATTACAGGTGTAAGCCACTGCACTCAGCCTTTTTTATTTAAAAAAATGAAATAAAGACAGAGTCTCAGTAAGTTTCCAGGCTGGCCTCAAAATCCAGGGCTCAGGAAATCCTCCTGCCTCAGCCTCCCAAGTAACTGAGAAGCACTACATGCCCAGCAATTGAGCATCTATTATGTGCCAGACATTGAGCTCTTCACCTTCCTCTTACTATTACTGTGCCCTGTAATGCTCAAGAGGCCCCCTAACCTTTTTGTGCTCATTTCCTCACCTGTGAAAAGGGGGTCACGATGGCACCTACTGCATAGGATTGTTTCAAGGATTAAATGAGTTCATATTTATAAAGTGCTTACGGCAGAGCCTAGCACTTAGCAAGCACTCTCTATGTGTTTGATAAATACAAATAAGTCAAATAAGTTTAGGTTATTACTTCATTATACTGTTGGGGAAACTGAGGCTCAGAGTTAAAGAGACAAGAACTCTGGGAGGGCTTCCTGCTTCAGCCTTTTTTATTATTCACCTGCAGATCCCTCTAAGAGATGGTGTCAGCAATAAGGAGGAGGAAGATGAGAAGATAATAGAGGCCCAAAGTGGGTCATGAGTCCCCAAACCCAGCCTCCCCAGGTGTGAGATTTGGTAGGCAGCAGGCTCTGAGCAGTTGGAGAAGCAGCCAGAGAGGCTACCGCAGAGAGGGCAGGACTTGTCACCCAGCCAGGTGCAGGTGCAGGCCCCAGGCCAGGGAAAAGGAGGCAAAGAAGCCAGAGAAAGAAGCAAAGGAGAACAAGAAACTCAGGAGAAAGCCCTGAACGAGGAACCAGGAGTGAGTTCTGGCTCCAACCTGGGCAGCCTTGAGCAGGTCACTGTCCCTTGCTAAGCCTGTTTCTCCATCTCTACCATGGGAATCGTTGAACTTCCTCGTAGGATTGTTGTGAGAATTAAACCAGTTAACACAGGTAATGATCAGAACAGTGCCTGGCACTCGGGAGGCACCTTGGAAATTTTAGCTCTTAATGTTATTCTTCTGGTCAAAATGGGCTGCCTTGGACTTCTGGGAGCCTGGAGAGGATCCAAGACACTTCTGGTGTGAGCATTTTTTTTTTTTTTTTTTTTTTGAGACAGAGTCTCCCTCTGTTGCCCAGGCTGGAGTGAGGTGGAGCGATCTCGGCTCACTGCAACCTCCACCTTCCAGGTTCAAATGATTCTCCTGCCTCAGCCTCCCAAGTAGCTGGGACCACAGGCACGCACCATCACACTCAGCTAATTTTGTATTTTTAGTAGAGATGGGGTTTCACCATGTTGACCAGGCTGATCTTGAACTCCTGACCTCAAGTGATCTGCCTGCCTCGGCCTCCCAAAGTGCTGGGATTACAGGCATGAGCCACCACGCCTGGTTCACCATCCATTTTTGCCCAGAACCTGGGAGCATCTTTGCTGACTCAGTGGCACTAGGTATACTCCTATACCTGCTATACCCAAATACCCTAGATGCCACAGCTACTGACTACCTACTGCCATACCCACACTGTGGTGGCACCCTGTTCACTCAGCTCTGCATCCTCAGAACCTGACATGTTGCCTGGCACCTAGTAAGCGCCTGAGGATATTGGCTAAACGATCACATTATTTTTGTTTGTAGTCCACCCAAGCCTGAACTGAGCCATCTCTTCCAGCCAAGCCATCCTGGCAGGCATCTGGTAGCCCTGCCACATTCCTCTCATCCCTGGGTGTGTCCCACCCACCAGCACCTGGGCCATCCCAGGCTGTACCCGTCAGGCCCACCAAGGCCCTGTGGCCCCAGCTCCCTACTCACACCACGCCAGGCCTCGGGCAGGAGTCTGAGGTCCAGTAGAAGTGTTTCACCACGCGCAGGGGCAGACGGTAACGGACGTAATCACGGCAGCAGACGCTGTCTTCCATGTTGGCGCCGTAGGGGCCTAGGGGAGGGGTCCCCAGTGAATTCACAAGCTGGAGCCCAGAGAGGTCACCCTCGGCCCCAGCCCCTGATCTCGGCCTCTCCAGGCTCCAGGAAAGAGATGCAGTTTTTCTGTTCTCATGTGGAAGGATGGTGACCAGAGGATTCTGAGCCCTCCAAGACCCTACCCTTGGAGCTTCTGAGAAGCCACTTAGGGTCCAATGTCTACACTCTGGGACAGTCAGCTCTAGGAGCGGGGATTCAGAACAACTAAGCATCAGCTGTAGCCTGAGGCCCAATTTCCTCCTCTGACCAAAGGGGTAATAACAGTACCAGCTTCAGAGGGTCTTTAATGCATGAAAAGCACTCAGAAAGCCCAGCAGCTGGGAGCAATTCTTGTTTATAGCTGCCTGACCCCACTCCAGTGCTCACTCCTCCACCCAACACAGCAAAAGTATAGAGTGGGGTGGAGAAGAGGAGTCAGGAATCCATGCTGAGGACAGGTTCTGGACAAAAATGGATAGTGAGCCCAGAGCAGTGGCTCACGCCTGTAATCCTAACACTTAGGGAGGCCAAGATGGGAGTTTCACTTGAGGTCAGGAGTTCGAGACAAGACCGGTCAGCATGGTGAAACCCCATCTTTACTAAAAATACAAAAATTAGCCGGGCATGGTGGCAGGTGCCTGTAATCCCAGCTACTCAGGAGGCTGAGGCAGGAGAATCACTTTAACTCCAGAGGTGGAGGTTGCAGTGAGCTGAGATTGCGCCACTGCACTCCAGCCTGGGCAACAGAGACTCCATCTCAAAAAATAAATAAATAAAATGAAATAAAAAATAAATTTAGGCTAGACGCAGTGGCTCATGCCTGTAATCCCAGCACTTTGGGAGGCTGAGGTGGGAGGATCATCTGAGGTCAGGAGTTTGAGACCAGCCTGGCCAACATGGTGAAACCCTGTCTCCACTAAAAATACAAAAATTAGCCAGGTGTGGTGGTGCATGCCTGTAATCCCAGCTACTCAGGAGGCTGAGGCAGGAGAATCGCTTGAACCTGGGAGGTAGAGGTTGCAGTGGGCCAAGATTGCCCCACTGCACTCCATCCTGGGCAACAAGAGTGAAACTGTGTCTCAAAAAATAAAATAAAATAAAATAAAAAATAATAATAATAACATTTTAAAAAATGGATGGTGGGAGGGCAGCACCAGCTTTCCAAGGGAGAACCCCTTGCCCCAGCCCTGCCTTCCCCCACTCAGACCTGACCCTTAGAAGCTCCTCACCCACACCCCTAGGGCCCTATGCTTGAGTTTTCTGGGGCAGGAGATCCCGAGGCTATGCCCACCACAACCCCCAACCCAGGTGAGACAGATCCTAGACTCCAAGTCTTCAAGACTGCCCATTCAACAGACTTGTAAACTGAGGCCCAGAGAAGCACTGCAACTAGCCGAAGGCCGCAAGAGCCAACAGCAGACTGAGGTCTTCTGCTCTTGGTCCAGTGCTTGTCCAAGACATGAGGAAGACACCCCACCGTCTGCCCTGGCCTCTGTAGGGGGTCTTCCTGCTCCCCAGCCTCACCTGCCTCAGTTGCTTGAAGCGCCACAGCAAGGAGGACGAGGACAACCAGGAGTGCAGTCTGTAGGCGATCCATGCTCTGTCCTGTATGTCTCAGCCCAGGTGTCTGCAAAGGGACATAGGAAGACCTGCTATTTAAGGTGCTGGCTCCACCCACAAGCCTCACTTACTTACCTCTTAGTCACCGGGGTGCCCAGAGTCACTTGACATTCACATCTCAAAAGAAGAACTACCTCCCACTTCCTCCAAAGTGGAGAAATTCTCTTTGGCGGGGAACCACTCAGAGGGGACCCCCCCTCAACTCTGTCCTCGCCTCTGGTTTCAGACAGACTTGTAAAATCCCCCTCTTAGAGGCTTGTGCTCCCCAGGGTCTCTGCACTGTGTGGCCTTGGCCATGTCTGGGTGTCTCTGGGACTTGGTTTCCCCATCTGGAAATGGGGGAGATGGTTTCACAGCTCTGTTGACTTCACTGGTTGTAAATCAAGTGAGAACGTGGACCAACCCTCACCTAGAATTGAGGCCTGTCTTGTACCCTTAATGACGGCATTACTGGTCTCTCTTCAATGGGAGAGGCCTATGGACCCATTGACCCATCTGGGGCTTCTCGTGAAGTCCACATTTGGGCCAGGTCGTGGATTTCTCAACGGTTTATGGAAAGCATCTACCCACACTTCTGTCCTGCCTGATCTTCCTTCCCAGTGGCTGCCGGGCTCTCCCTCCCCCACTCCTGTCTCAGTCCCTCACCATGTCCATGTCCCGTTGATTCTGCTTCCTAAATCTCTCTCAGATCTGCTCCTTCTCTCCAACCCCACTGTTCCTGCCCAGTCCAGGCCACCTCCACCTCAGGCTGGGATGCTGGCCTCCTCAATGCCATCCCCACCCTGCAGCAGCCAGCGTGAGTGGTCCAGAGCTACACACTCTCTCTCCTGCTTCAGAACCCTGCCGTGGCTCCCCATTCACCTAAAGGCAGGTCCCGGGCTCCTGTCTGTGGCCTTCAAGGCCCCGTTTCCGGACAGGCCTTTCCCCACTGGTCTCCTTCCCCTGAGGGATCACACCACACTCCTCACACTTCCTCAAAAGGGACTGCGGCCTGTCCCTGGCCTTTAATGTCACTTTCCACATCTCTACCACATAAACTCCTACTTATGCGTCAAAGCTGTTTGAAATGTCATGTCCTTGGTAAGCACACCCTCTCAGGACTTCAAAGCCTTCTAGGGGACCTGGAATGTGGCCCTGAGCAGACTGGGTCAGGTTTTCTCTTTCTCAAGCCCCTCCCTAGAAGTCAGACTCCAAGCTCTAGGAGGCTGGGGTCTCCCTTCATTTTTCTTGGCATTCCCAGGGCCCTCTGAGGATCAGGCACATGTTGGGTGCTCAGAACACATGGGCTGGGTGCAGTGATTCATGACTGTAATCCCAGCACTTTGGAAGGCCCAGGCAGGTGGATCACCTGAGGTCAGGAGTTCAAGACCAGCCTGGCCAACATGGAGAAACCCCATCTCTACCAAAAATACAAAAATTGGCCGGGTGTGATGGCATGCGCCTGTAATCCCAGCTACTTGGGGGGCTGAGAGGCAGGAGAATCGCTTGAATCCGGTGAGAGGCAGAGGTTGCAGTGAGCCAAGATTGCGCCACTGCACTCTAGCCTGGGTGAGAGAATGAGAGTCCATCTCAAAAAAAAAAAAAAAAAAAAAAAGAAAGAAAGAAAGAAAAAAAAGAACACATCTAATGAAGGAGGAAACTGAGGTTCAGAGAGAGAGGACTTGCCCAGTTCACACAGCCACACAGAGGCTACGCCAGGCCTGGAACTCAGAACTTGGGACTCCATGTATAAAGGGACCCATCCATTCATCCAATTCCTTCATTCAGCAAACATTTATTGAACGCTGTGGTAAACAGAATAATGGCCCCCCTAAATGTCCACATTCTAATCCCCAAAACCTATGAATATGTTACCTTACATGGTAAAAAGGACTTTGCAGATGTGACTGTTTAGGGTTTAGGATTTTTGTTGTTGTTGTCGTTGTTTTAGAGGCAGGATCTCACTCTGTCACACAGGCCGGAGTGCAGTGGTGCAATCACAGCTCACTGCAGCCTTGACCTCCTGGGCTCAAGCGATCCTACTGCCTCAGCCTCTCAAGTAGCTGGGACTACAGGTGTGTGCCACCACGCCCTGCTCATTTTTATTTCTTGTAGAGATGGGGATCTCACTATGTTGCCAGGGCTGGTCTTGAACTCCTGGCCTCAAGCAATCCTCCTATCTTGGCCTCTTGAAGTGCTAGGATTATGGGTGTGAGCCACCATACCTGACCTAGGATCTTTAAAGAGGGAGATTTATTGGATTATCTAGACAGGCCCAAGGCAATCACAGAGTTATTTCAAGAGGGAGGCTGTGGGTCAGAGTCAGAAGAGATGATGGATGACAGAGCAGAGGTCCCAGTGACGTGGAACTGTGAACCCAGGGATGCAGGCGGGCTGGAGAAGCTGGAAGAGGCAAGGAAACAGATTCTCCCCCAGAGCCTCCAGAAAGAACTTATCCCTCCCCACACCTTGATTTTAGTCCACTGAGACTGATTTAGGACTTCTGACCTCCCAGGCTATTGGATAATAAATTTGTGATGTTTTAAGCCACCAAGTTCATGGTCATTTGTTACAGCAGCCAGAGGAAGCTCATACAAGCACCTACTATGTGCCAAGTGCACTGCCAGAGCCTGGGAAGGCAGCCTGAACAGGAGAGCAGGGGCCCCTGCTCTCATGGAGTTTGTCTTCCACAACAGACAAACATGGCAAACAAGGTAATGTCAGGCTGGGAGGAACACCGGGAAGCGAATGAAACAAAGAAGCAGCTTTGGGATAGGCAGTCGGGAAAGGCCTCTAGAACGGGGTGACATTTCAGCTGAAATTCAAAGATAGAAAGGAGGCCAGGCACGGTGGCTCATGCTTGTAATCCCAGCACTTTGGGAGGCTGAGGCAGGCAGATCACTTGAGGTCAGGAGTTCAAGACCAGCCTGGCCGATGTGGTGAAACCTCATCTCTACCAGAAATACAAAAATTAGCCATACATGGTGGCATGCACCTGTAATCCCAGCTACTTGGGAGGCTGAGGCAGGAGAATTGCTTGAACCCCGGAGGCAGGCAGAGATTGCAGTGAGCTGAGATCGCACCACTGTACTCCCGCCTGGGTGGCAGAGCGAGACTCCATCTCAAAAAAAAAAAAAAAAAAGAAGATAGGAAGGAGCCTGCCAGGGAGCACAGCAAATGCAAAGGCCCAGACAGAGTGAGAGGGCTGAACAGCTGAGACAGTGTGGGTAGAGACAGAATGGGTAGAGATGCAGAGCACAGCTGAGTGGAGAGGCTGGCAGGCAGGGACCGCAGGGTTCCTGTGAGCTCCTGCTAGGATGCAATCTGAAGTGCACGGCATCATCTCGGAGGACCTCTTTTCAAAAGCCATGACCCAGGACCAGTCACAAAAGAACAAACACTGTATGATTCCACTGCTTTGGGGAACCTGGAATAGTCACATTCACAGAGACAGAAGGCAAAATCGTGGTTGCCAGGGGCTGGAGGTGGGGGAATGGGCGTTAGTGTTTCATGGGGACACAGTCTCCATTCTGCAAGATGAAAGTTCTGGAGGTGGATGATAGTGATGGTTGCACAACAATGTGAATGTACTTAATTCCACTGAACTGTACACTTAAAAATGGTTACAATGGTAAATGTATGTGATTCACAGTTTCACCATTTTTTAAAAGGTGCTCCCCTACAATCAAATCAAGTCCCTAGTATTAATTACCAGTTGACAAGAAATACAGGGGCTAGAGGAAAAAGATAAATGGCCCTGTGAGGAAGCAATCAGACAACCCCAGAAGGTGGAACCTTCCAGATGCTCTTCAGGATAACAGTCCTCAGATCATCAAAAAGTTAATGTTGGTCCGGCGTGGTGGCTAAAGCCTGTGAGCACTTTGGGAGGCCCTGGAAGGCGGATCACTTGAGGTCAGGAGTTTGAGACCAGCCTGGCCTACATGGTGAAACCCCATCTCTACTAAAAATACAAAAATTTAGCTGGGTGTGGTGGTGCGTGCCTGTAGTCCCAGCTACTTGGATGGCAGAGGCATGAGAATCACTTGAACCTGGGAAGAGGAGGTTGCAGTGAGCCGAGATCGCGCCACTGCACTCCAGCCTGGGCAACGAAGTGAGACTCTGTATCCAAAATTTTTAAAAAAGTTAATGTTGTTTTAAAAAAATAATAAAGTGAATAGAACATTTAAGATTAAAAGAGGCTTAAGAGACATAACAGCCAAATGCAATACACGGACCTTGATTGAATCCTAGTTTTGAAAAAAGTCAGGGCACGGTGACTCACGCCTGTAATCCCAGCACTTTGTGGGTCTGAGGATCGCTTGAGGCCAGAAGTTTAATACCAGTCTGGGCAACATGGTGAAAACCCCTCTCTACAAAAAATACAAAAAAAATTAACCGAGTGTAGTGGCATGCGCCTGTAGTTCCAGCTACTCAGGAAGCTGAGATGGGAGGATCACTTGAGCCCAGGAGGTGGAGGTTACAGTGAGCCAAGATCACAGCACTGCACTCCAGCCTGGGTGATAGAGTGAGACCCTATCTCAGAAAAGAAAAAGAAAAAACAGGGGGCCAGGCACAGTGGCTCACGCCTGTAATCCCAGCACTTTGGGAGGCCGAGGCAGGTGGATCACCTGAGGTCTGGAGTTCAAGGCCAGCCTGGCCAAAATGGTGAAACCCCATCTCTACTAAAAATACAAAAATTAGCCTGGCGTGGTGGTGCGCACCTGTAATCCCAGCTACTCAGGAAGCTGAGGTAGGGTAATTGCTTGAACTCAGGAGGTGGAGGTTGCTGTGAGCCGAGATGGCACCATTGCACTCCAGTCTGAGCGACAGTGCAAGACTCCATCTCAAAAAAAAAAAAAAAAAAAAAAAAAAAGGAAAAGAAAAAAACAGCTCTAAAAAGATCTTTTGGGAACCAGCGGGGACATGTGAAAATGTGAATATGGGCTGGATATTATAGTAGATATTCGTGCTTTATTGTTGATTTTCTTCAGTGTAATGTGGGAAAATGTCCTCATTCCTAGAAGATGAAGTATTTAAGGATAAAGGTCATAAAACACTGAAGTATTTAGGGATAAAGGTCATGATCACCTTACTTTCAAAGAGTTCATGGGAAAAAAATGTGTGTAGACATATATGGATATGTATGCAATATGTGTGTATACATATGTGTATGCATAACTATAGATGTATGTGCCTATCTATATATGTGTATATATATGAATATGTATGTAATATATGTTCATATATGTGTGTATAGCTACAGATGTATGTACATATCTATATATGTGTGTGTATATATATGGATGTGTATGTAGTGTGTATATATATGTATGTATAACTATAGATGTATGTGCATATCTATGTGTATATATATGAATATTTATGTAACATGTGTCTGTATATGTGTGTATATATGGATGTGTATGTAGTATGCATGTGTTTATATATATGCATATGTGCATGTGTAGACATAGATGTATGTGTATATGTGTGTATAGTGTGTATATGTGTGTGTGTGTGTGTGTGTGTGTGTGCATATCTCCCAGAGAGAGAAAAGAGAGACTAAGTATATGTGGTAAACTGAGCATCAACGATGTTGCAGCTTGGCAGTGGATATACTGGTGATCACTGAACTACTCTAAGGACTTTCCTGAATATTTAAAATGTATCATATAAAGGCAGCTGAAGGTATTGGGGTGGGGGGAAAGAAAAAACAAAATAAATAAGAATAAAATGTGTCATAATAAAAACTTGGGGTGGCGGAGAAGAAATCTTTAAATGTGGAAGTCATCCTGTGGCCTATGGGCGGCTCTTGGAGGACTGAAAGTGAGTGACAGAGAATTGGCCTGGTGGCTCTTCACCCGAACCTGGGGTTTTCTTACAGGGGGCACTCCAAGGCCGAGGTCCCTCCATGGGTGGGCTCAGGGGCTCCCCCCTGGAGAGCCCCTGAGTCCCCAGGGACTCGGCAGGGCTCCAAGTCCTTGCTGCTGGCTCAGCCTTTGCAGCAGCCGCCCTCCCCATTACCCCTCTCCCTGGGCTTACAAGGAAGGTAAGTCACACCTGGGGGCCAGCAACCTTTGCACCCCCAGTGCCCTTGACCTCCTGGGAGCTGGAGAAGAGCAGGCATGGCATTCAATGCCATGGCCAAAAAGGACACGGGAAACCAGCTTTCAAAGAAAGGAAAGGGGAGTTCCTCTTGGGGCTGCAGGTGGGGAATCATCAGAGACACAGAGGGCAGCTGTTGTTGATGGGGGTGTCTTCTCTCCTCCTGTCAGGTGTTTTATGCTGGTGTTATCCTTCTGTCCATGCTGCAATGTGTGGAAAGCTCCCAGATCTAACCCTCTTTTCCTCAACCTTCCTTCTTCTTTTGTTTAAATTAATGTGTTTATTAAAAATACATTAAGGTAGAAACAACCCAAATGTCCATCAACTGATAAGTGGATACAGAAAATGTGATATATGTATGATCCAGGAATCCCACTGCAGGGTATTTATCCAAAAGGAAGGAAATCTGTATATCAAAAGATGTCCATACACCCATGTTTATTGCAGCACTGTTCACAATAGCCAAGATATGGAATCAACCTAAGTGTCCACCAATGGAGGAATGGATTACAAGAATGTGGTATATATACACAATGGAATACTATTTAGCTATAAAAAAGAATGAAATCCCATCATTTGCAGCAACATGGATGGAACTGGAGGTCCTTATGTAAAGTGGAATAAGCCAGGCACAGAAAGACAAATATCATATGTTCCCACATATGTCGGAGCTAAAAAGTTGATCCCATGGAGGTAGAGAGTACAATGGTGGGTTACCAGAGGCAAGGGAGAGGTATGGGGATAAATAGTAATTGGTTAAAAAGTAAAAAATACAGATGGATAGAAGGAGTAAGTTCTAGTATTTGATAGTATAGTGGGGAGATTATAGTTAAAAATAATTTATCATATATTTCAAAATAGCTGGAAAAGATTTATATATATATATATATATATTTTTTTTTTTTTTTCTTTTTGAGTCGGAGTCTTGCTCTGTCGCTCAGGCTGAAGTGCAGTGGCACGATCTTGGCTCACTGCAAGCTCCACCTCCCGGGTTCACGCCATTCTCCTGCCTCAGCCTCCTGAGTAGCTGGGACTACAGGCACCCGCCACCCTGCCCAGCTAATTTTTTTTTTTGTATTATTAGTAGAGATGGGGTTTCATCGTGTTAGCCAGGATGGTCTCGATCTCCTGACCTCGTGATCTGCCCATCTTGGCCTCCCAAAGTGCTGGAATTACAGGTATGAACCACCATGCCCAGCCTGGAAAAGATTTATAATGGTCCCAACATAAAGAAATGATAAGCCAGGAGCGGTGGCTCACGCCTGTAATCCCAGCACTTTGGGAGGCTGAGGTGGGCGGATCATGAGGTCAGGAGATTGAGACCATCCTGGCTAACACGGTGAAACCCCATCTTTACTAAAATACAAAAAATGAGCCGGGCGTGGTGGCGGGCGCCTGTAGTCCCAGCTACTCGGGAGGCTGAGGCAGGAGAATGGCGTGAACCCAGGAGGCGGAGCTTGCAGTGAGCCGAGATCGCGCCACTACACTCCAACCTGGGCGACAGAGCAAGACTCTGTCTCAAAAAAAGTAAAAAAAATAAAATAAATAAAAATAAAAGAAATGATAAATGTTTGAGGTGATGGATATCCTAATTATCTTGATTTGATCATTGCGTATTGTATACAGTTATCAAAATATCACATGCACCCCCAAAATATATATAACTATGAAATCTCAATTTAAAACATAAAATATATGCGGTACATACATGCAACAGAAAATTATTCAGCCTTACCCAGCACTTTGGGAGGCCGAGGTGGGCAGATCATTTGAGGTCCAGAGTTCAAGACCAGTCTGGCCAACATGGTGAAACCTTGTCTCTATTAAAACTACAAAAAACTAAGCCGGGCATGTTGACGCATATCTGTAATCCCAGCCACTCGGGAGGCTGAGGCATGAGAATCGCTTGAACCCAGGAGGTGGAGGCTGCAGTGAGCCGAGATGGCGCCACTGCACTCCAGCCTGGGTGATAGAGTGAGACCCTGTCTCAAAAAAAAAAAAAAAAGAAAAAGAAAAAAAATTATTCAGCTTTAAAAAGAAAAGAAATTCTAGAACCAGTCACAAAAAGACAACAGGGTATAATTCTGCTAATATAAGGTACCCAGAGCAGTCAAATTCACAGAGACAGAAAGGAGAATGGTGGCTGCCAGGGTGGGTCTGGGAGGTGGGGAATGGGGAGTTATTGTTTAATGAGGGTGGAATTTCATTTTGGGAAGATGAAAGCATTCTGGAAATGGAACGTGGTGATGGTTACACAACCATGTGAATGTACTTAATACCACAGAACTGTACACTTAAAATGGTTTAGATGGTAAATTTTATGTTACGTATATTTTAGCACAATAAAAATACACAATAACATATAAATGTGTATTTGCACAAGTGTATAGTTTATATGTGGAAAGATACACAAACAATCTCTATTAGTTGCCTCCAAGGACTCAGGGTAGTGGGTGGGGCAGGTGCTCAGAGGGGAAGACTTACTTTCCACCAAATGCCCTTACTTATGATTTGAACATTTTTCCATGTGCATGACTGACCTATGCAAAAAGATAAAATTTTAAATTCATGCATTACAAAAGGGGTAGAATGAAAAGCAGTTTTCCCACCTCTGAGATGCTACTCACCCCCATGCCAGGTTTAATTTCCTTTCCTCAGAGGCAAACAGGCTTAATGATTTCTTGTTTGTCCTTCAGAAATAGGCTATGCATATTGCAAGCTTCTGTGTAAAGGAAGGAAGATGGGAAGTGAGAAGGAAGAGAGGGAGGAAGGGATGGAAGGAAGGAAGGTGCAGGGGGGTAAAAAGGAAGGAAGAAAGGGAGGGAGGGAAGGAAGAAAGAGGGAAGGAGGGAGGAGGGAAGGGGGAAGGATGGTGGGAGGGAAGGATGGAAGAGCGAGAGAAGGAAGGAAGAAAGAAAGGAGGGAAGAAGGAGGCAGGAAGGAAGAGCAGAAGATAAGATATACGAAAACCTGTTTTGCACCTTGGTTTTTTCACGTAAAATGCGTCTATCAAAATATCTAGCCAAACCGTGTTCTTTCTATTGGCTGGGTGGTTTTCCACGATATGGATATACCATAATGCCTATAGCCAGTCCCCGACTGATGGATATTTTGGGCTTTTCCAGTCTTTTTCATTTATAGAATAATGTCAAAATAACCTTCCTTGAGTGTACTTGCAAGGGGGAATGCTTCTGGTGGGCAAATTCCTAGAAGTAAGGTGGCTGGGCTTTTATATATCCACAGAGATTTAAAAAGAAAGCCCCTGCCCTGAACAGCTGTCTCGGAGCTTCCTCTTTTCAGCAGACGCAGGGGGTGCCCCAGGAGAGGCTCTGTATGGGGTTGAGAGGAACACTTCAACCACTGATTTCTTTCGTTGTTTTTTTTTTTTTTTTCAAGACGGTATCTTACTCTGTCGCCCAGGCTGGAGTGCGGTGTCACAATCACAGCTCACTGCAGCCCCGATCTCCCCAGGCTCAGGTGATTCTCCCACCTCAGTTGTTGTATTTTTAGCAGATATGGGGTTTCACCATGTTGCCCAGGCTGGTCTCCCACTCCTGGGCTCAAGTGATCCACTAGCCTCAGCCTCCCAAAGTTCTGGGATTACAGGCGTGAGCCATCGCTCCCAGCCCGAGACTATTTTTTAATAGAGATGGGGTTTCACCATGTTGCCCAGGCTGGTCTCAAACTTCTGGGCTCAAGGAATCTTCCTGCCTCCGCCTACCAAAGTGCTGGAATTACAGGCATGAGCCACCGCACCCGGTCGACATTTTCATCACCACAAAAAGAAACCCCATATCATTAACAGTCACTCCCCGTTTTCCCCTATCCCCAACTTCTGGCAACCGTGAATCTATTTTCTATCTCTATGGGTTTATCTTTTGTGGGTATTTCATACCCATGGAATCATATATATAATACGTGGCATTTTGTGTCTGATTTCTTTCACTTAATGTTTTCAGAGTTCATCTGTATTGTAGCATGTATCAGCACTTCATTCTTTTTCATTGCTGGATAATATTCCACTGTATGGATGGACCCATTGTGTTTATCCATTCATCAGCTAATGGGCATTTGGGCTATTTCCACTTTTTGGCTCTTGTGAATCATGCTGCTACAAACAATTTTGTGCAAGTTTTTTTGTGAACATGTTCTCCATTCTTTGGGGCATATATGTGGAAATGGAATTGCTGGGTCATGTGGTAACTCTAGGTTTAACTTTTGGAGAACCTACCAGGCTGGTTTTGTTACTGGATGGTGCCATGCAGTTCTGGGTTCTTGGTGTCCCGAACAAAGAACTGGAGGAGACACACATGGAAAGCAAAGCAAAGCAGCAACAGGGTAAGAAGTGCAGTGTCCACTCACAGATGTGGGAGCGGACTGACCTCTGCAGATGAGATCAGCATCAGCTTGGTGTCATTTGGGTCTTTTCATGAGTTTTTTTCTTCTCGTCACAAGGCTGCCTAATCTCTAGCCAGTGTTTGGCTTTTGATTGATAGGTGTGTTGCTCAGTTACTTTGGGCCCTTGTGCATTTCTGTGTCTCCTCTATCCCATAATTTTAAGTACATGCATGATATACAGCCCATATGCACGAACCTTAAGTAGCTGATAATCATGCAGGATTATGTGAAAGATACTTTTTCTCTAATGCGCATGCCCATCTCTGAAGAGCTTCCCCTTAGTGGTTTGGTCTGGATCTTGCTGGCCATGGGGTCCTTGCTCACTACTTTTTTTTTTTTTTGAGACGAGTCTCCCTCTGTTGCCCAGGCTGGAGTGCAGTGGCGCAAAATCGGCTCACTGCAACCTCCGCTTCCCAGGTTCAAGTCATTCTCCTGCCTCAGCCTCCCCAGTAGCTGAGATCATAGGTGGGCACCACCATGCCCCAGCTAATTTTTTTGTATCTTTATTAGAGACAGGGTTTCACCATGTTGGCCAGCCTGGTCTCAAACTCCTGGCCTCAAATGATCCACCCATCTCGGCCTCCCAAAGTGCTGGAATTACAGGTGTGAGCCACTGCGCCCTGCCTCCTTGCTCACTACTTTATCTCACTTTTGTTTTGGCTGCTGAACCTCTGCTTTTCATCTCACTTCTTGCTCACCCACCCCTTCACCTTGTTTCTGTTCTCTGCTTTTACTTATTCTGTCCTTTATCCAACTTTCAGTTCCCTTTGCTATTCTTCTGCCTCATTTTCCCTATTCTCTTGCCTCATTTTCAAGGAGGTTCTACCATTTTACATGAGTGTTCTATTTTCCCACCAACCTTTGCTATTGCCTGTCCTTTTGATTACAGCTATCCGAGTGGGGGTGACGTGCTGTCTCTCTGGCTTTGATTAGCATTTCCCTAATGACTAATGATGCTGAGTATCTTATCATGTGTGTATTGGACATTTGTCTATTTCCTTTGGAAAAATGTCTGTTCAAGTCTTTTGCCCATTTTCCATTTTTCAGTTGTGTTGTTTGTCTTTTTTGTTGTTGACTTGTAATGGTTCTTCATGTATTTTGATATTAGATCTCTATCAGATGTATGATTTACACATATTTTATTCTTTGGGTTGACTTTTCACTTTATTGATAACACCTTTGGAGCACAAAACCTTTTCACTTTGATAATATCCAATTATCTATTGTTTCTTTGGTTACTTGTGCTTTAGATATTATATCTAAGAAATGGTTGCCTAACCCATGGCCATGAAGATTTGCTCCTATGTTTTCTTCTAAGAGTTTTATATTTTGATTCATTTTGAGTTACATTTGGTAAATGATGTGAGTGAGGGATCCAACTTTAGTCTTTTGTATGTGGATATCCAGTTGTGTCAGGTTATTTATTGAAAAGACTATTCTTTCCCCCATTGAATTATCTTGGCACTCTTATCAAAAATCAACTGCCCATAAATGTATTCATTTATTTCTGGACTCTCAGTTTCTACACAATTTTTTTTTTTTTTTTAAGAGACAAGGAGCTTGCTCTGTTGCCCAGGCTTGCAGTGGTGCAATCACAGCCTCGAACTTCTGGGCTCAAGCCATCCTCCCTTCTCAGCCTCCTGAGTAACTGAAACTATAGGCATGCAGCACTGTAACAGGCTAATTTTGTTGTTTGTTTGTTTTTGGAGAAACAGGGTGTCACTTTGTTGCCCAGGCTGGTCTCAAACTTCTGGGCTCAAGCGATCCTCCCACCTCAGTCTCCCAAAGTGCCAGGATTGCAGGTATGAGCCACCACACCCAGTCCACAATCTTCATTAGTCCTTCATAGTAATTCCCTCCTCCTAGGTCTTCTTATTTTTTTAATTTTCAAACAAATCTTTCAAATATGCAGAAAAGTAAAACAAATCTTGGGATCCACAACCTAGATTTAACAGCAGTTAACATTTTACTGTCTTTTGGTTCACTAAGAAATAAAATATTTTAGATAGAGCCAGGCATGGTAGCTCGTGCCTGTAATCCCAGCACTTTGAGAGGCCAAGGAGGGCAGATCGCTTGACCTCAAGAGTTCAAGACCAGCTTGGGTGACATAGTGAGATCTCATCTCTACAAAAAATAAAATAAAATAAAATAAAATAAAATAAAGAAATAAAGTATTTTAGATACAACCAGAGCTACCCTACCCCTACCCCCACCCATTTCCCCTCCCTATCTCTTTTTGGGTAACCACAAAACCACCTAGGAAGTTACTGGGGTCCTTCCCAAGGATGTCATTGTACTTTTATAGCCTTATAAATAAGATATAGCATTGTTCTGTGGGCCTTAGTATTTTACGTAGGCAGCATCATACAGGATATAACCTTTTATAACCTGCTTGTTTTGTTCACGTTTATCTTTGTAAGCTTTTTCTCCATGTTGATCCACATGGATCTAGTCCATTCATTTTTACTTTGAAGCAAGTTCTATTTTGGTTTCATCCATTGTTTATTCCTGGATTCCCCTGGCAGTGAATATTTGGTTGTTTCCAGATTTTCACTATTACTGGTAGTTCCGTAATGAATGGGCATTCCAGTGTGCACCTTCTTGTTCCCTTCATCTTTTTGTTTATTTTTGGCTCTAAACTTGGTTATCCACTGAGGGACTTGCTTCCCCTGCAGGTTTCTAAGACATGGCTATTATCTCCTCAATAGCCGTTCTACTGTGGGGCTGGGGATAGAAGAGGCATTGCCCCTTGCTCTTTGTAGCTACTTCCAAACCACACATTTTTCCTCCCTAAAATCCCCAGCTTCTTTCCTTAGTTTAATTTTTAAAAAAAAATAGAGACAGGGTCTCACTATCTTGCCCAGGCTGGTCTTGAACTCCTGGCCTCAAGTGATCCTCCTGCCTCAGCCTCCCAAAGTGCTGGGATTACAGGTGTGAGTCACCTCACCCAGCCCCACAGCTTTTTTGAAATGCAACTCACCACTTTACCATCCATTGCTCCCTCCGGTTGCAGCCATCTACACACCCCTGTCATTCCCCCTCCCTCCATGTCTGTTACAGCTCCCAGCTTATAGTCATTCTCTCCAACGTGATTCTGACACAATCATGATTTCCTTTTGGGGGTGTGTGTGAACATGTTTTAATTGCAGGATTCTTAGATATAGTGGTTAATCCATTGCTCACAATTCCTTACTAAGAGTGCCTCATGCTGGAAACACATGCCCTCCCCTTACATTACATTAAACTCAGGTGATCACATCTGTTTTTTTAAATTATTTTATTATTTTTTTTGAGACAGAGTCTTGCTCTGTCGCCCAGGCTGGAGTGCAGTGGTGCAATCTTGGCTCACTGCAAGCTCCGCCTCCCAGGTTCACACCACTCTCCTGCCTCAGCCTCCCGAGTAGCTGGGACTACAGGTGCCCACCACCACGCCTGGCTAATTTTTTGTATTTTTGGTAGAGACGGGGTTTCACCATGTTAGCCAAGATGGTCTCGATCTCCTGACCTTGTGATCCGCCTGCCTCGGCCTCCCATAGTGCTGGGATTACAGGTGTGAGCCACCGTGCCCAGCCAATCACATCTCTTTAACACAGAGTTCTTGTGTTAAAAGATTCTCATCTTTGTGAAGCCAAGGACTGTGGTGCAAAAGGAATATTTCATTAGCTGAAGTCACTACTATTTGCTAGAAAGATCCATTACTTTAGAATACTTCAACTATAAAATATATTGAATTTTCATATATCTCAACCATACACATGTGTAACTAACACTAAATGCGGTTCAGTCATTAAAAAGTAAGATTCTGGGTTGGGTGCACTGGCTCACGCCTGTAATCCCAGCACTTTGAAAGGCCGAGGCAGGAGGATTGCTTTAGGCCAGGAGTTTGAGACGTTAGCCTGGGCAATATAGCGAGATGCTATCTATACTAAAGAATTTAAAAATTAGCTGGGCCTGGTGATGCATGCCTGTAGTCCCAGCTATTTGGGAGGCTGAGGTGGGAGGATTGCTCAAGCCCAGGAGGTCAAGGCTGCAGTGAGCTGTGATCACACCACTGCACTCCAGCCTAGGCAACAGAGCAAAATCCTGTCTCAAAAAAGAAAAAGAAAAAGAAAAAAGACATTCTGGGAGCAGGGTACAAATATACAATCTGGCTGAATTCCCCAGGTAAGGACCTGTGTGTTATAAATTAATTGCTAATACCAAACTGAGAGCTCGGTGACCCACACAGTGTACAGCTAGGAAAGCAAACGAGGCCCTCATATCTCAGAGCCACAGGGTGATTTCAGTAACCAGCCTTTCTGTCCCATGGTCTCCTTTCCTCCCGTGAGCTTGTCCTCCACCTGCCTCAGCCCCTCACTCCCAAGGTCATATCCTGAACCATGTCATTACCAGTAACTGCCTTTGCATAGTCTCAACATAAAACACCGCACTCTCCAACCACCACCATCTGTCTGTCCAGCTCATTGCCTTGAGCATCCAACTCCAATAGTCCTTTAGGCTCACCCAGGCTGATCCTGCCCTTTTCCCTTGCCTCTCCTTCACGTCCTTAATTGTCACCTTGCTAAGCTCCCAACTTCCGTGGTCTTTCATTACAGACATCGTTTACCTACACCCTCGACTCTCTTCCCAAATAACTTCAACTCTCATTCCTGCTAACTCCTAGTAAAACCGGAACCCGGAAAACCCAACTCTCCACCAACTCTGTACCTGCCCCAGTGCAGCTGACACGGCTGGAGAAAGCCACCCAGTCACGCTAATGGTAAATCCAAGATCACTCACCTCAGTGCCACCCAAAAGTCCCACTGCGTTTCCCTGACTCATTCGCTCTCCCACTCTCTTTGACTATTTCATACTTTCCTGTCTCCACTCAAACCTTCAAACTCCTCCTCACTGATCTGCACTTGAAACCTGTGACCCTGATTCCCATGTCCCCAAGAAACGAGAAGTTACCAGAAGACCACACCCACCTGCAACTGTCGCATCTGCCCACTGCATTTTCCTTGTTCCTCACTCAAGGATAAGCTTGTCCAACCCAAGGCCTGTGGGTCGCTTGAGGCCCAGGACAGCTTTGAATGTGGCCCAACACAAATGCGTAAACTTTCTTAAAACATTAGGAGATTTTTTGGGCGACTTTTTTTTTTTTTTTTTTTTAGCTCATCAGCTATCATTAGTGTTAGTGTACTTTATGTGTGGCCCAAGACAATGCTTCTTCTTCCAATGTGGCCCAGGGAAGCCAAAAGTTTGGGCACCCCTGAAGGACATCACTCCTAATTCTCCTGTTTCTTTCCTGCATCATCAATTTCCTCCTTTCTACTGTATCATTCTCTCTCTCTCTCTCTTTTTTTTTTTTTGAGACAGACTCTCGCTCTGTTGCCCAGGCTAGAGTGCATTGGTGCAATCTTGGCTCACTGCAACCTCTGCCTCCCGGGATCAAGCGATTCTCCTGCCTCAGCCTCCCAAGTAGTTGGGATTACAGGCACACACCACCGCACCTGGCTAATTTTTGTATTTGTTTTTAGAGACGGGGTTTCACTTTGTTGGCCAGGCTGGCCTTGAGCTCCTGACCTCAAGCGATCCACCTGTCTCAGTGTCCCAAAGTGCTGGAATTACAGGTGTGAGCCACCGCGCCCGGCCCTACAGTAGCATTCTCACTGGCATGCAACAAACCAGTAATTCTCCCATCTTAAGAAAACAGTGCATTAGGAAAACAGATCCCACATCCCCTTCCAGGTGCTGGACCTTTACAGTAAAACTCAAAAGAACAGTCAATACTTGCTATCATCAATTCTCCTTTTTCTTGTCTCTTCATTCCAATTCTGATTGCAAATACTTCTTAGGAATTCCTTGGGATGGCAGAGTCATGAGAGGAAGATCCACTTCAGAGAGGGGAGAGATGAAACCCTGGAGCACACTTTATTCCTGAGGTTCTAATAGGGGACTAAGAAAATACTTTTGATTTATGTGGGAGAAATCATTGAACACGTGAAGGATATAAATGTCTTCTGTAGTTAAAAAAGGAACCATTGGAATCAGGTAAACTGGCATGTATTAGGTACTGTAACGTCAGATGTCATAACAAACAAACCTCAAATTGTATAATGGCTCAGACACAGTAAGTTTATGTTTCACCACATAAAGTCCAAAACAGATGTTCCTGATTAATGGGCAGCTCTTCTCCAAGTGGCGGTTCAGGCACCCGGACTCCTCCCATTTGTGGTTCTGCTGTTGTTAACAGATCGCCGTGTTCATCTACATCAAGTCATAAAAGGGAAAATAGAAGCAGGCCTGGAGCGTGGGAAACTTTTTTGGTCCAAGCCTGGAAGTTGGGTGCATCAGCTCTGATCACATTCCATTAGCCAGAATTCAGACACCTGACCTCACCTGTTTGCAAGGAAGGCTGGGAAACAGAAGAGGTGTACTCAAGAAGAGGAAATAGGTTTGGCAAAGAGCCAGCCAGGCTCTGCAAATAATGGACATCCTCCAAGGAACAATGATTGGGCAAAGAGAAGATGACTTACCCTCCAGGACTTTGTTCTGAATAAGCAGCTTGTCCTGGCCTGGATTTCCGAGCAAGTCCCATTGTAAAACCACAATTGCTCTTTCTTCAAGAAGAAAACCCTTAGAAAAGCAAACAATTCTACACATTCCATCTACCTCTTCTGCCATTTGATATGTTTTGTGGGTTTCCAATTGGCTTTTTGGTATTCTATAAAAATGAGAGTCATCTTATAGCCTGTAGGGTGAGGGTGTGAGTAGCATGGCTATATCCTAAGTCTCAGAGATACGGGCTCTGCTACCAACTGGCAGTGAAGCTTGACTACCAGGCCCTGTGCCCTTGGGACTCAGGCCCTGACTCTGTGAAATGGGACTGGTCATGCCTGCCACTGCCAGGCTATTTGAGGATCAACAACTTGCACATTCGCAGCTCCAAATGATCTTTACAACAGCCTTTGGTGATTGAAAGGGTATAAATGCCCCTTGCACATTTCACAGATGGAACACCCGAGCTGGACGGTGACATGCTTGACCCAGGGAAACTCCAACTCCCAGTCCCCAGACAAGAGGTAGTGGCTGAAACTGAGAGGAGGTGACATCTTATAGGGAAGGAAGCAGAAAGGGGAAGCAGAAAAGCATGAGGAATGGTGTGAGGGGAAGAAAGAAGAAGAAAATGTATGGACGTTTATCCCAGAGCCCAGGGTTCTTTCCGTAGTGCCTCCCAACCCTCGGTTCCCTGTTATTTACTCACCCTGAAGCCTGGTAATCTGGACACAGATGGAGAATTATAGAGAAGACCAGGGGGGAACCAAGAGCGTTTGGAATCTCAGGAGCCTTCAAACTGGACAATGAACAGTGTCATCTCTTTCTGTGGTCAGTGGCCACCTACCTAAGGAATGGGTCCCCCAGGACCAACCATGTGTCAGAAGGCTCCTCCTCTTGCCCTTCTTTTAGTGTGGGATCCTGGAAGTCACTGTCACAGGGATGCTGTATCTACATGGGCTTGGACTCCTCGTACGGAAAGAATTATTATTTTCTCAAGTGGTAAAATGTTAACAGTTGGTGGATCAGGATGATGGAAATACAGGAAATACAGGATTTCTTTACTCTATTTTTGCAAATTTGCTGTAAGTTTGAAATTACTAGAAGATAAAAAGTTAAAAAATAAAAAAAGAAGAAGAAGAACAAGAGCTGGGCATGGTGGCTCACACCTGTAATCCCAGCACTTTGGGAGGCCGAGGCAGGCGGATCACAAAGTCAGGAGTTTGAGACCAGCCTGGCCAATATGGTGAAACCCCATCTCTACTAAAGATACAAAAATTAGCCAGGCGTGTTGGTGGGTGCTTGCAGTCCCAGCTACTCGGGAGGCTGAGGCAGGAGAATTGCTTGAATCCGGGAGGCAGAGGTTGCAGTGAGCAGAGATTACGCCACTGCACTCCAGCCTGGGTGACAGAGCAAGACTCTGTCTCAAAAAAAAAAAAAAAAAAAAAAAAAAAAGAAGAAGAAGAAGAAGAAGAAGAACCCAGAAACCCCCTCATGACCTCTTCCATCACAACCCCTCTGCTGCCACCACCAAGGAAAGCCCATTCTGGCTCCTAATACCTAAACTAGTTATTTCTATTTGAATCATAGAAAAAGTGACTGGGTGCACTGGGTGCTCATGCCTCTAATCCCAGCACTTTGGGAAGCTGAGGTAGGAGGATTACCTGAGCCCAAGTTCGAGACCAGCCTAGGCAATGTAGTGAGGCCCCATCTCTCCAAAAAAAAAAAAAAAAATACAAAAATTAGCCAGGCATGGTGATGCAAGCCTGTGGCCCCTAGCTACTAGAGAGACTGAGGTGGGAGGATCACTTGAGCCTGGGAGGCCAAGGCTGCAATGAGCCGGGGGGGGTGACAGAGAGAAACACTGTCTCAAAAAAACAAACAAACAAAGAACAGAAAGAAACACTGAATCATACAGAAAGCATTCCTTTATGCCTGACTTCTTCTCTTTTTTTGAGACAGCGTCTCGCTCTGTCACCCAGACTGGAGTCCGGTGGCACGATCACGGTTCGCTTCAGCCTCAACCTCAGCTATCCTCCCACCTCAGCTCCCCTAGCAGCTAGGACTACAGGCATGAGCCACTGCACCTGGCCTGTGCCTGACTCCTTTCATTCAACATTATGTTTAGGAGATTCAGCCATGTCTTTGCTTGCCCTTTTACTTCATTCTCATTCCTCCACAGTATTCCATTGTAAGAATGTATCACATATAGATGGGACTTCCAGAATGACTGAGTGAGGAAGCTCTGAAACACCCACCCACCCACACAAAGCCCTCATTCTTTTCTCATTAAAGTTCAAGACTTTTCAAAGTAAACACTTCTCAATTTGTTACATACTGTGTTAGTTTTTTCTTTTTTCTTTTTTTGAGACAGAATCTCACTCTGTCACCCATTATTCTACCTACTACTTATAATTTTGATCAATCTCCAGTTTTCAAATGATTATTTTTTCTCACAGTTTTGCAGTTTTGTTATAAGTTTTTGTAGTTTGTTATAAGTTCTGCTAAGTTTTGTATTTTTAGTAGAAATGGGGTTTTTCCATGTTGGCCAGGCTAGTCTCAAACACCTGACCTCAGGTGATCCACCCGCCTCAGCCTCCTACAGTGCTGGAATTAGAGGCATGAGCCACCGTGCCCTGCCAAGAAAAATTATTTTTAAGAGAACCAATAGAAATTCTGGATTTGAAAAGTATAGTGTCTAAAATGAAAATTTCCCTGGAGGGGCTTAAAAGCAAATTTGAGCTGACAAAATAAAGAATTGGCAATCTTGAGGATAGATCAGCAGAGATTATACAAGCTGAATAATGGAGAGAAAAAAGACTGAAGAAAATGAACAGAGACTAAGAAGCCTTGGCCCATCATCAAATGCACCAACATCCAGGTAACAGGACTCTGAGAAAGAGGGAAAAAATAGAGAAATGGGCAGAAAAAATATTCAAAGAAAAAAATGGCTGAAAAATTCCAAAATTTGATGATAACATTAATCTACACATCCTAGAATCTGAATGAGCCAGAAGTAGGATAGACTCAAAGAGATCCACACATGAGCACGTTATAATTAAACTGTTGAAAAGAAGAAAATAAAAACTTGAAAGCAGAAAAGAAAATCCATCATATACACAGAAATGACAGTAAGATTAACACATGACTTTTGTCCAAAACAATGGAGAAATACACAACAAACTAGGAATAGAAGGAAACTACCTAAGCATAGTTATGTGCAGATTAAAACAAACCTGATAGTGAAAGACTGAAAGCTTGTTCTCTAAGACCAGGAATAAGTAAGGATGCCTGCTTTCACCACTTCTAATAACATAGTACTGGAATCCTAGCCAGAGCAATTAGGCAAGAAAGAGAAATAAAAGGCATCCATATTGACAATGAAGAAGTAAAATTATCTCTGTTTGAAGATGACATGATCCTATATGCAGCAAACCCTAAAAATTGCATCCATTAAAAAGCTATTAAAACTAACAAACAATTCAGTAAAGTTGCAGGACACAAAATGGTCACATAAAAGTCAATTGCAGCTGGGTGTGGTGGCTTATGCCTGTAATCCCAGCACTTTGGGATGCCAAGGCAGATGGATCACTTGAGCTCACAAGTTCAAGAACAGCCTGGGCAATATGGCGAAACCCTGTCCCTACAAAAAGTACCAGAATTCACTGAGTGTGGTGGTGCACGCTTGTGGTCCAAGCTACTTGGGAGGCTGAGGCAGGAGGATGGTTTGAGCCTGGAAGGCAGAGGTTGCAGTGAGTCGAGATCGCACCACTGCTCTCCAGCCTGGGTGACAGAGCCAGATCTTGTCAAAAAAAAAAAAAAGCAAACAACAATTGCATCTCTACACACTAACAATTAACAATCTGAAAATAAAATTAAGAAAATAATTCCATTTACAATAGCATCAAAAAGAATAAAATATGTAGGAATAAACCTAACCTAACCAACAAGATAAAAGGCTTATATGTTGAAAACTACAAATGTTTCTGAAAGAAACAAAGACACAAATAAATGGAAAGACATCCTATGTTCATGGATCAAAAGACTTAATATTGTTAAGATGTCAATAGTAACCAAAGCAATCTACAAATTTAATCCAATCCCTATCAAAATCCCAACATCATTTTTAAAAAAAATTCTAAAATTTATATGGAAACTCAAGAGAACCCAAATTGCCAAAATAATATTGAAAGAGAAAAACAAAGTTGGAAACATCACACTTTCTGACTTAAAAACATACTACAGGCTAGGCAGGGTGGCTCATGTTTATAACCCCAGCACTTTGAGAGGTCAAAGCAGGAGAAATGCTTGAGGCCAGGAGTTTGAGGCCAGCCTGGGCAACAAAGTGAGATCCCATCTCTACAAAAAATAATAATAATAAATAAAAATAAATAATAAAACATACTGCAAAGCAACAGTAATCAAAGCAGTGTGGTACCAGTATAAAGACAGACATATAAATGGATGGAACAAAATACAGAGCCCAGAAATAAACTCTTGTTCATATGGTCAAATGAGCTTTGACAGGAGTGAAAAGACTATACAATGGAGAAAGGACAGTTTCTTCAACAAATGATATGGGAGAACTGAATATCCACATACAAAAGAATAAAGTAAGATCCTTACTTTATACACCATATACAAAAATTAAATCAAAATGGATCAAAAACCTAAATGTAAAAAATAAACTATAAAACTTTTAGAAGAAAACATACAAGAAAGCTTCATGACATCAGACTTGGCAAGGATTTTCTGGATAATCATACCAAAAGCACAGATAACAAAAGTAAAAATAGATACATTAAACTACATCAAAATCTAAAACTTCTGTGCATCAAATGACACAATCAACAGAGTGAAAAGACAACCTATAGAATGAGAGACTATATTTGCAATTACATATCCAGGGTTAATATGCAAAATATATGAGGAACTCGGCCAGGTGCAGTGGCTCACGCCTGTAATCCCAGCACTTTGGGAAGCCAAGGCAGGTGGTTCACCTGAAGTCAGGAGTTAGAGACCAGCCTAGCCAACATGGTGAAACCCCATCTCTACTAAAAAATACAAAAAATTAGCCAGGTGCGGTGGTGTTCACCTGTAATACCAGCTACTTGGGAGGTTGAGGCAGGAGAATCGCTTAAATCTAGGAGGCAGAGGCAGCAGTGAGCTGAGATCGCACCACTGCACTCCAGCCTGGGTGACAGAGTGAGACTCCGTCTCAAAAAAAAAAAAAAACATATATATATACACATATATATATATATATGTATATATATATATATGTATATATGAGGAACTCCTGCAACACAATAAGAAAAAGACAAATAACCCAATTTTAAAATGAACAAAGGACTTGAATAGGTATTTCTCCTAAAAAGATATACAAATGGCCGGCCAGGCATGGTGGCTTACACCTGTAATCCAAGCACTTTGGGAGGCTGAGGCAGGCAGATCACAAGGTCAGGAGATCGAGACCATCCCATGAATGGTGAAACCCCATCTCTACTAAAAATACAAAAAATTAGCTGGGCATGGTGGCGGGCGCCTGTAGTTCCAGCTACTTGGGAGGCTGAGGCGGGAGAATGGCGTGAACCCAGGAGGCGGAGCTTGCAGTGAGCCGAGATCACGCCACTGCACTCCAGCCTGGGCAACACAGCAAGACTCCGTCAAAAAAAAAAAAAAAAAAGCAGATAGACAAATGGCCAAGATGAAAAAACGTTAAACATCATTATTTATTAGGAAACTGCAAATCAAGACAAATATCAACCCACACCCATTAGGATGACTAATTAAAAAAAAAAAGACAGAAAATAACAAGTGATGGCAAGGATGTGGAGGAATTGGAACTCTTGTTCACCGCTGGTGGGAATATAAAATTGTATAGCCACTATGGAAAACAGTATGGTGGTTCCTGAAAAAATTAAAAGTAGAATACTATGTGATCCAGACATTCCTTTTTGGGGTATATATCCAAAAGAATTGAAAGCAGGATCTTGAACAGATACCTGCACATTCATGTTCACTGTGGCATTTTTCATAACAGTCAAGAGGTGGAAGCAACCCAAGTGTCCATCAACAGATGAATGCATAAACCAGATGTGGCATATACACAAAGTGAATATTATTCATTAAAAAGGAAGGAAATTACGACACGTACAACATGGATGACTTTGAGAACATTACGCCAAGTAAAATAAGCCAGTCTCAAAAGGCAATACTGTATAATTCCCCTCATGTGAGGTAACTAGAGTAGTCAAATTCACAGAGACAGGAAGTACAATGGTGGTTGTCAAAGGCTGTGGGGGATGAGGGAATGGGGAGCTGTTTAATGGGCATAGAGCTCCATTTTGCAAAAAAGATGTTCTAGATACTGCTCACACATCATTGCGGGTGTAGCTGACACTAAGAGATCGAGCTGACTGGTATCTCTTCTGATGAGGATACTAATCCTATCAGATCAAGGCTCCATCCTTATGACCTATTTAACCTCAATTACTTCTTTAGAGGGCCCATCACCAAATACAGCCACACTGGGGCTTAGAGTTTCAACATATGGATTTTTGGAGACACAAACATTCAGTTCATAACAAGCAACTGGGAAGGTGGAATGTGATTGCTAGAGTTTCCATGTTACATCATTTTATTTTTTTCTTTTATTTCCGTGGGACCCTGCTTGATAACATGTTGTATCATTTTAAATTTCCAGTTTTTAATTTAAAAATTTTGGAGACATGTCAAAAAATGGGAAAGTATGACCCATACATTAGGTGAGGGAGAGTAGTCAATAGAAGCTGTCTCCTGAGGAAGCCCAAACATTGAACTGTGAGACAACAGCTTTAAGTCAACTATTATAAATATGTTCAATGAACAAAAAGAAACCATGTCTAAAGAATTAAAATATACAATGTCTCACCTATAGAGAATACCAATAAAGAGATAGAAATTGTAAAATAAGGAACAAACAGAAATTCTGGAGTTGAAAAACATAATAACTGAAATGAAAAAATTCACTGGAAGGGCTCTAAAGCAGCTTTGAGCTGGCAGAAGGAATAATTTGTGAACTTGAAGATAGGTTAATTAAGATTATTCAGTCTCGGCCAGGCGCAGTGGCTCACGCCTGTAATGCTAGCACTTTGGGAGGCCAAGGTGGGCAGATCACCTGAGGTCAGGAGTTCAAGACCAGTCTGGCCAACGTGGTGAAACCCCATTTCTACTAAAAACACAAAAAACAGCCGGGCATGTGGTGGTGCATGCCTGTAATCCCAGCTACTCAGAGGCTGAAGTGGGAGAATTGCTTGAACCCCAAAGGCAGAAGTTGCAGTGAGCCGAGACTGTGACACAGCCTTCCAGGCTGGGCAACATAGTGAGACTGTGAGACTCTATCTCAAAAAAAAGAAAAGAAAATAAAAAGAAAGAAAGATTATCCAGTCTATAAAATGGTAGAGGGCAGGGAATGAAAAATGTGAACAGAGCCTCAGAGACCTGTGTTATGCTATCAAACACACCAACGTATGTGTAGTGGGAGTCCCAGAAGGAGAAAAAACAGTAGAAAAACTATTTGAAAAAACAATGGCTGAAAGCTTTCCAAACTTAATGAGCAACATTAATCCTCACATTTAAGAATCTCTCAGTGTGAAATTGGGTTAGGAAAAAAAAAGAATCTCAATGAACTTAAAGTAAGATAAATTCAAAGAGATCATCACCTAGACACGTCATTATAAAACCCTGGAAAGACAGCTAAAGAGAGAATCTTGAGAGCAGCAAGAGAAAACCCATTCACCACAGACAAAGGATCCTCAATAAGATTAATAGCTGTCAGCTGGGCGTGTTGGCTCACACTTGTAATCTCAGCACTTTGGGAGGCCAAGGTGGGCAGATCACATGAAGTCAGGAGCTCTAGACCAGCCTGGCAACATGGCGAAGCCTCGTTTCTACTACATATACAAAAATTAGCTGGATGTGGTAGTGCACGTCTGTACTCCCAGCTACTCGGAGGGCTGAAGTGGGAGAATTGCTTGAACCCAAGAGATGGAGGTTGTAGTGAGCCAAGACTGCACCACTGCACTCCAGCCTATGCAACAGAGCTAGACTCCATCTCAAAAAGAAAAGATTAACAGGCATTTTCTCACCAGAAATTATGGATGCCAGAAGGTAGTAGAATTACCTATTCAAAGTGCTGAGGAAAAAAAAAGAAGACTTGCAACCAAGAATTTCATATTCAGCAAAACTGTCCTTCAAAAGCAAATTAGAAATAAAATATATTCCTATATTAAACACAAACAGCAAAATTGTCACTGGCAGACCTGTCTACAAGAAGTACTAAAGAGAATTCTTCAAACTAAAATGAAAGGACATTAGATAGTAAGTCAAATTCACACAAAGAAATAAAAGAGCATTAACAAAGATAACTACATAGGTAAATATTAATGATAGTATAAATTATTTTTGTTTGTAAATCTTTTCTTCTATCTGATTTACAAAATGGCTGCATGAAGCAATCATTATTAAAACTATGTTGATGTGTTTAAAATGTGTAAAGATGTAAGTTATATGAAAATAATAGCACAAGGAGAAGAAATGGATTGGAGCTATATTGGGTCAAAGGTTTTTTATAGCATTGAAATTAAGTTGGCATTAATCCTAATTTGATTCTTTTACATTAAGTTCTTAATTGTACTCTCTAGGGGAAACCCTAAGAAGATAACTAAAAATACGATTGAAAACTATTTTTAAAACCATACACACACACACACGAAATAAAATACTATAAATATCTATTCAACATAAAAGAAGGTAATAATGGAGGCACAGAGGAACAAAACAAGACTCAGAAGAAAAAAATTACACATGAATGTATTCAGAAGAAAAAAAGACTATCTATAAATATAGATATAATATATATGTATAAAACAAATAGAAAAATGGCAGACATAAGTCTTACCTTTTCGTAATTACATTGAATATGTATGTATTAAATTCTCCAATTAAAAGCAGAGTTTGATAGGATGGATTTCTTAAAAAACATGATTCAACTATATTCTGTCTACAAGAGACACACTTTCTTGTCAAAGACACATATAGATTGAAAGTTACATGATAAAAAAGAGCTTCTTCTCCAAGAAAATATCAAATACCAGTTGACTCCGGTACAGTGGAAGGACCCAGAGGCTTCCACAGTGGCATCCAGGGCTGCTACACTTAAGTCAGAGGCTGCACTGTCACCCTGGGCAACTTTACCAAGCCCATATTTGATGCCAAGACCTATAGCTACCTGACCCCCAACATCTGGAAAGAGATAGTATCACCAGGTCTTCCTATTAGGAATTCACTAACCATCTTGTCAAGACCCAAACCAGAGTTTCTGTATAGAGGATCCAGGCTCCAACTGTGGCTACAATATAAGGTTTTTTAAAAAAAAAACAAACAAAAAATAAAAAAAGTGAACTAAGCCTGTTTTTTCTTTAAAAAAAAAAAAGATAGAAAAAGATATGCCATGAAAATATTAACCAACAGAGAGCTAGAGTACCTATACTAATATCAGACAAAATAGATTTTAAGGCAAAATCTTTTACTCGAATTAAAAGAAGATGTAATAATTATAAACATATATGCATCTAGCAGCAGTACCCCCAAAATATATGAATCAGAAATTGACAGAATTGAATGGACAAATAGAAATGAAACAACGGGCCGGGTGCGGTGGCTCATGTCTGTAATTCCAGCACTTTGGGACGCTGAGGCAGGTGGAACACCTGAGGTCAGGAGTTTGAGACCAGCCTGGCCAACATGGCTGCCTATAATTCCATCTACTCAAGAGGCTGAGGCAGGAGAATTGTTTGAACCCAGGAGGCAGAGGTTACAGTGAGCCAAGATCATGCCACTGCACTCCAGCCTGGGTGACAGAGCGAAACTTCATCTCAAAAAAAGAAAAAAAGAAATGAAACAATAATTGTTGGAGACCTCAATACCCAATAATGAACAGAACTAGCTAGAAGATCAATAATAGAAGACTCGAACAACATTAACAACTAGATGTGCTGGGCTCAGTGGCTCACACCTATAAGCCCAATACTTTGGGAGGTCGAGGCCAGAGGATGGCTTGAGTCCAGGAGTTTGAGACCAACTTGGACAACATAGTGAGACCCTATCTCTGCAAAGTTTAAAAATTAGCCAGACGTGTTGGTGTGTACCTGTAGTCACAGCTACTTGGGGTGCTGAGGTGGGAGGATTGCTTGAGCCCAAGAGGTTGAAGCTGCAGTGAGCTATGATCTTGCCACTGCACTCCACACTCCAGCCTGGGCAACAGAGCAAGATCCTGTCTCAAAAAAAAAAAAAAAAAAAAAAACAAGTATATATTACAGACATCTATAGAACACTCCATCCAACAATAGCAGAATCCACATTCTACTGAAAGTTGCGTGAACAATTCTTCAGGATATACCATATGTTAAGCCATAAAACAAGCCTCAATAAATCTTAAAGGATTGAAATCATCCAAAGCATGTTTTCCAACCACAGTTGAAAGAAATAACAGAAGGAAATTTCAGAAATCCACAAATACGTGAAAAATGAACTACAAAATCCTAAATAGCCAGTGGGTAAAAAGAAATCGCAGGGAAAATTAAAGACTTGAGATAAATGAAACAAAACACAACACGCCACATCTTATAGGATACAGCTACAGCTTCCTCATAAATGTCTATATTAAGAGAAAGACTTCAAATCAGTAACCCAACATTCTACCTTAAGAAATTAATTTTTTAAAAGAGCAAAATAAACCTAAAGCAAGCTGAAGGAATGAAGTCATTTAGATTAAAGTGGAAATAAATGAAATAGAGAGTAGAAAAACAATAGGGAAAATTGATGAAACCAAAGGTTGGTTCTCCGAAAATGTCAACAAAACTGGCAAACCTTTAGCTAGACTTACCACAGATAAAAGAGAGAAGATACAAAGTAACAAAATCAGGGCCAGGCGCGGTGGCTCACACCTGTAATCCTAGCACTTTGGGAGGCCGAAGTGGGCAGATCACCTGAGGTCGGATGTTCAAGACCAGCCTGACCAACATGGAGAAACCCTGTCTCTACTAAAAATACAAAATTAGCTGGGTGTGGTGGCACATGCCTGTAATCCCAGCTACTGGGAAGGCTGAGGCAGGAGAATCACTTGAACCCAGGAGGCAGAGATTGTGGTGAGCCGAGATCCCGCCATTACACTCCAGCCTGGGCAACAAGAGTGAAACTTCGTCTCAAAAAAAAAAAAAATCAGGAATGAGAGAAGAGGCATTAATACCCACATTACAGAAAGATAAAGGACTATAATGGAATACTATGAACAATTCTATGACAACAAATTAGATAATGTAGATAAAATGTATACACTCCTAGAAAGACACAAACTCACTAAAGAAGACATAGAAAATCTGAATAGATCTATTTACAAGTAAAGAGATTGGATTAATAATCAAAAAGTTTCCAGCCAGATGTGGTGGCTCATGCCTGTAACCCCAGCACTTTTCGGGGCTGAGGCAAGTGGATCTCTCGAGCCCAGGGTTTCAAGACCAGCCTGGGCAACACGGCAAAATTTCATCTCTACAAATAATACAAAAATTAGCTTGGCATGGTGGCATGCACTTGTAGTCCCGGCTACTTGGGAGTCTTAGGGGAGTGATCACCTGAGCCCAGGAGGTCAAGGCTACGGTGAGCTATGACCACACCACTGCACAGACGGAGTGAGACCTTGTCTCAAACAAAACAAAACAAAACAAAAAATTTCCCTCAAAGAAGAGCCCAGGCGCAGATTTAACACCAGTCTTTCTCAAAACCTTCCAAAAATAGAAAAGGAAGGAATATTTCCTGACTCATTCTGTGAGGCCAATATTATGCTTATATCAAAACTAGAAAAAGACATCACACATACACACGAAAAGAAAACTAAAACCAGTATCTCTTATAAATATAAATGCTAAATTTCTCCAAAAAAAAAAAAATCCTCCAAGACCAAGTGGAATTTATCTCAAGAATATATGGTTGGTTTAACATATAAAAATCAATCAATGCAATACACCATATCTGTAAAATAAAGGACAAAAACTACATGATCCTCAATAAACACAGAAAAAAATTGACAGGTCAGGTGCTGTGGCTCATGCCTGTAATCCCAGCACTTTGGGAGGCCAAGTTGGGTGGGGATCGCTTGAGGTCAGCAGTTTGAGACCAGTCTGGCCAACATGAAGAAATCTCATCTCCACTAAAAACACAAAAATTAGCTGGGTGTGGTGTCATGCACCTGTAGTCCCAGCTACTCGGGAGGCTGAGGCAGGAGAATCGCTTGAACCTGGGAGGCAGAGGTTTCAGTGAGCCAAGATCGTGCCACTGCACTCCAGCCTGGGTGACAGAGCAAGATTCTGTCTCAAAAAAAAAAAAAAAAAAAAGACAGAAATGAAAAAGAAAAAAAAATGACAAAAATCCAACACCTTTCATGATAAAAAAAAAAAAAAAAACAACTCAGAAACTAGGAATAGAAGGGATCTCAAGCTGATAAAAGGCATCTGTGAAAAACTACTAACATCATTCTTAGTGGTAAAAGACTGAATGATTTTCCCCTAAGATCAGGAATAAAACGAGAATGTCTGCTTTGGCCATTTCTATTCAACATGTTATTGGAGGTTCTAACCAGGCAATTAGGCAACAAAAAAGGCAATCAGGTCAGAAAGGAAGAACTATTCCCATTTACAGATGATATCATCTTATACAAAGAAAATCCTAAAAGAACTGCAATCAAAGCCTACAAAACAATGAAGGCAGGCCAGGTGCGGTGGCTCATACCTGTAATCCCAGCACGTTGGGAGGCCAAGGTGGGCAAATCACTTGAGGTCAGGAGTTCGAGACCAGCCCGGCCAACATGGTGAAACCCCGTCTGTACTAAAAATACAAAAATTAACCTGGCATGGTGGCGGGCACCTGTAATCCCAGCTACTTGGGAGGCTGAGGCAGGAGAATCACTTTAACTAACCCTGGATGCAGAGGTTGCAGTGAGCCGAGATTGAGCCACTGCACTCCAGCCTAGGTGACAAAGTTCTCAAAAAAAAAAAAAAAAAGAAAAAAGGAAACAAACAAACAAAAAAACAATGAAGGAGTAGAACAAGGTTGCAGGATAGAAGAACAGTATTAAAAAATCAATGTGGCTGGGCTCGGTGGCTCACGCCTGTAATCCCAGCACTTTGGGAGGCTGAGGTGGACGGATCACAAGGTCAGGAGTTCAAGACCATCCTGGCCAATATGGTGAAACCTCATCTCTACTAAAAATACAAAAATTAACCAGGCGTGGTGGCAGGTATCTATAAGCCCAGCTACTTGGGAAGCTGAGGCAGGAGAATTACTTGAACCCTAGAGGTGGAGGTTGCAGTGAGCCGAGATTGTGCCATCACACTCCAGCCTGGGCAACAGAGCAAGACTCCGTCTCAAAAAAAAAAAAATCAATTGTACTTATATATACTACTCAGGAACAATCAAAAATACAATTAGGAAAATAATTCTATTCACAATAATATCGAAAAGTATAAAATACTTTGGGGCCGGGTGCAGTGGCTCATGCCAACAATCCCAGCATTTTGGGAGGCCAAGGCGGGAGGATCACTTGAGGTCAGGAGTTCAAGACCAGCCTGGCCAACATGGTGAAACCCCACCTCTACTAAAAATACAAAAATTAGCCACATGTGGTGGCACGTACCTGTAATCCCAGCTACTCAGGAGGCTGAAGCATGAGAATTGCTTGAACCCATGAGGTGGAGGTTGAAGTGAGCTGAGATCGTGCCATTGCACTCCAGCCTGGGTGACAGAGTGAGACTCTGTCTCAAAAAAAAAAAAAAACAAAAAACTTCGGAATAAATTTTACAGACATGTAATATTGTTACACTGAAAATTACAAATCTTTGCTGAGAGAAATTAAAGAAATTCTAAATAAATAGACATTCTCTACAAATCAGAAGACTCATTATTAATAAGGAATTTCTCCTCTATTTCATCTATAGATCCAATTCAATTCTTCTCAAAATCCAAGCAGGCATTTTTTTTTTTTTTTTTTTTTTTTTTTTTTTTTTTTTTTGCAAAAATTGACTGGCTATTTCTAAAATTTATTTTAAAAGGCAAAGGGCCTAGAATAGCAAAAACAATTTTGAAAAAGAGTGACAAAGCTAGAAGACATAATTTCCCAATTTCAAAACTTACTATAAATCCACAGTAGTCAAGAGAGTGTGGCACTGAATAAGGATAGACATATAGATCAATGGAACAGAAGTGAAAGCCCAGAAATACACTCTTAACACTGATGCCAGTTGATTTGCAACAGAGGAGCCAAGGCAATGCCTCAGAAAAAGAATAGTCTTTTCAACAAATGATGATGGAACAATGGAATATCCATCTGCCAAAGAAGAAAGTTAGATCCCTATATCACACTATAGGCAAAACTAAACTAAAAATGGATCAGAGAACTAAATATAGAGTTAAAATTATAAAACGTTTAGAAGAAAATTGTTGTGACTTTGGGTTAGGCAAAGATTTCATAGCTATGACAGCAAAAGCACAATCCATAAAATTTTAAAAATTGATAAATTGGATTTCATCAAAATTAAAAGCTTTACAAGACACCATTAAGGAAATCTAAACATTGGAAGAATGTATTTGCAAATTGTATGTCTGCTTAAAGACACGTATCCAAAATATATAGAATACTTACAACTCAATATCAAGAAGTTAAATAATCCAATTTTAAAAGTAGATATAATAATTGAATATATATTTTGCCAAGGAAGATATATGAATGGCTAATAAGCACATGGTAAGATGTTCAATATTTTTATTCATTAGGGAAATACAAACCACAAGAGATACCATTTTATACCACAAAAACAGCTATAATTTTTTTTTTAAAAGGACATAATAACAAGTGTTTACAAGGATGTGGAGAAAGTAAAACCCTTATAAATTGATTATGGGAATGTAAAATGGTGCACCCAGTTTGGAAAACAGTTTGTCAGTCTCCTTAAAATTTAAACATAAATTTTCCATATGACCTGTCAATTGCCCTCCTGGGAACATTTGTCCATGAGAAACGAAAAGACATGTTCACACAAAGACTTGTTATAGGAATGTTCATAGCAGCATTACTCTTAGTAGCCAAAAAATGGAAACCAAAATGTTCATCGGCTGATGAGTTGATAAACAAAATATGGTATGTCCTTACAATGGAATACTATTCAGCCATTAAAAAGAATGAAGTGCTGGTACATGCTAAAACATGGATGAACATCAAAAACACTATACTAAGTGAAAGTAGCCACACATAAAAAGCCACATATTGGATAATTCAATTTATTTGAAATGTCCAGAAAGGGCAAATCTACAGAGATAGCAATTAGATTAACAACAGTTGACTGGGGCTGGTTAGAAAAGGGAGTGACTGTTAACAGTCATGAGGGATCTTTCTTGAGTAATGGAATGTTCTAAAATTGAATTATGGTGATTATTGCACAACTCTGTAAATTTACTAAAAAATCATTGAATTGTACACTTAAAAATAAAATGAAATAAAATAAAAAGACCTGACTAAAACAAAAATAGTTTAAAAAGATAAACTGGCCAAGCACGGTGGCTCACACCTGTAATCCCAGCACTTTGGGAGGCTGAGGTGGGTGGATCACAAGGTCAGGAGATCGAGACCATCCTGGCTAACACAGTGAAACGCCATCTCGACTAAAAATAGAAAAACTTAGTCGGGTGTGGTGGCATGCACCTGTAGTCCCAGCTACTCGGGAGGCTGAGGCAGGAGAATTGCTTAAACCCGGGAGGCAGAGGTTGCAGTGAACCGAGATCGCGCCACTGCACTCCAGCCTGGGCAACAGAGCAAGACTCCATCTCAAAAAAAAAAAAAAAAAAAAAGATAAACCACAAATATGTAAATAAACCAGTTTGTTTATTCATTCTACTATTGATAGATATTTGAGTAGTTTCCAGTGTAGAGTTATTATAAATACTGTTACTGTGAACATTCTTGTATATGTCATGCAGTAAACATCTGTAAACTTTTTCATTGTCTTTTGGAGATGGGGTCTTGCTCTCTCACCCAGGCTGGAATGCAGTGGTGCAATCATAGCTCATTGTAATCACAAAGTCCTGAGTCGCCAGGACTACAGGCACATGCCACCAGGCTAACTTAAAAAGAAAAAAAATTTTGCAGAGATGAGGTCTTGCTATGTTGCCCAAGCTGATCTCTAACTCCTGGCCTAAAAGGATGCTTTCACCTCAGCCTCCCAAAGGGGTGAGATTACAGGCATGAGCCACCATGCCTAGCCCATATGTACCCATTTCTGTTGAGTGTATATCTAGGAGTAGAACATCTGGGTCATGAGTATGCATATATTCTGCTTTAGCAGATACTGCCAAAGACTTTTTGCCAGGTTCTCTACCAATTTACATGTCCTTTGGCAGTATATGAAATTTCTACTTTCCCTATGCTATGATTTGAATGTGTCCCCCAAAGTTCATGTCTTGGAAAATTAATCCCCAAAGCAACAGTGTTGAGCGGTGGGTCATTTAAGAGGTGATTAGAGATCCTGAGGGCTCTGTCTTCATGAATAATGTCATTATGGTAGGAGTGATTTAGTTATCACTGGAGTTGGTTCATGATAAAAGGGTGAGTTCTACCTCCTTCCCTTTTCTCTCACATGAGCACTTCTGCCGTTTCACTTTCCACTATGGGATGGTGCAGCAAGAAGGCCCTGGTCAGATGCAATTCCCTCGACCTTGGACTTCCCTGTCTCCAGAACTGTGTGAAATAAATCTCTGTTCTTTATAAATTGCCAAGTCTTGGGTATTTTGTTATAGCAGCATGAAATGGACTAAGATACTCTACTTCCTTGCTGACATTTGGCATCTGTTCAGCCATTCTGCTGGGTGTGTAGTGGTTCCTTATTATGGTTGTGAAAGTGAACACTATTTTAAGTTTTTCTCTTTTGGTTTTTGGCTATTTGGGAATCCTCTTTGTGAAATGCTGATTCAAATATTTTTGCCCTTTTTTCCCCTTAAGTAGTCTGTTGTTTTCTTATTGATTTTTGTAGAAGTTTTTTTTCCAAGCCAGTCACAGTGGCTCTTGCCTGTAATCCCTTTGGGAGGCCGAGGTGAAAGAATCAAGTGAGGCCAGGAGTTCAAGACCACCCTAAGCAACATAGCAAGACCCTGTCTACAAAAAAATAAAACTAAATGAAATTATTTTTTTCCACTCTTTGGCTTGACTTTTCATTTTTTTTTTTTTTTTTTTTGAGATGGACTCTCGCTCTGTCACCCAGGCTGGAGTGCAGTGGCAGAATCTCAGCTCACTGCAAGCTCTGCCTCCCGGGTTCACGCCATTCTCCTGCCTCAGCCTCCCCAGTAGCTGGGACTACAGGCACCTGCCACCATGCCTGGCTAATTTTTTGTATTTTTAGTAGAGACGGGGTTTCACTGTGTTAGCCAGGATGGTCTCAATCTCCTGATCTTGTGATCTGCCCACCTCAGCCTCCCAAAGTGCTGGGATTATAGGCGTGAGCCACCACGCCTGGCCAACTTTTCACTTTCTTGACAATGTCTTTTGATAAGCATAAGTTTTAGTTTTAATGTAGTCTAACTTATCCATTTTTTTTCCTTTATGGTTTTAGTGGGTTTTTGTTTATCTTTTGTTTTTTATTTATTTATTTATTTATTTATTTATTTATTTATTTATTTATTAAGACAGTCTCACTCTGTCTCCCAGGCTGGAGTACAGGGGCACAATCTCAGCTCACTGCAGCCTCAGCCTACTGGGTTCAAGTGATTCTCCCACCTCGGCCTCCTGAGTAGCTGAGACTATGGGCACATGCCACCATGCCTGGCTAATTTTTGTATTTTTAGGAGAGACAGGGTTTCACCATGTTGCCCAGGCTGGTCTCAAACTCCTGGCTTCAAGTGATCCTCCCATCTTGGCCTCCCAAAGTGCTGGGATTACAGGCATGAGCCAGATTTTAGTGTTTTGTCTGTTTGTTTTTTGAGACAGAGTATCACTCTGTCACCCAGGCTGGAGTGCAGTGGCGCGATCTCAGCTCACCGCAACCTCTGCTTTCTGGGTTCAAGCAATTCTCCTGCCTCAGCCTCCTGAGTAGCTGGGATTACAGGCACCCGCCACCACGCCCAGCTAATTTTTGTATTTTAATAGAGATGGGGTTTTACCATGTTGACCAGGCTGGTTTCGAACTCCTGACCTCAAGTGATCCATCAGCCTCAGCCTCCCAAAGTGCTGGGATTACTGGCATGAGCCACCACCCCCGGCCAGTTTTAGTGTTTTTTGATGTACCATTTAAAAAATATTTGCCTATTTCAAGGCCACAATGATATTTTCCTGTTTTCTTCTAAAATATTTATTGTTTTATCTTTCACATTTAGATCGACAATAAATCTGAAGTTGATTTTGTATATACTGTAAGGTAAGGGGTCAACATTTATATTTTCCTATTTGGGTAACTGATTGATGCAACACCACTTTTTAAAAAAGCACTGCAGATTTATAGTAAGTCTTGAATTTGATGAAGTTCTCCAACTTTGTTTGTTTATTTATTTATTTATTTATTTATTTATTTTTATTTTTTTGAGACGGAGTCTTGCTCTGTCGCCGAGGCTGGAGTGAAGTGGCGTGATCTTGGCTCACTGCAATCTCCGCCACCTGGGTTCATGCCATTCTCCTGCCTCAGCCTCCCAAGTAGCTGGGACTACAGGCGCCCGCCACCACGCCTGGCTAATTTTTTCGTATTTTTAGTAGAGACGGGGTTTCACCGTGTTAGCCAGGATGGCCTCAATCTCCTGACCTCGTGATCCACCCACCTCAGCCTCCCAAAGTGCTAGGATTACAGGCGTGAGCCACAGCACCCGGCCATTCTTTTATTCTTAATTAATTAATTAATTTTATTTTTATTTAATTAATTTAAATTTTATTTATTATTTATGTATTTATTTATTTTGAGGTGGGGTCTCTCTCTGTCTCCCAAGCTGGAGTGCAGTGACACAATCATGACTCACGACAGCCTTGACCTCCTGGGCTCTAGTGATCCTCCCACCTCAACCTCCTGAGTAGCTGGGACCACAGACATACACCACCACACTTGGCTAATTTTTAAAATTATTTATAGAAATGAGGTGTCGCTATGTTGCCCAGGCTGGACTTGAACTCTTGGCCTTAAGCAATCTTCCTGCCTCAGTCTCTCAAAGTGCTGGGATTACAGGCAAGAGCCACTGTGCCCAGCCCCAACTCTGTTCTTATTCTTCAGGATTACTTTGGCCATTCCTGGTTTTCTGCTTCTACATATAAATTCTAGAATGAGCTTGCAGTGAAAATCATTCTGAGATTTTACTGGAATTACATTAAGTCTATAGATCAATTTGAAGAAATCAGAAAAATTCATTATAATATAAATCTTCCAATCTATGATTTTGGTATGTTTCTCCATTTATTTAGCTATCTTTAACTTTTTTGGAAAATTACTTTGTAGTTTTCAGTGCAGAGGTCTTGTATGTCTTTCATTGTAATAATTTCTAGTTTTTTTTTGGAGGAAGGCAAAAAGATATATATATTTAGAGTTAGCCAGCCGGACTCAGTTTAGATGATCCCAACTTTGTTGGCAACATCCAAAGCATCGTAATCAGAAGCCAGTCTAACATGTGCCTTCTTCTCTCCGTCAGGCTGAATCAGAGTGATGACCTTGGCCACATCAGTGTCATAGAGCTTCTTCACAGCCTGTTCGATCTGGTGCTTGCTGGCTTTAACATCCACAATGAATTTTTTTTTTTTTTTTTTTTTTTTTTTTTTGAGACGGAGTCTCCTTCTGTCGCCAGACTGGAGTGCAGTGGCACGATCTCAGCTCACTGCAACCTCCACCTCTCCAGGGTTCAAGCGATTCTCCTGCCTCTACCTCCCAAGTAGCTGGGACTACAGGCACATGCCACCACGCCCAGCTAATTTTTGTATTTTTAGTAGCGACGGAGTTTCACCATGTTGGCCAGATGGTCTCAATCTCTTGACCTCGTGATCCGCCCGCCTCAGCCTCCCATAGTGCTGGGATTACAGGCGTGAACCAACGCGCCCAGACGTTGTCTTCTATCTTCTTCATGGCAAACTTAGTAGCCAGTACAAACTTGATGATAACATAGTGGTCAAGCTTGTTTCTCCTGGGGTGCTCTTCTGAGGATATCTGGGCTGCCTCTGGAGTCGCAGCGTCTTGGCCACGGGAAGATGGGTGATGTGTGGATCTTCTTTTTTATGTGGCTGTGGACACCTTTCAGCACTGCCTTCTTGTCCTTCAAAGCCTTCGATTTGGCTTCAGCTTTAGGGGGGCAGGAGCTTCCTTCTTTGCCTTTGGTGCCATCTTGTGAAAAGGGTCTATTTCGAGATTTTTCATCATTTATTCTATCATATAGCATTTTAAGTTTTTAGTTAAAATGTTTCTTTTCTTTTTTTTTTTTTTTTTTTGAGACAAAGTCTCGCTCTTGTCCCCCAGTCTGGAGTGTAATGTCGCGATCTCGGCTCACTGCAACCTCTGCCTCCCAGGTTCAAGCGATTTTCCTGCCTCAGCCTCCCGAGTACCTGGGATTACAGGTGCACACCACCATACCCAGCTAATTTTTTGTATTTTAAGTAGAGCTGGGGTTTCACCATGTTGGCAAGGCTGGTCTCGAACTCCTGACCTCAGGTGATCTGCCCATCTCGGCCTCCCAAAGTGCTGGGATTACAGGCAGGAGCCACCATGTCCTGCCAATTGTTTCATTTTTTAATGCAAATGTCTATATATGTTGCTTATTTATAAAAATATAATTAACTTTTAAATATTAACCTTGGATGCAGCAGCCATTCCAAATTCACTTATTTTTGTTTGTTTTCTTTCTTTTTCAACCAAGATCAACTTCTGCACAGATTCACTTATTGATTCCAGTAGCTTGTCTGTAGACTTACTGGAAATTTCTCTGTACCTAATCATGTCATGTAAATAATGATAGTTTGGAGTTGAGCGTGGTGGCTTGCATTTTGGGAGGCCAAGGCGGGAGGAACTCTTGAGCCCAGTTCAAGATCAGCCTGTAGTCCCAGCTACTTTGAAGGCTGAGGTAGGAGGATCATTTGAGCCCAGAAGTTTGAAGCTGTGGTAAGCCATGACTGCACTACTGCACTCCATCCTGGGTGGCAAAGCAAGACCCCGTCTCTAATAATAATAATAATAATAATAATAATAATAATAATAATGAATTTTGCTTCCCCCCCAAATCCTTATGACTTTTATTTCTTTTCCTTGACTTATTGCACTAGCTTCCACTTCTAGTGCAATGTTAAAGAGAACTGGTGAGAGTGGTCCAAGTCACTTGTAGAGAACATTTAGAACAATTTGTTCTGTATACTATCATATATGTAGGAAAAGAAGGACAGGGGTTCCATGTACATATAGGCTTACAATACTAGAAACCAGTAACCCATCACCAAGGCCACAACCAACTGGACTAGGGGTTATAGCCAGAACCAATAGTAGTCACCCAGACCTCCCAGTGGTCAATGTAATGGGCTGGTTTGGGAACTCAATCAGTAGGATCAATCTGGAATGGAGTGATAACCTGTCTCATCAGATTTGGAGACCCACAGAGCAGAATCACAGTCAGTTTCTCACACCAAGAAGAGGTGCTTAGCTGGGATACAGGAAGGGGAGCTTTCACCACTGTTTGCAAAGGAAGATGGCCCAGAGAAAAGATTGTTTGACTATGTTTTCTGGGCATTTCATGATCTTGCTTTCCTATTGCTTCCTCTAGGGACTTTTCATCAGCATCTCAAAAACTCTCAAATGCATAAATCACCATAAAAACCATTGTTGAAAAAACTGGCAAAAGTCCTTACCTCTGGAGAGGGTAACTAGAGGTCAGGGACAGGGAGGGAGGCTTACATTTCACTGTTATATCATGCCCACGTAAGGTTGATTGAAAAGTAAATTTAGTATTTATGTTATAATACATAAATAAATTAGATATTAAATCATTACGAGGTTGAAAAGACAATCATTGGGAAGGCACTCCTCTGGAAGAATGTGTTAGGGTTGCCAGCCCCTCTAACCCACCCCTGCTGTGCTTCTTTTTTTTTTTTTAACTTTAAGTTCTGGGATACATGTGCAGAATGTGCAGGTTTGTTACATAGGTATACATGTGCCATGGTGGTTTGCTGCCCTTATCAACCTGTCATCTTGGTTTTAAGCCCTGCATGCATTAGGTATTTGTCCTAATGCTATCCCTCCCCTTGCCCCCACCCCCTGACAGGCCCCAGTGGGTAATGTTCCCCTCCCTGTGTCCATGTGTTCTCATTGTTCAATTCCCACTTATGAGTGAGAACATGTGGTGTTTGGTTTTCTGTTCCTGTGTTAGTTTACTGAGAATGATGGCTTCTAGCTTCATCCTTGTTCCTGAAAAGGACATGATCTCATTCTTTTTTATGGTTGCATAGTATTCCATGGTGTATATGTGCCCCATTTTCTTTATCCAGTCTATCAACTGGGAATATACCCAAAGGATTATAAATCATTCTACTATGAGTACACATGCACACGTATGTTTATTGCAGCACTATTCACAATAGCAAAGATTTTTTTGTTTTTTTGAGATAGAGTCTTGCTCTGTCACCCAGGGTGGAGTGCAGTGGCCCGATCTCGGCTCACTGCAATCTCCACCTCCCGGGTTCAAGCGATTCTCCTGCCTCAGCCTCCTGAGTAGCTGGAATTATAGGCACCCACCACCACGCCCAGCAAATTTTTGCATTTCTAATAGAGACAGGGTTTCGCCAGTTGTCTAGGCCAGTCTCAAACTCCTGACCTCAGGTGATCTGCCCACCTCAGCCTCCCAAAGTGCTGAGATTACAGGCGTGAGCCACCACGTCCGGCCCCCGCTGTGCTTCTGACATGGGGAAGGGAATGTCACAGAAGCCAAGACCCCATCCCCCACCCACCCCAGGGAAGGACGTGAGGAAGTGGGAGCCGTGGCTGACCTAAGGAGAATGTAGCAGCAGCCACTACAGAAAAAGATGCAGACCCAGAGAGCAGCTGGGTCACAAAGATGGCAGAGTGCTGGCTGCAGGAGGGACAGAGGACCCCCAAACCAGGGCAGGAGGCTGAGCTGCTCAAAGAGTCCCGAGCGCCACTCTGCCCTCCCCTGCTATTCCCAGCCCAGCTATTCCTGCTATTCTGGGTATTCTGTGTCCCTGCCTGGGAGGCCCATGCAAATTCTTTCTGTGTTACAGATGCGTGTAAATCTGTGACCTCCCTCTCCGGTGGACCTGTCCTTCCAGAGCAGAGGCAAGAGGGCCCCTGCAGGGGGCGGGGGTGTCTCTCTGCTCCATCTGGGGCAGCCCCCCTTCCTCAACTCCCATCTTCCTAGAGAAACCTCCTCCCTCTTGTCCTAACCTCTAGGGTTGAATCCCAATCCCACAGCTGGGAATTTTCCAAAAGCCCCACAAGCCCTTTTTCCCGGATTGCCCTTTCTCCATACCACCCTTCAGGGGTCTGCAACACTGAGTGAGGTTGTGAGAAGGATTTCTTGGAGCCCCAAAATAGCAAAATGGAACTGAGTGCAGAGGTAAGAGCACGGAAGGAGAATCCAGATCTAGTTCTGGACCACGCTGAACCTGAATACAATGTTCGAAATAGCAATTAATAACTATGTGCCTATCTCTGTTTAGGCCTTTTATGTGGATTAATTTATTTAATTATCACAAAAATCTTTTGAGGTAGGTACTATTTTCTCTCCATTTTACAGAGAAGGAAACTGAGGCTGGGTGCAGTGGCTCACGCCTGTAATCCCAGCACTTTGGGAGGCCGAGGCCCGTGGATTGCTTGAGGTCAGGAGTTCAAGACCAGCCTGGTCAACATGGCGAAATGCCATCTCTACAAAATATACAAAAAATTTAGAGAGACATGTTGGCGCGTGCCTGTAGCCTCAGCTACTCGAGAGGCTGAGGCACGAGAATTGCTTGAGCCTGGGAGGTGGAGGTTGCAGTGAGCCGAGACCACGCCATTGCACTCCAACCTGGGCGAGAGTGAGACTCCATCTCAAAAACAAACAAACAAACAAAAAACAGAGAAGGAAACTGAGGCACCAAGAGGTTAGAATGCTTGCCAAGGTGCACAGGTGTAGGTGATAGAGCCAGGATTCAAACTTAACTAGTCTGATTCCAACATCCATGTTCTCAACTCATACATTCCACTGCACCTCACAGTCCCTGGGCAAAGTGCCCACCTCTGAGCCTCAGCTCATGCTGTTCCCTCCTACAGGAAAGTCCTTCCTCCCTTCTCCACCTGGCAAAATGCATCTTTCCAGACCCCCATCTGAGAGCCCTGATATGTCCCCAGCACGTGCACACACACCAGACAGAATTTCATGGTGTCCTCCTCTGGGCCATTGGGCAGCCACTTCCCTCCAGCACAGAGTGGACATGCCATGCAGCCTTTGCCCAGCCAGGGCCTTGCCCCCTGCTGAGCCAGAAGCACTTCCCGGCAGGCCCTGGGCCTGGCCCATCACAGTGTCCTCAGCCTCCAGCACACAGCAGCCTTGGCCAGTGCCGTTCCGCGTTCCAGATAGGACTGGCCTCTGCCTCTAACTTTCTGTGGGACTTTGGGTAAACCACTGCCTCTCTGTGACCTCAGTTTCCCCATATCTAGGGATCCCAGGATTGAGATTTTTAAAAAATTTTTTCTGATTGTTCTTCAGCTGCTGAGAGCTCTATGTCTCCCTGCCAGAGAAATCACCTGGGAACTTTCCTCTCAGACCACGCTGTGGAGAGAAACCAAGGAGCTTCTGGGAGGGCCAGTGGGACTTTCTGGGCTCCCAGCTGGACTTGGACTTTCCTAGAGGAACATCTGAGTCACCTTCCTGTCTGAGGAAGGAGTTTGGCTGCTCTGTTTTGGATGATGAAAGGCCAGGAAAGGGCCTCTGTCCAAACATCCACTCTTCCCACCCAGACTTGATGATGCCCCTCCAGTGCCAATACCCCACTGATAATAATAATCGGAAGTATGATTTATACACTACCTTCCCCCATACTCATTCACAGTGCCCTGCAGTTCCCAAGCCAAGGAGATAGAGCTGTGGGATAGCTAGGACTAGGCTGGGTCAGACCAGAGCTCTGGTGCCAGGGCTGCTGCTCCTTCGCCTCTCCATGCCTCAGTTTCCTCATCTATAAAATGGGACAAGGGCACCTGTTTTCTTAGGTTGCTATGAAGAATACACTTGCAAACTGCACAGTGCCTGGTGCCTAGCTATTGCTCATCACTCTGGAGGCACCAATGGTCTAAGCCAGGTAGGTGCTGGCCAACACCTAACTCCGACCATTATACAGATGAGAAGATCCCCTGAGCAACTTGGGAGCAAACAGAAGGTGTTCTATTCATCTCCATGTCACCAGCATCCAGCACATGATAAATATCCAAAAAGCCTAAGAAACGTTCCACTTCCCACTCACCCCCAGTAGCTGTGTGTCTTTGGGCTATCTGCCTTCCTTCTCTGGGCCCAGCCTTTTTGGGATGCCTAAGCTCACACTTTAATATCTAGGTGCAAGGGAGCAGTGGATTACATTAGGAACTCTGAGTTGGCAGAGCTGCCCTGGTATGATTTCTGCCTTCAACACTAACTGTGTGATGTAAGGGAAGAAGGGAAGTTATTTTACCTCTTTAAGCCTCAGGATTGTGTGTGTGTGTGTGTGTGTGTGTGTGTGTGTGTGTGTGTGTGTGTGGTTTGTTGTTGTTGTTGTTTTTTAGAGATGAGGTCTCACCATGTTGCCCAGGCTGGTCTCGAACTCTTGACTTCAAGTAATCTGCCCATCTTGGCCTCCCAAAGTGCTGGAATTACAGGCATGAGCCAGCCTCAGTTTTCTTATTCATAAAAAAAAAAAAATTCCCCCTACCTCTCAATATTGTTTTGAGACTTCAACACATGAAAAGTACTGGACACAGCCCCGGAACATCGTAAATGCTCAATTAACTAAAGATGATTTAAGGGTGAGAAGAGGAAGTTAGGGGGTTGGTTGAAATGGTTATAAACCATGTTGTGGGAACCCAGAAGAGAAAGCAACAAATTCCAGCTGGGGAGATGTAGAGAGGGGAGGCGACCCACCGGAGGCCACACAGTTATCGTGGCAGAGCTGGAGGGAGTTCCACAGACCAGACCCCTGTTTGGGCTGGAAGGCAGCCATCTCTGAGGGAGCGAGGCACTGGTTTCCTGTTTTCCTTCTGAGAATCCGAGGCACCTAAGACAAACAAACAAATAAATCTTGGCCTAAGTTCCATTTCACTCAGTGAAGGAGCCTTGTAAAAGGATGTGTCTGAGCAGGAAAAGTTTATCCCTACCCATTTCACCTTCAACTTGAAGAAGGAGCCCTGAACCGTGATTCAAGACTGGGTTCTAGACCTCTCTGGGCCTCAGTTTCCCCTTCTGTAAAATGACCAGATTTTATAGGCATTTCTGTGCTCTTGCAAACAACCACCAAGATACATTGTTAAGTGGAGGAGGAAAAAGAACAAGGCCAGTATGCATAGAAGATGACAGTTTAAGGAGAAAGGTGGGGGAAGGTGGGAATGCCTGTATACATCAACTTGTATATGCAGAAAATTTCCTGGAGGGCTACATGAGGAACCAGTACCGCAGGGCTTGCCTCTGGGGAAGGAAGCAGGAGTCAGGGATGGAAGGAAAGTTTTCATCTGTTTATTCTTACTTTGCACCTTTTGAAAGTTAAATTATGCAAATGTAATCCCTGTGGGGGGGATATATATACACACACATATATATACATATATATGTATGCACTGTAAAAAATAGAAAAGTATTGAAATCCAGCACTTTGGTATTTTTAAAAAATTATATAACATTGACTGCAGTTTTTGTTTCCTTTTAATACACATACACTGAGATTCCAAGAAGAAAACCCCCCAAAAGGCAGGATCTCTGGTCAGAGACCTAATGCCTGCAGGAGGAGGAAGTGGGGGCAGAAACAGGGAAAAGAGATACACAAGGTTAGAAAATTCAAACCTTATTATGAAAGGTACAAAAAAGGAAAGTGAAAGCCTTTACCTCCCTCCCCAGAGGCAAGGTAATCAGAGGAAATCTCTGATAACAGCTTTTTGTGATTCATCTGGGACATGGGAGAATTAAAAGTCAATAAGTAAAAGGAAAGAAAAAGAAACTGACATTGTGAAAGCTAAGTTTCCATTTGACTTAATCTCATGTCTGGTAGGAGCTGTTTCTGCAGGTGATTTTGTCCTGTTTGTCCAGGCACTGGGTGGGGTTCCATTCTCCTTGGTCAGGTATACAAGCTGGCAGGCCTCCTGGAAGCAGCATCCCTATCTTCTCAAAGTTAGGCAATGACATTCAGAGCTGGCTCCTGGGGAGGGAGAGGCCATCCAGAGCCTACCCAGCCTCACACCCTATCCCCTGGCAAACAACCTCAAGCCCTGACTGTGGTCCTCTCTCTCCAGAACCACAAGCATCTCCCCAGCTGGGCTGAGAAATGTGTCCAGGGGTTCCAGTTCACCGACACCTTTTTCCAGCTTCTTTTTTATTATAAAAATAACACATGCTCTTGGTAAGAAATTCCAAGAGCACAGAAGAACAGGAGCCCCCTTCTCATTCCCTTTCCTCAGGGTGAACTGAGCCACCAGGGTTCTTGGTGTCCTGGTCAGCCCCAGGAGATCATAAGGGTAATGATGCCCATTTTATAGATGAGGAAACTGAGGCACGGAGAGGGGGAGAAACCATTGAGGCCATGTGCTGAAAAGTGGCAAAGGTGGGATTTGAATATGGCTCTTCTGCCCCCAAGTCTAGAACTTTCCACAAGTCTACCAGCAGTACAGCTCTGATCAGCTCAATCCCAAGTTCATAGTGCTTCTTTGCCCCATCCTTATCACTCCTCATCCCCACCACACAAACATATACACGCATACACACACACACATACATATACACACACATACACACACATGCATACACATGCATACTCACATATACACGCACATGCACACAGACATACACACATATACATATACACACACATACACACATACACACATATATACATATATACACATATACACCCACTTACACACACATACACACACACATACACACAAAACCCCACAGTGACTAACCCAGCTGCATGAAAATGCCTCCACAGACATATATACACTCACCCAGCCCAGTGCCCTCATCCCCATAGACTATTTCTGAACCAACATATACACTTGCACACAATCACACATGTGCAATGTACAAAAACACACTTCAGACACTCACACGTGTTCTCATTTCCAGAGACACAAAGACACACTTCTACACACCCATAGACATAGATGCTGGCACACACCCATCCCCACCAGCCTCCCCTCATACCCTCTGTCAGAGCCCACCCCTCAGAGACGCCACATCCATCTTGTGGCCAAGCCATCACCGCCAAAGTCCTGTCCTCTTCTGCCCGATCAAGTCCTAGTTGTGGTCTTCTAGTTACACTATTGTGCCAGCCAGATGCCACCTGTCCCCCGGCCAAAGCTGGGCCCCTCCCTCAATGCCCTTGCCCTTCTGCCCAAGATTCCAAGGCAGCAGAATTCTTTTTATTTTATGTATTTATTTTTGAGAAAGAGTTTTACTCTGTCGCCTAGGCTGGAGTGCAGTGGCACGATCTCGGCTCACTGCAACCTCCACCTCCGGGGCTCAACTGATCCTCCTGCCTCAGCCTCCCGAGTAACTGGGACTACAGGCATGTGCCACCATGCCCAACTAATCTTTGTATTTTTTGTAGAGACGAGGTTTCACCATGTTGGCCAGGCTGGTCTCAAACTCCTAATCTCAGGTGATCTGCCGGTAAGCTAGCAGAATTTTTTTTTTTTTTTTTTTGAGACGGAGTTTCGCTCTTGTTGCCCAGGCTGGAGTGCAATGGCGTGATCTCGGATCACCACAGCCTCTGCTTCCCAGGTTCAAGCGATTCTCCTGCCTCAGCCTCCTGAGTAGCTGGGATTACAGACATGTGCCACCACGCCCAGCTAATTTTTTGTAATTTTAATAAAGACGGGGTTTCTCCATGTTGGTCAGGCTAATCTTGAACTACTGACCTCAGGTGATCTGCCCACCTCAGCCTCCCAAAGTGCTGGGATTACAGGCGTGAGCCACCGCCCCTCGCCAAGCTAGCAGAATTCTAGGGCTTCCTTTCGTCACCTCTCCCACCCACATGGCACTAATGCCTTGAAGAGATTTGATGAAGAACCTCACAGTTCAACACTCCTGCCTCCTGAGGTGTGCACAAATAGCTTGAAAGGGACCATCTGCTCCTGAGGATCTGCACTCACCCTTGCTCCAGACCCTCTTCATCTTCTCTGAACGTTTCCAAATCCCTTACCTCAGTTTTCCCCCAACAGTTCTCAGAGGATGGGGACCTGAACATTCAGTTGTGGCTCCATTTGACTCACCTGTAAATGTGGTTCCCGAACACTCCAGAGACAACTAGGAACTTCATGAAAACACACAGTACTGCCCCCAGACCCACGTGGGGTCTCTGGGGCTGGCACAGGGTGGCCACTCAATCTGATGGCCAAGAGGTCAATTGAAGAGCTGGGCAGGTGGAGAGAGGAACATCCTTCTCTTCCATAGTCAGACATTAACCAGGAGAGAACTGGATCCCCAAAATGTAATCTTGAGGACTTGAGCACAAGTACTGAGGGCCCTAGTTGGGGTGCTATGAACATACGGGGGAAACACTCTGAATTGGGGATTTATTGGGGGATTTATTCATTTGTTCTTTCAATTAATAAATACTTCCTACAAGGAGGCCAGCCTCAGTGACTGAAATCCCAGCACTTTTGGAGGCCAAGGCAGGAGGATCACTTGAGTCCAGAAATTCGAGACCACCCTGGGCAACATAGTGAGACTCTGTCTCTACAAAAAATACAAAAGTTATCCAGGCTTGGTGGTGCATGCCTAAAGTCCCAGCAAGTCGGGAGGCTGAGGTGGGAGGATCATTTGAGCCTAGAAGGTTGAGGCTGCATTGAGTCATGATCGAGCCACTGCATTCCAACCTGGGTGACAGAGCAAGACCCTGTCTCAAAAACAAAAACAGTTCCTACAGGGAAGCAGGCACCAAGATCTGTGGGGATTGAAGAGTCCCAGCTCACATGAGTGTGGGGTCTGGTGGGGACACACGTAGCCTAAGACTCTCCTCTCTCTCTCTCTCTCTGACACACACACACACACACACACACACACACACACACACACACACACCATGCCAAGGGTTCTGGTGCAGACAGGGGAGCTGACCCAGGCTGGAGGTCAGGAAAGGCTCCCGTGGGAGGGAACCAGAGGAGAGCTGAGGGCGGGTGAAGGTGTTGAGCTCCTTCAGCAACTTGGAAACTTTCTCAGACAACCTGACCTAGAAAAATTTTGCATCAGACTCTCATTTTTATGAGGAACTTGATAAATGAAGAAACTTGCTCTGTATATCTGCTGAAACCTTTGGAGAACAAAGGAGGCATCAGTAATGCTCTTTTTTTAGAATGAAAAGTAATTTTCATGGCTCTTTTTCCTTTCACGTTGCAAAAGCAGTGCATTTTGGGAAACATGACTCCCCCAGCCCCCACCCTCCCCTGCCCTGCCCACCGTGTCTCTGGCTGGGGAACAGGGCACGCGACTTGCACCACCCTGTCATGACCTCCTGGGACTCCAAGAGTCCACCTGTTGCCTGTCCAGGCACCTCCCCTGGGCAGACCCACCTGTGCCCCTGCTGGCACATCCTCTGCTGAGGTCCCCAGGACAAAGGACATAGGTTGGTCTTCTAGGATCTGAGTCCCAGCAACCATAGAGAAAGACTGCAACAAACAGGCCTGGAGAAAATAGCATTAGGCATATCAAAATCCAGAGGGAAATGGGGAGTTATTTGAAGATAAAGAATTTCCAGAGGAAATGTCAAAACTCTGAGTGGCTTCACGCAGGTGGAAAAGGGCTTCAGCTGTGGGTTCCTTCCCCTCCCCAGGGTTGTGGTCCCCATTTCCCTCCTTGGAAGCCCCACTTGGATGGGTTTGCGTCCCGGATATGGCCTGCAACACTGGGTCCAAGCAGTTTAGGGGCTAGCTCTGACTCTGGAAGGCTGGAGAAATGGCTGCACCAGCTCTGGGCTCTCACGATGCACACAGGGCCAGGAGCAGTGGCTCATGCTTGTAATCTCAACACTTTGGGAAGCCAAGGCAGGAGGATTGCTTGAGGCCAGGAGTTTAAGACCAGCCTGGGCAACGTAGACCTTGTCTCTACAAAAAAAAAAAAAAAATTTTGTTGTTGTTGTTTCAATTAGCGGGACATGGTGGCCAAACACCTGTAGCCCCAGCTTACTCAGGAAGCTGAGGCAGCAGGATCTTTTGAGCCCAGGAGTTTGAGGCTGCAGCAAGCCAAGATTGCACCATTGCACTCCAGCCTGGGTGACAGAGCAAGGCCTTTCTCTAAAATATAAATAAGGCCAGGCCTGGTGGCTCATGCCTGTCTTGCCAGCACTTTGGGAGGCTGAGGCGGGTGGATCACTTGAGGCCAGGAGTTCGAGACGAGCCTGGCCAACATGGTGAAACGCCATCTCTACTAAAAATACAAAAATTAGCCGGGCGTGGTAGTGTGCGCTTGTAATCCCAGCTACTTCGGAAGCAGAGACAGGAGAATCTCTTGAACCCAGGAAGCAGAGACTGCAGCGAGCTGAGATCATGCCACTGCACTCCAGTCTGGGCAACAGAGCGAGGCTCCATCTTAAAAATAAATAAATAAAATAAAAATAAATAATGATTTTAAAATGATGCCCATAGAAAATGTGTAGTGATTGAAAGGAAAATGGAATATTTGTCCCTCTTTATTGCACTTTCCCCAGGATCCCTGGCTTTCCTGGAGAAATTGATGCCCTATCTCAACTGGACTCCATACCATCCTTGGTTCTCCTGAGACCCATCTTCTCTCAGTCCCACCCCTAGGCCTTTGCTCATGATGGGCTCCATGGAATGCCTTCCCCCTCCTCTCAGCCCATATAGGTCAGACCGGTCCTTCTCTGCCCACCTTCTCCAGCACACCTCCTCCTCTTTGGCATCCCTGGAGTTCTTTCTCTTCCACTAAGTCTGCATCATTTAATCAGGCAGGATCTGATCTCTTGTTTCCTGATGTTTTGCAGAGGAGCCATCTAAGCTAGCACTGCCCAATAGAAATATGACACAAGCCACACAGGAAATTCAATTTCTTTTTCTTATTCTTTTTCCGTTTTTTTTTTTTTTTTTTTAAACAGAGTCTCGCTGTGTCGCCAAGACTACAGTGCAATGGCACAATCTCAGCTCACTGCAACCTCCGCCTCCCAGGTTCAAGCGATTCTCCTGTCTCAGCCTCCTGAGTAACTGGGAATAAAGGCGTGTGCCACCACACCCATCTACTTTTTTTGTATTTTTGGTAGAGATGGGGTTTCACCATGTTGGCCAGGCTAGTCTTGAACTCCTGACCTCAAGTGATCCATCTGCCTCAGCCTCCCAAAGTGCTGGGGTTACAGGCATGAGCCACCGCACCCAGCCAGAAATTAAATTTTTCTAGTAGCAGCATTGAAAAAAGTAAATAGAAACAGTGGAAATTAATTTTAATAATATATTTTTATTTGACCCAACATGGCCAAAGTATAATTACATTGAAAATTAATAATAAAACAGTTTACATTTTTTTCATACTGTCTTTGAAACCTACTTTGTATTTTACACTCATGATCCCTCTGAATTCAGACTGGCCACATTTCTTTTTTTATTTTATTTTATATTATATTATTTACTTTTTTTTTTTTTTGAGATGGAGTCTCACTCTATTGTCCAGGCTGGAGTCCAGTGGCATGATCTAAGCTTACTGCAACTTCTGCCTCCCGGATTCAAGCAATTCTCCTGCCTCACCCTCCTGAGTAGCTGGGATTACAGGTGTACACCACCATGCCCAGCTAATTTTTGTATTTTTAGTGGAGATGGGGTTTTGCCATGTTGGCCAAGATGGTCTCGAACTCCTGACCTCAAGTGATCTGCCTGCCTCGGCCTCCCAAAGTGCTAGGATTACAGGCGTGAGCCACTACACCTGGCCTGGACTGGCCACATTTCAAATGCTCAAGAGCCAGTGAGTGACTACTGTGTGGGAGGGTACAGGTCCAGGCTGTATTTTTCTTTGGGTTACATGTGACAGAGGTTCACATTAAACTGGCATAAGTGAAAAAGGGCATTGGCTCATGAAACTGACAAGACCAAAAGGGATAAATTGAGGGACAGCTAGCTCCAGGCTTTCCAATGTCGTCAATGTCGTCAGAGAGCTGACATTGTATATTTTCCAGCTTTCCTTCTCAAGTAGGTTCTGGATGGCATAGCAAAGACAGCCACCACCAGCTCAGCCACCTGACCCCGCACCCAGCTTCTCTATTCCAAGTGTTCCCCCAGGCCAGACTCCCACTGGACCAACTGGAATTCTGCACTCATTTCTGAACCAATCAGTGTTGTGGCAAGATGGGTGGAATGGCTGACTAGCAGATGTGAGTCGTCTGACCATTCCCAGCATGAGAGGAGAGGAGAGTCAGCCTCACCTTTCCTGATGGGACTGACAGTGGCCACGGAGGGGTTTCCCAAAGGAGAATCAGGAGGTTTGGTACCCAAAGACTAAGGGGGCCACACAGGATGGGGAGGGAGAGGGATGTGAGGTGAGAGTGAAAAGTGACCAGAATGCAGGTTGGATTGAATAAAAAGAGGCTCCCAAGAGTACTGGAGTATGAGATTGAACAGGAAAGACATGATCTTAGTCTGGCGGAAATGTTCAAAAGATGTGATGGCTAGTAGGGCACATGCCAGTGAGAGCAGATAATAGCCTTAGTGCTGGGTGCCCAGGAGTTTTGGGGGTTGTGGGGAATCCCGGAGAGGGGAAGGGCCAGGATGGTCGTGGGGACTATGGGAGGCTCATTGCAGCCCCATTTACCAAGGAGCACAGCAGTATTTCCACCTGTTGCTACTGATATGGCCATAGGAAGCACATCAGGAGACCATCCAGAGGCCTCGACCTCAGACACTGCATCCCATACCCCACACTAAGGATGCAGCCCACCCCGAGAGAAAACTCTGCCCTGGTGCAGCTCTGAGCAGAACACAGGAACCTTTTAGCCCAGAAAGACAGAGCAGATGGACCTTCCCGAGGGTCTGGAGGTCCCCAAGCCCAGGCAGGCAAAAGGGTTGTTATCCCAATGGGGAGGGCTAGGCACGGGACTCAGAGATGAAGACTCCTGGGGAAGGCAAGGGTCATGAATGGCCTTCCCAGGGGGGAACCCAGGCTTCCTGAGCTCCACTAGAGAGGCACAAAAAGCTGACTTGAAGAGCCCAGAGAATTGACTCAGTCGTCTGTCCGTCCGTCCATCCATCCATCCATGCATCCCTTTGTCCGTTCACCCACTCATGTACTATTTATTTACCAAGCTCCTGCTATGTGACAGGAATGCCCTACCTGCCAGGAATACCCTGGTGAACTAGATGGCCAAGGTCCCTGCCTTCGCAGAGCCCAGAGCCTAGTCAGGGAGAAACACGATCAACAGATAAGCCAGCCAATGAACACGGTGACTTCGGATCTCAAATAGGGTGGCCAGATAGCAAATGAGTGGGAGGAGAGGTGGGGGCTGCTTTAGCCACGCGCTGAGGAAGAGTCATTTGAAGAAGATGGCTCTAGACAGAGGAAACGGCCAGTTTCATAGACCCTGCAGAGGGAGTACGTTTTGTATTGGAAAACCAGATAAATGGAGGTGGGAGATGAAGGTGGGGGAAGAGGTCGGAAAGCTGGTCACGGCTGACTCAGGTGAGGCAGTCAGGATGCACTGTGGTTGTGGGGAGGGCAGGCTAGAGATTCTCTCCACAAAGTCAGATTGGCAGGTCAAACTGGCCCCATAGTATTCACCAGGCACAAGAACTGTCATATTAGGCTGGGCACAGTGGCTCATGCCTATAATCTCAGCATTTTGGGAGGCTGAGGTGGGAGGTGTGCTTGAGGCCAGGAGTTCAAGACCACCCTAGGCAATATATTGAGACCCCATCTCTACAGAAATGTTTTTTTGCAAAAATTAGCCAGGCGTGGTGGCTTGTGCCTGTAGTGCTAGCTACTCGGGAGGCTGAGGTGGAAGGATCACTTGAGCCCAGGCAGTCGAGGCTGGAGTTAGTTGTGATTGCACCACTACACTCCAGCCTGGGTGACAGAGTAAGATCTTGTCTCAAAAAAAATAAAATAAAATAAAAAAGTCACATTGTTTTATTTTGCTGGGCTAACACATAAAGCATTTACTCTGCTCCAGGCACTCTAAGTGCTCAGCATGTATTAACTTATTTGATCTTCTCAAAAATCCTCTAAGATAGATATTAGTACTAAGCCCATTTTACAGATGGCGAAACTGGGGAACTGAGAGGCTAAGTAACTCCCCCAAGGTCACAGAGCTAGCAAATGGCAGAAGCAGGATTTGAACTCAGGTGGTCCCAGAGTCCATGCACTCAGCCACGAGGGCTCAAATTAAAATTGGCCAGCCAGGCATGGTGGCTCACACCTGTAATCCCAGCACTTTGGGAGGCCGAGGCAGGTGGATCGCCTGAGGTCAGGAGTTCAAGACCAGCCTGGCCAACATGGTGAAACCCCATCTCTACTAAAAATACAAAAAAAAAAAAAATTAGCTGGGGGTAGTGGTGGGCGCCTGTAATCCCATCTACTCAGGAGGCTGAGGCAGGAGAATCACTTGAACTGGGAAATGGAGGTTGCAGTGAGCCGAGATCACACCATTGCACTTCAGCCTGGGCAACAAGAGCGAAACTCCATTTCAAAAAAAATTGGCCCTCTACTCCCTGCCTATCAGGGTGGTAAGCTGTCGTCTCAGCCATTCCTGGGGTTCTCCTTCTAGGGTGGCCAAAGGCTTAGGGGGCATGGGCAGAAGCAGTCCAGAGAACTTGGAAGTGAGCTCCTGGCCTTTGGTCTATTCTGGTCGTCACTGAAATGCTCACTGTCCACGTGATCCACTCATAGCCAAGAAATTGAGCCGCCTGACTCCCTCTATGCCAAGGGTGGACCTTGGGGTCTTTGGCTCCAGCTCCTGAGGGACCAAATTTTCCCTACCCCATCCTGTTAGACATCTTTGCCTGCCTCATCCACTTCACCTCCAGATTCCCCCATTCCCCTGGGGCTGGCCTGGCTTCTCCCCTCAGTGGTCAAGATGTCCAAACAAGGACTTTAACAGGCATTTGCTCCTGGCACCCTGTGGCTTCTGCCCTCCACCCTCAGCCAAGAAAACCAGAGCCTAAATAACAAAAGCTTGGCCATGCTACTTGGACTGCCTTACTGGGAAAATCCTACCCTTTCTTTTAAATCTCCTTTAATAATGAAAACAAACAGGACTAAAAACAGCATCTCAAAGTCCATCCTGCCATGTGAATTGGCAAGCCCTCGTGGCTTTTTTTTTTTTTTTCTTTTTGAGATGGAGTCTCGCTCTGTCGCGCCCAGGCTGGAGTGCAGTGGCACGATCTCGGCTCACTGCAACCTCTGCCTCCTGGGTTCAAGCAACTTTCCTGCCTCAGCCTTCCGAGTAGCTGGGATCACAGGCGCCTGCCACCATGACTGGCTAATTTTTTGTATTTTTAGTAGAGATGGGGTTTCACCATGTTGGTAAGGTTGGTCTCGAACTCCTGACCTCAGGTGATCCGCCCGCCTCGGCCTCCCAAAGTGCCAGGATTACAGGTGTGAGCCACCGCGCCCGGCCTCATGGCCTTTATTAAGGAGACAATGTAAAGAAAGTGCTTGGCACAATGCTAGGCACACAGCATTCAAGAAGGGGTTTTGTTTTGTTTTGTTTTGTTTTGTTTTGTTTTTGAGACAGCATCTCACTCTGTTGCCCGGGCTGGAGTGAGGTGGCATGATCACGGCTCACTGCAGCCTCGACCTCCTGGGCTCAAGCGATCCTCCCACCCCGGCCTCTCAAAGTGTTAGGATTACAGGTGTGAGCCACCACACCTGGCCTCAAGGAGTTTTGAGCCAGACAAATCAAGTTCCATTTATCAGCTGTGTGACTCTGGGTAATTCATGTGGTCTCTCTGAGCCTCACTTTCCTGTAAAATGGGGGTAATGATGACCTGTGTTGTGGTGCTGTGCTGAACATTAAGTGAGGTAATGGATGGAAAGGAAACATTCACTAATACTCAGCTTCTTGCCACACTTGTCCCTGGGAGGGCTGGTGATGTGTGCTGAAGTCCCAGGAATGCTAGGAATTACCCCTTTCAGGCACCTTGGCTGGACAAACACTAGGTCCTCATTTGGCCATCTGACTTCATCTGTGCAAAGTAGGGCAAAGTACAGGAAGAGCCACGTCGGGGCTTCCCCAGCTGCTTGTGGGCTTTTCAAGCTCCACCCAGGGGACTTTTTTTTCCCCAAGCTGGACAAATGTCCGGAGCAGGGAATGGGTGAGGCCTGTCCCACAGGGCTCATTGTTGGCGTCTAGGCTGCTGATAAGGTGGAAACAGGACATAAACAGAAATGGTGGCCTTCTCCCTTCCCAATTTTGGTCTCAGGGACCTAGGGGTACAAGGCTTCCTCCAGGCCAGGAGGGTGTCACATGAAAGGTGTCGAGGGGGGACACCTGATCATCCACCCAAACCCAAGAGACAGAGCTGTGTGGGAACCTGGTGCTGAGCCCCATCAAGGGAGCACTTTCTCCCAGGCCGGCCAGGAGGGCAGCAGGCAGGGCGGGGCTGGTGTGGGCTCCAGCTCTGGCGCTACCTCTGTTCCCTTCTCTCTAAAATGATGTGCACTCAGAAAGGTTGGTGATGCAAGAAATGAAGGGAGGGTCCCAGAGGTGGAGAGTGCAGGGCTTCTGCCCCAAAGAGGACCTTGGGCAAGTCACTCAGCCCACCTGAGCCTTACCTCCCTGGTCTGCAAAATGGGGTGAAAGTGGGAAGCTAGCAGCCCCTGCTTCAAAGCCCTTGCCTTCAAGGGAAACCAAGCATCTAGTAACCTGGCTCCCCTATGGCCTTCGTGACCTCCTATTGCATCCCTACATCCTCTCTCTCCACCCTGACACCCCACACACACACCAGCCAGCCAGCAGGGCTTGTGTGTTTTACCCCAAAACACATCCTGAATCTTGAATTCTACCACCTTTTGCAATCTCCACTTCCCTGGTCCAGCCATCATCATCTCTTACCCTCCCTGCCCTGGCCTTCCCCCTGGACTTCCAATTCTTCCCTTGGCCTGCCGTCCATCCTCCACACAGCAGCCAAAGGGATAGTTTTTGAAGGGCCCTCAGGACCATGCCACTCCCCTGCTTAAAACACTCCAGGCTGGGCACAGTGGCTCACACCTATCATCTCAGCATTTTGGGAGACCAAGGCCGGAGGATCTCTTGAGCTCAGGAGTTCGAGAACAGCCTGGGCAAAGTGTCAAGATCCTGTCTCTACAAAAAGTATAAAAATTAGCCAAGTGTGGTGGTGCACACCTGTAGTCCCAAATACTTGGGAGGCTGAGGCAGGGATTGCTTGAGACCAGGAGATTGTCTGCAGTAAGCCAAGATTGTGCCACTGGACTCCAACCTGGGCCACAGGGCTGGACCCTGTGTCAAAACAACAACAACAACAAACAAAAACACAGCAGTTACTCCATCACAGAAGAAAATCCAAACTCCTTTCCCTGGCACTCCAGCCCTGTGTGATATGGCCTGAACCTTCCCATCACCTTACCCCTGCCACACTGGCCTTGCTGTCCCTCCAACAGACTATATTTCTCTCTGCCTCAGAGCCTTTGCACTGGCTATGTCTTTTATCTGAAATGCTGCCACCTGCAGCTTTGATCTTGCTTGTGTTTCTCCTTTTGAACTCAGTGTCAGCTCCTCACAGAGGCCCTCCCTAACCACCCTGCCTAGGAGAGCCCCAATCACTCTTGATCACTGTTAAAAGGGTATTTTTTTTTTTTTGAGATGGAGTCTCACTCTGTTACCCAGGCTGGAGTGCAATGGTGTGATCTCAGCTCACTGCAACCTCTGCCTCTCGGGTTCAAGCAATTCTCCTTCCTCAGCCTCCTTAGTAGCTGGGATTACAGGCAAGTGCCATGACGCCTGGCTAATTTTTGTATTTTTAGTAGAGACGGGGTTTCACCATGTTGTCGAGGCTGGTCTTGAACTTCTGACCTTGTGATCTGCCCACCTCAGCCTCCCAAAGTGCTGGGATTACAGGCATGAGTCACCTCGCCTGGCCAAAAGGATAATTTTTAAGATAAAATCATAATTCTCATATAAATATAAAATGAACACGTCAAAGATTTTATTTTAGTCATTAATTAATGGGAGGACCTGTTCAATGTTATAGCCAATTCAAAAGAGAATTCAAAGACACACATATATTGGCAATCAGGAATGCTGAAATGAATTTATAAGCAGATTGCAAAATTGGTCAATATCCACAGGGCAATGATCAATTGCATTCTACCCTAACAAAATTCACCTGTATTTCTGTGGACAAGAATTATTTGGACATAAAAGTAATGAAAGGTGCAAGCCCTTATAGAATCAGATCCAGCTATCTTTTTTGCCTGTTTTAAAGTCTTTCATGAGTTTCTTGATGCATCCTCTACCCAGCATTTAACAACACCTGGATGTATTTGTCCACCTGTTTCTTATCCTTCTCCCTTCGCTCCATGCCTGAATGTATCTTGAGAGTGGAAATTCTGTTTTGTTCACAGCATCTAGAAGAGTGGCACATAGCAAGTGCTTAATAAATGTTTGTTGACTTTCTTTCCAGCTTCCAGGGCAATTTGTATTTTAGAAGAGGACACAAAAGAGTTTAGTGCTAAACCTAAAGGAAAGAATTCTGGCAGTCAATGAGGAGAGGACATTTGGGACAGGGAAAGAGGAGGATTTCATTGTCTTTCAGATAACCAGGACCTCTGCCCACCCCCATGGGGCTGCATCCCAAGCTCCAAGCATCTCAAGGGAATCTAATCCAAGGGTGGTAAGTGCTGCTGTTCTCTGGCCGAGGCCGCTCTGTGATACCATCTCAGACAAGTCCGAGGGCACTAAGAGGTTAATGTGACCCCACTGCTCACACCTTCTAGGCCTGACCCCTGGACTCCAAAGTTGGCTCAGAGATGTTCGAGGGTCTTGGACCCTCTCTTCTAGTGCCTGTGTACAGAGAGGGGCAGCAGCTGCCATTGTAGGAATATGAGTCATTAATGAGGGAATTCATTAATTAATGTGTAATTGTTACACACCAGGTCAGCGGCCCAGCCCCCTGAGATCCTAGAAATCCTTCTGGAGAAGGGCACCCTCTCGGTACCGAGGTCTTCTGGTCCCTGGAAACAGCCTGTGCGCGGCGTGCGTAAGCCTAGAGGGGGTGGAAGGGAAGAGAGGAAGATGCCGCGGGGGCCAGGAAAAGAGAGATGAGTCACGAAATGAGGGGATGCAGGAAGGAGGAAGCGAGGGAAGAATGAATCCATGGGATCTTCCCTGCGTACCTACTGTGTGCCGGGTACGGTTTGGGCACTGGGGACATAGGAATAGGGCGGGTCTGGCTGTGCAGCTGCAGGCCTCGTTCTATCCCGGAGCCTGAGTAAATGAATTATAACACATATACAAATGTGAAGCTGCAGCTGGGGCGAGTATTCGGAAGGAGAGCGCGGTAAGAGTGCCAGGCGGCCTTGCAATACCTGGGCTTTACCTAGATTGGGCGCCAGCCCACGGAAATGTCTGCGAATCAGTGCAGGTATACGGACTTGATTGCATTGTGCACAAGGGAAATGCAAGGTTGCTTGCAGATTTCAGGAATCAAAGCTGACATGATAGTACATGTATGAATGCAGAATGAATACAGGCTGGAGGCACGAATGCATGTGTATTGAAGTAACAGTCTTCGGTCTCGGCCTTCTCTAGTAGGCCTTGCGCACCCTCTGGCGTCGCCTAGGTGCATCGCGCTGACCTTCCTTGTCCCATCTCTCCACGCCCATTGGAGCAAGTGAGTGTATCTCGCTCCACCCAACGCCGGGCGGACAACTAGGAGTGGGTCTTCGCTGCCCACTACGCATGCGCATATTGCAGAACTTGTGAAGAGGCTTTATGCGCCACACACTGCAAGCAGTCAGGATGGCCGAGCGGTCTAAGGCGCTGCGTTCAGGTCGCAGTCTCCCCTGGAGGCGTGGGTTCGAATCCCACTTCTGACAGAGCTCAATTACTTTTCCTCATCAACACCGCAGATCAGTGAGGTTATGATGTCTTGTGTGTATGTGTTCTGTGTATATGTTCTTATAATCTTTTTTTATTCTTTTACAGATCAATGAGGTTATGATGTCTTGTGCGTATATGTTCGCATAATCTTAATTGTTTTACAAAACGAGTATTTTCTTATTAACGAGCATTTTCTTTTTTAAAAAAGAATCTCGCTCTGTCGCCTAAGCTGGAGTGTGGTGGCGACATCCTCCCGCCTCAACCTCCTCCGAAGTTGGGAGTTCAGAATCACACGACCACGTCCTGTCAGACTTTTTCTTCCCCACAGACATTCATTTAGACTTTGGATTGTGTGTAAAACGTACGGTCCTCTGTGTTTGAGGGCCTCTCTTGGTGTGCGGTCGTCGAAGATTTCTCTTCTGAAATACCGGAAAAGAGCGCTTGTCAGAAGTGGGATTCGAACCCACGCCTCCAGGGGAGACTGCGACCTGAACGCAGCGCCTTAGACCGCTCGGCCATCCTGACTTCCTAGGAGAGACTATTTTGGGGTCTGATGTAGTTCCTCTCATGCTTCAACGACGCTCGGGACTCAGAACCCAGAGGCGGTGTCCCGGGCAGTTCCGAGTCCGGCCTGCAGCTTAGGTTATCCACAACCAAACCCATCCGGTGCAGCGAGACTCACTGCTGTGGTCAAACTGGCGCTTTCAACTGAATACACAGATAATTTAAATGGAAAATCAGTTTCCCTTACCATCAACAGAAATAAACACAATGAAAACGAAATAACGTTGCTAAATTCTAGCTGCCTGCCCAGGCTCTGAGCCTCAAGTGGTGGTATTATGAACTATTACTAATACCGGTCGGATGTTTCGGGCTGTGAATGGGGCACTGGCGGAGTAGGGGGCGGGGTTTGGAGAATTATTGTTGGAAGGAGGACGCTCTATAAGGTTTTTGTCATCCGCTCCTCAGGACGGGAGGCCTTGGGTTGGGAGATCCCACTCTGCAAATGATTACCTAGGGCCTCATTCAGAAAGAGTTGGCTTTTAGACCTTTCTAATAAGCTGATCAAGGGAAAAAGTTGGAGATTGTTAAGCTTGGGGAAGAGAATTATTATCTGTCTACAAAAGCCTGATATACAAGGGGTTGGGATTGTGTCTGCCTGTCCTTTTTGCTCCAAGAACTGGGGCCCGAGGTGGGGGTGCAGTGGGTGAATAGTTACAGAGGATGGGTTTGGGAGAAGAAAGAGTTTGCTGGAAAGGAAACAGGGTGACTGTATTGGTAGTGATATCCCTGTCGCTGGAGGCATTCAAGACGAGGATCGATGGTCACTTGGTGGAAATGCTGCCAAGGAGATTCAAGAGTTTCTATTGCTGCTGTAACACATAACTACAAATTTGGTGGCTTAAAACCATCCCATTTATTTATCTTACAGTTCTGGAGGTCATAAGTCTAAAATGGGTCACAGGGTTACATTCCGTCTGGAGGCCAGAAGGGAGAATCCATTGCCTTTCCTCTTCCAGCTGCTGGAGACCACCCACATTCTTTGGCTCCTCAGTCCACACCACTCCAAACTTTGCTCTGTCTTCACATCACCTTCTCTGACTCTGACCCTCCTGCCTAACCTCTTTATAACAACCCTTGTGATTACACTGGGCCTGTCTGATAACCCAGGGTCATCACCCCATCTCCAAATCCATTATTATTATTATTGTTATTATTTTGAGAAGTAGTCTCACTCTGTTGCCCAGGCTGGAGTGCAGTGGCACGAACTCGGCTCACTGCAACCTCCGAATCCTGGGTTCAAGCAATTCTCCTGCCTCATCCTCAGCCTCCTGAGTAGCTGGGACTACAGGCACACACCACCATGCCTGGCTAATTTTTGTATTTTTAGTAGAGACGGGGTTTCGCCATGTTGACCAGACTGGTCTTGAACTCATGACCTCAAGTGATCCACCCGCCTCCCAAAGTGCTGGGATTACAGGTGTGAGCCAATGCGCCCGGCCCAAAGCCTTAATTTAACCACAGCTGCAAACTCTCTTTTAACCATTTAAAGTAACAGAGCCACAGGTTCCAGAGATTAGGATATGATGAGGAGACTCATTATTCTACCAGTGCCCTAAAGCACAATTTGATTTGGAAGATTCCATCCAGGGGTAATTTTCTATAATATCTTTGGTCTGAAACCAACTTTCCCCACCACTTCGCTGTTCAGTCTCCCCAAAACTGCTCTGAGTTCACCTCCCCCCTCATCACAAACGTGGCTGGTGGATCCCGGAGGCCCCTGCTAAACCTTGAACAGGTTGAGAAGTACTGCGTTTGAATTCCTGCCGTGTGACCTTGGGTAGATCACTTCACCTCTCTCAGCCATACAGGAAGGAAGGGAGGAGTTGGGGCAGGGGTCCCTAACCCCTATAGCGGTCTGTGACGTGTGAGGAACCGGCGGCATAGCAGGAGGTGAGCCACACACAAGCTAAGGAAGCTGCATCTGTATCTACAGCCACTCCCCATCGCTTGCATTATCGCCTGAGCTCCGCCTCCTGTCAGATCAGGGGCAGCATTAGATCCTCATAGCAGCGTGAACCCTATTGTGAACTGTGCGTGCAAGGGATTAGGCTGCACACTCTTTATGAGAATCTAATGCCTGATGATCTCCCATCACCTCCAGATAGGACCGTCCAGTTGCAGGAAAACAAACTCAGGGATCCCACTGATTCTACATTATGGTGAGTTGTATAATTATGTCATTATCTATTACAATGTTATAATAATAGAAATAAAGTGCACTATGAACATAATGTGCTTGAATCATCCCAAAACCACCCTCCTAACCCACCCCTACCTCCTCTGGAAAAATAGTCTTCCACAGAACCAGTCCCAGTCCCTGGTGCCAAAAACGCTGGGGGACTGTAACGCCATTCATCGGTTTCTTTGGGTGTAAAAGACAGAAACTCAGCTTGCCCTCGTTTTGGCAAAAAAGGGAGATTTGTTGGCTCATGAGACAGAGGGAAGGGTGGGCAGGCAGGTTGCTGGATCTCAGGGACCCCAGGAAGTGAGGGATCAGAACTTCTCCCACCTGTGCCCCTCTCTGCTTCTCTGGAGGCAGCTCTGGCCAGGGCCTTGTCTCTCTGTTCAACACCAAGAAGGCCACCCTCACACTCCAGATCTTTCCACCACCGGGAAGCCTTCCCTGCTCACCCCTACAAATCGAGTTGTCTGGCACAGACTCTCCCAGCTCCCTGGATCTCCATCCAAGCACATCTGTAATGAACACATTATCTGGGTAATCCTTTTTTTAATGGCTCTCCCTAACACCCCCCATCTGTGGCTTGGTGATTAGCCGGACCCCTGGGGCTAGGGCCTGGCACATAATAGGGCTTGGTCCATATTTACTGTGTGATGAAAGAAATAAATAACACAAACCTACTTTACAAAAATAAAAAATAAAAAAATAAAAGGGTTCATACCACGGAAAAATCTCAAGACAAAGAGTTAAGTGAAAAAAGCTAAGTAGAAACCAGAAATGGGCCGGGCGCGGTGGCTCACAACTGTAATCCCAGCACTTTGGGAGGCTGAGGCAGGTGGATCACTTGAGGTCAGGAGTTCGAGACCAGTCTGGCTAACATGGTGAAACCCCATCTCGACTAAAAATACAAAAATTAGCCAGGCATGGTGGCACGTGCCTGTAATCCCAGCTACTCGGGAGGCTGAGGCAGAAGAATTGCTTGAACCCAGGAGGCACAGGTTGCAGTGAGCAAAGATTGTGCCACTGAACTCCAGCCTGGGCAACAGAGTGAGACTTCATCTCAAAAAATAAAAAATAAATACATAAATACAATCTTACTAGGTGATCAAGGTCAACATCAACATTGATAGGTTCCATTGATAGTAGGTATCCTTGAGAGGCAATTTACCTCTGTAGTCTTCCTTCCAAAAATACATTACTCAAAGTCTAATCATGACAAAATAATATCAGACAAATCGCAATTGAGGAACATCCTACAAAACCCCTGAACAGGGCCGGGTGTGGTGGCTCACACCTGTAATCCCAGCACTTTGGGAGGCTGAGGCAGGTGGATCACCTGAGGTCGGGAGTTTGAGACCAGCCTGGCCAACATCGTGAAACCCTGTCTCTACTAAAAATACAAAAATTAGCCAGGCATGGTGGTGCGTGCCTGTAATCCCAGCTACTTGGGAGGCTGAGGCAGGAGAATGACTTGAACCCGGGAGGCAGAGGTTGCAGGGATGTGAGATCACGCCTCTGCACTCCAGCCTGGGTGACAGAGTGAGACTCTGTCTCAAAACAAAACAAAACAAAGAAAAAAAAAACCCTGACCAGTACTCCTCAAAATGTTCAAGGTCATCCAAAACAAGGAAGGTCTGAGAAACTGTCACAGCCAAGTGGAGTCTATAGACACAGGATGACTAAATGTACTGTGGTATCCCAGATGGTATCCTGGAAACAGAAAAAGCACATTGGGAGAAAACTGAAGAACTCTGAATAAGTATTTAATAACAATGTAGCAATATTGGCTCATTAGTTGTGACACAAATGTAGCCTGGGCAACATAGTGAGACCCGACTCTAAAAAAAAAAAAAATAGCCAGGCAAGGTGGCTCACACCTGGGGTCCCAGTTACTTGGGAAGCTGAGGTGAGAGGATCATTTGAGCCCACGAGCTTGAGGTTGAAGTGAGCTATGGTCATGCCACTGGACTCCAGCCTGGGTGACAGAAGGAGACCCTATCTTTAAAATAAAAAAAAAAAATAATAAAAATTTTGCTCTTCAAAATTAGCCTGGCTTTGTCACCCAGGTTGGAGTGCAGTGGCGTGATCTCGGCTCACTGCAACCTCCGCCTCCTGGGCTCAAGTGATCCTCCCACTTTGGCCTCCCAAGTAGCTCAGATTACAGGAACACCACCATGACTGGCTAATTTTTGTATTTTTTTGGTAGAAACAGGGTTTCACCATGTTGGCCACACTGATCTCAGACTCCTGGGCTCAAGCGATCAGCCCACCTGGGCCTCCCAAAGTGCTGGGATTACAGGTGTGAGCCACAGTCCAGCCGAAAACACTGTTAAAAAATAAAAGACAAGCCACAGACTGGGAGAAAATATTCACAAGATTTTTTAAAATCAGATATATCTGATAAAGCACTTGCATCCAGTTATATCTCAATTATAAGGAGACAACCCAATTTTAAAATGGGCAAAAGCTTTAAAGAGACACTTCAGCAAAGAAGATATATGAATGGCTAATAACCACATGAAAAGATGCCCAACCATCGTTAGTTATTATGGAAATAAACAGTAAAGCCACAATGAGACACTACTGCATACCTATTAGAATGGCTTTTTAAAAAAACTGGCAATACTAAGTATTAGCAAGGATGAGAAGCTACTGCTAGAAGTCTCTCATATATTGCCAATGGGAATGTAAATGGTGAGGCCACTTTGGAAATTTTTTTTTTTTTTTTTTTTGAGACAGGGTCTCCTTCTGTTGCCCAGGCTGGAGTGCAGTGGTGCAATCCCGGCTCACTGCAACCTCCGGCTCCCAGTTGCAAGTGACCCTCCTGCCTCAGTCTCCTGAGTATCTGAGATTATAGGCGCCCACCACCACGCCCAGCTAACTTTTGTATTTTTAGTAGAAACGGGGTTTTGCCATGTTGGCCAGGCTGGTCTCAAACTCCTGACCTCAAGTGATCCACCTGCCCCCGCCTACCAAAGTGCTAGTATTACAGGCTTGAGCCACCGTGCCTGGCCAAACATTGATTCTTTTTTTTTTTTTTTTTTTTTTTGAGACGGAGTCTCGCTCTGTTACCCAGGTTGGAGTGCAGTGGGGCGACCTCGGCTCACTGCAAGCTCCGCCTCCCGGGTTCACGCCATTCTCCTGCCTTAGCCTCCCGAGTAGCTGAACTACAGGCGCGCGCCACCACACCCGGCTATTTTTTTTTTTTTTTTTTTTTGTATTTTTAGTAGAGACGGGGTTTCACCGTGTTAGCCAGGATGGTCTTGATCTCCCGGCCTCGTGATCCGCCCGCCTCGGCCTCCCAAAGTGCTGGGATTACAGGTGTGAGCCACCACGCCCGGCCACTGGAAAACGGTTTTGCAATATCTTTTTTTTTTGAGACGGAGTCTCGCTCTGTGCCCAGGCTGGAGTGCAGTGGCCTGATCTCGGCTCACTGCAAGTTCTGCCTCCCAGGTTCACACCATTCTCCTGCCTCAGCCTCCCGAGTATCTGGGACTACAGGCACCCGCCACCAAGCCCCGCTAATTTTTTATATGTTTAGTAGAGACGGGGTTTCACTGTGTTAGCCAGGATGGTCTCGATCTCCTGACCTTGTGATCCGCCTGCCTCGGCCTCCCAAAGTGCTGGGATTACAGGCGTGAGCCACTGTGCCCGGCCACAATATCTTTTTAAAATTATTATTTGGCTGGGTGAGGTGGCTCATGCCTGTAATCCCAGCACTTTGGGAGGCCAAGGTGGGTGGATCACCTGAGGTCAGAAGTTTGAGACCAGCCTGGCCAACACGGTAAAACCCCATCTTTACTAAAAATACAAAAATTAGCCAGGCTTGGTGGCACACACCTGTAGTCCCAGATACTTGGGAAGCTGAGGCAGGAGAATCCCTTGAATTATTATATGTATATATAATTTTATTTTGTTTTTTAAAAAATAGAGACAGGGTCTCTCTCACTCTGTTGCCCAGGCTGTGTCGAACTTCTGGCCTCAAATGATGCCCTCACCATCATTGGCCTCCGCCTCCCAGAGTGTTGGGATTGGGATTATAGGCATGAACCATTCACACCCAGCCAGTTTCACAATGTCTTATAAAGTAAAACATATTGGCTGGGCTGAGCTCGGTGGATCACACCTATAATCCCAGCACTTTGGGAGGCCGAGGCGAGCAAATCACTGAGCCCTGGAGTTCAAGACCAGTCTGGGCAACATAGGGAGACCCTGTCTCTACTAAAAATACAAAAATTAGCTGAGTGTGGTGGCGCAGGCCTGGAGTCCCAGCTACTCGGGAAGCCAAGGCAGGAGAATTGCTTGAACCCGAGGAGCGGAGGTTGCAGTGAGCTGAGATCGCACCACTGCACTCGAACCTAGAGGACAGACTCCGTCTCAGAAAAAAAAAAAAAAAAGAAAGAAAAAGAAAAGCATAAACAAGGTGGCTGAGTGACACTGCTCACACAACGACAGAGTTCAGGGTTTCCCCAAACCATCCTTAGGTTCCATAATCAGCCAGGACTCACAGAACTCGCTGCAAGCTGTATAACCATAGCTGCAGTTTATTACAGCTGAAGGATATGGATTAAAACCAGCCAAGGGAAATGGTGTATAGGGAAGGGGCTAGGAAAGTTCCAAACCTGGAACCTCCATTATCCTCTCCCTGTGGAATCAGGGACAGCGTTACTTTCCCAGCATCAATGTGTGACAATGTGCACAGACTATTGCCACCCTAGTAAACTCACTGTCTTGGTGTCTAGAGTCTTTATTGAGGTCCCATCATGCAGGCAGGGTTGACTGCCCAGGTGGCAAATCTCAGACTCCAGCTCCTCCTAAGGTCCAGCTATGTGGGTCCATATCTTGTGTCCCAAAGCTTCCACCCTAAGCCACACTGTTCGGTGACCTGCTGCAGCCAGACCCCAGGCTAAACCACATTGTTAGACTATCAGGTGTGGCCAGCTCCACCCTAAACAATGACTATCAGATATGACATTCCAAGGGTTTAGAGGTCAACACCCAGAGGCTGAGCACAAAAGCTAGATCTTGCTGGGTAGGTGGTTCACGCCTGTAATCCCAGCACTTTGGAAAGCCGAGGCAGGCGGATCACGAGGTCAGGAGATTGAGACCATCCTGGCTAACACGATGAAACCCGGTCTCTACTAAAAATACAAAAACTTAGCCGGGCATGGTGGCGGGCGCCTGTAGTCCCAGGCAGGAGAATGGCGTGAACCCGGGAGGCAGAGATTGCAGTGAGCCGAGATCGCGCCACTGCACTCCAGCCTGGGTGACAGAGAGAGACTCTGTCTCAAAAAAAAAAAAAAAAAAAGCCCTCAAAACTAACTAGGAAATGGGGAGATGTAGGTCAAAGGGTACAGAGTGGCAAACATGTAGGATGAAGAAGTGGAAAGACCTAATGTACAGCATGAGGGTTATAGTTAATAACAGTGTGTTGTATTCAGGATCTTTGCTAAATGAGCAGATTATAGCTGCTCTTGCCACAGGGAGGAAAATGGGTACCCATGTGAAATGATGGATATGTTAGTTTGTTTCACTACAGTAACCATTTTACTCTATATGTATCTTACAACATATTGTATATCTTATATATACACAATAAAATGTATTTTAAAAAAAAAGGAACCATTCCCACAGCACCAAGCATAGGGCCAGTTGGAAAAGTACTCAATCAATATTTGTTGACTGCAATCAGCAACTCGTTGAAGTTGGCTTTTGGAAGCTGTTAGATGAACTCCCATGGGAACCTTTCTGTGAATTTCTTAAAATTGTAAAAGGCAGAGTGTGATGGCTCAAGCCTGTGCTCTCAGCTCTTTGGGAGGCCGAGGCAGGATGATTCCCTGAGGCCAGGAGTTCGAGACCATCCTGGGCAACACAGCGAGACCCTGTCTCTACAAAAAATAAAAAAATTAGGCCAGGCGCGGTGGCTCACGCCTGTAATCCCAGCACTTTGGGAGGCCAAGGCGGGTGGATCACGAGGTCAGGAGATCGAGACCATCCTGTCTAACACGGTGAAACCCTGTCTCTACTAAAAATACAAAAAAAAAAAAAAATTAGCTGGGTGTGGTGGCGGGTGCCTGTAGTCCCAGCTAGTCGGGAGGCTGAGGCAGGAGAATTGCTGAGGCAGGAGAAGGAGGTGGAGGTTGCAGTGAGCTGAGATCGTGCCACTGCACTCCAGCCCCGGCGACAGAGGGAGACTCCATCTCAAAAAAAAAAAAAAATTAGGCCTGTCGCCAAGGCGGGTGGACCATAAGGTCAGGAGATCAAGACCATCCTGGCTAACACAGTGAAACCCCATCTCTACTAAAAATACAAAAAAATTAGCCGGGCGTGGTGGCAGGTGCCTGTAGTCCCAGCTACTCTGGAGGCCGAGGCAGGAGAATCACTGGAACCCAGGAGGTGGAGGTTGCAGTGAGCTGAGATTGCGCCATTGCACTCCAGCCTGGGCAACAGAGTAAGAGTCCGTCTCAACAACAAATGGTAAAAATAAGTTAAAAATAAAAATAAAATAAAATAATTAGCTGGGCATGGTGGTACACGCCTATAGTTCTAGCTACTGGGGAAGTAAAACTGGGAGGATCACTCGGGCCCAGGAGTTCAAGACTGCAGAGGGACATGATCATGCGATTGCACTCCAGCCTGGGCATCAGAGTGAGACCCTGTGTCAACAACAATTGTCTTTTTTTTTTTTTTTTGAGACAGAGTTTTGTTCTTGTTGCCCAGGCTGGAGTGCAATGGTGCAGTCTCAGCTCACTGCAACCTCTGCCTCCTGGGTTCAAGTGATTCTCCTGCCTCAGCCTCCCAAGTAGCTGGGATTACAGGCATGCACCACCACACCCGGCTAATTGTTTTGTATTAGTAGAGACAGGGTTTCACCATGTTGGCCAGGCTGGTCTCAAACTCCTGAAATCAGGTGATCCGCCTGCCTTGGCCTCCCAAAGTGCTGGGATTACAGGTGTGAGCCACCACACCCAGCTACAACAACAATTGTAAATCTAATAGTGTAAATCCTTCAGTGGTTTAAGACCCAAGTGATCTGACTCTTGGCTGCCTGTTGAACCTCATCTCTCCCTATCTTCCCAACTCTTATCCCTCGGTGCTTCCTCAGAGATCTCAAAGTCTTCCCTGACTCAGGGCCTTTGCACAGAAGGCAGTTTTCCCTGCCTGCAATGTTCTTCTCCTGTCTGATTCTTGTTCATCCTCCAGGTCTCTGCTAAAATGTTTAGACCTTCCTTGACCCAGTTATCTAAATGACAACTCCCAATCCTCAGAATTACTCTCTCCCCTGGCTCCCTGCCCTTTTTCTGTGGTGACATCATCACTACTGGTGAGTTGCTATTTCTTGGTGGGTTTGTACATCTAGACTGTCTGTCTCCCCCACTAGACTCCTTGAAGGTGGGGGCCCTCATCACAGCTCACAGCTCCATCCCCAGGGCCTGGCACTCCCGAGGCACACACTAAACATCTGCTTCGTGCCTGAACCCCCACTGCTGAGTAGCTGAGTAGCTGGGGCCACAGCTGGGCAGGCCCAGTACGCAGTGGGGATAAGGTCAGAGCAGGGAACTTTTGTAGAACTGGAGAAAACTGAGGCAAGACATGTACTGCAGGTATCCCGTGTGGAGATAGGCTGCTCAGAGCCCGGGAAGGGGAGGCCGGTCCTGGCAGTAGACAGGCTGTCTGTCCCCCCACCCCATCCTAAGAATCCAGGACCCCGTGGCGCCAGCGGAGACTGTGGGTGGGCAGCTGGTTCCAGTCTGGGGACAGGTTCCTTCCCACTTTTTCTGACTGGGGGGCGAGTGAAGTTGGTTTGGGAGAAAATGTCAAAGTGAAAAACAGTGGAGTGATTCAGTCTTTTCAGTCTTGCTTGCTGCCATTTGAAAAGAATGAAAGTGGGATTAACAAAAAAAAAAAAACCCACAAAATCCAAACCAAAACCAAAACAAAAACACCCTACTGTTTTAGA